>NC_000002.12:44129746-44432776 GCF_000001405.40 Homo sapiens | reverse complement strand
ACCAGTTAGTTTAGGAAATCATCTATTACAAAGAAAGAGTTAACATGTTAAAATTTAAGGCAACTTTGTTATGTTAGTCTAAGTGAAGACTTAGCTCTGCCTCTATCTGAAGTATCAAACAAAGTTTCAGAGAGCCATAAAATAATATGCATCAATTCATCATCATCTGCTGAGTCAAACATTGGAAAATAATGTCAAGAAGTTACCCTGTAATTACTTCGTGGCTCCTTGAAAACCCATTTGACATAATCACTCTTTGACAGCTGCAAGAGGGAAAATGTTCTATTTCTTCTCCCACCAGTATTCTCTTCTGAGACCCAGGGGCATTGCTTTTCAGCACTTCCTGATCTGCCAAATGTTTATGAAGGAAGTATGTGGGGTGCCTTCGTAATCAGTGCTCCCAAGGC
The DNA here is from genome assembly GCF_000001405.40 of Homo sapiens. Classification (NCBI taxonomy): domain Eukaryota; kingdom Metazoa; phylum Chordata; class Mammalia; order Primates; family Hominidae; genus Homo; species Homo sapiens. Next base: position 44,432,369 of record NC_000002.12, on the reverse strand, counting down.
TGGTCAGGGGTTGAGAGTTTCCAATCAAAGCTGTGGATTCAGGAGAGTCACAGGAGAGTCAGGGGATGGGCAATGGGCTTATTATTACCCGTGTGCAGGGAGGAAAATTACTCAAGTACAGGAGTATCTGGTTTTATCTAAAAGACCACTGGAACATTTCTCTCCCTTTTGTCTATGACATTACATTCATTTACAAAGGAAACCCTCAGTAACCACTACATTATAATATTTTAAACATTCTTATTTCTCTGTATGTGGGGCAAGAGTTATTTTAAGATGCGACTAAACCAGCCAAGAAGTTAAATCATCCTGGCCTTGCTGTCAAGAAAGCCTGTAATTTCCATCCAAGATTTTTGGACCCAGGACCACAGTTGGGTTTTCTGCCTATACCTGAGCTGGTAGGAGCTGAACAAAGCTTGCTCTGAAAGTGAAGCACAGCCTTTTTAACAGCTCATTTCCAGGAAGTAAATTGGGTACTTGATTTCTTCTCTGAACACTTACAATTGAGCTAACATCTTAGACTAGTTCCCCATTTCCCAATGGGAGTGTTTTCTAGTTGTCTATTACCACTTGGTTTTCATCAGGGGCATCCACCAGAAGAAAGGCCTAACCCGACAGCACAAGATGATAAGCCTAAAACCCCAGTATCTCAACAATAGAATGTGAGAGGAGCCTAGAAAAAAATTTCTGCAAAACAATCCTATTGTGGGAAACTGAAGCTTCATATTGCACTGGGAATACCTAGGTTCTTATCACAGATTTTTCATTTTTTCCATCAGAAGAGATATGAGTTAGGCCTGTGACACAGCAAGATTTAGAAAGTCTATTGCACTAATGAAAATGTCACTGATGTTACCTCTACAGTAAAAAAGGGAAAAATAAAGACCAGGGAAAGAAGAAAGCAACAAAGGAACTAACCAGTTAGCACTATAATAAATGGCAGCTTCTGGAGGCCATTTTATCCCATTGACAGTAACAAAAAGGGAAAAAAGTCATTTATACAATTTGGTACTTAAAATTGAATTGGGAAGTGCTAATAATATTTTCTCAATTTTCCTAAGTTTCTGAGTTATTCCTCAGAAGTTAATACAAAGTTAATTTACCCCACTTCTCAAATTAAGATTAAAACTTGAAAGGGGAAAAAAAAGTATCAGTTTACCAAAAAATGTTATTTATAATATCTTCAGGTAGAAAAAATATATATACTTACTTCAGAGGGAAAATATCTCTCATTAAAAAGAATAGGTTAATTGTGCTGACCTAATTTAAATCAATATTATTCTCACTTTTATCCTGAATCAATGCCACCTGCATATTTGTAAGAGAATTATGTATGATTACAAAATAAATTGAGTATTTCATAACTGAAATTTTAAAGTAACTTTTTAATAACGTGCTACAAAAATGATAATCTCACTTATTAAAGCTTTGTTTACAGTGTTGATAGCTCTTATAGTACTTTTGCAAATCTTTACTAATTTAACATTACAACTTCCTATCTTTTCCTAATCTCATGTAATTTACCCTACTTAATTCCTTGCTTCTGGATATGCTACATTTGCCACCCAATGAGTTTATTTCACTGGTCATTTACTTTTAACAGTAAAGCCAAACTATTTGAAAGAAATAATCTCCCAACAAATCCAACACAGGAAAAAAAGACTCTTATTTATCCAGCATTTTGTGCCATGAATTGAAGTTTTATTGCAAAGAGTAAGCAATAAACAAAAACACCTCGGGGGCCTGGGAGGAGCAATGTAACCAATTACATTTAATTAAATCAAAGGATGGGAGCCCCAGGGTTGAATGAGCTGAAGAACAAATTTGCATTAACACCTAGCAGCCAAACAAGTAGCTCTGGGTCTAGTATGCAAGTCCAATTGTTACCATCTATTCTCTGCACTGAAGGGGGGCCATTAGCTAAATTCTTAGGCATTGTTTGTCCACTGATGAGAGGCTGCCTTCTCAACATTTCACTTCATCACACATGAAAATTGCCTACTAAAATAAACAGCTTCCTCTGAAAGCTCAGAAACAAACATTATTACCTGACTCCAGTTTGCAATTTGGTGAAAACTCTTCAGGGCTGCTAAAGGAGACAAAAAGAAAATGAAAGGTGTGATTCCAGGCCCTAACTTTACAGTTGATGGAGATCATATGTTTGGGCAGATTCTTTTGAAACATCAGAGACTACAAGGCAGGTTATTCTTTAGCTTCCACCAAGAGTACCACTGTTTTACATGGAATACTTTGACTTAATGCAGCACCATGAGAATCTCAAACATTCATAGCCGAAAGCCCATTGAAAGTATCAAGAAGTCATAATTTCCCCCCAAAATTCTCTCATCTTTATAGAGAGCTTCTCTATAAAGAGTCCTGGATTACTAATTATTTTTATCATTTAGAGATTTTTGTCTCAATACATATATATACACATATATATAATCACTATCACAAACTTTAACAAGATCATATAATGAGACCCTACATAATTATGGGTAAATTAGCACCTGACTCTGATAGGTTTTATTCTTTTGTCTTTTTTTTTTTTTTTTTTTTTTTGAGACGGAGTCTCGCTCTGTCGCCCAGGCCGGACTGCGGACTGCAGTGGCGCAATCTCGGCTCACTGCAAGCTCCGCTTCCCGGGTTCACGCCATTCTCCTGCCTCAGCCTCCCGAGTAGCTGGGACTACAGGCGCCCGCCACCGCGCCCGGCTAATTTTTTGTATTTTTAGTAGAGACGGGGTTTCACCTTGTTAGCCAGGATGGTCTCGATCTCCTGACCTTATTCTTTTGTCTTATACGTTCTTCTTTTGGTCCCATTAAAGTAACAATCTCAAACAACAACAACAAAAACCTTGGAAGAGTCATTAGTAGCTCCATTATGTTAAATGATGTTGAAGTAAGTATGATAACATAGAGACCAGGAAAGAAGCAAAGAGATACAGGTCCAGCTAGGGCTATTTCAGATTGAACAAACCGAAACAGTAGTAGGAATATAATATGTATTATCCAGAAATATTAGTTTGAATTAACAGTATAATTCACCATCCATAAGACATACACACACACACACACACACACACACACACATACACACACACACACACATATATATAAAACCTCCTGAGTCACCAAAGCAAACACATTCCACATTGCTTCAAAGTCAGCTTCACAGCTTGTAGGGTAGGGATGTCAGTTTGAGTCTAAGTGAGATTCTGGTATGTCTAGGCTGGTCAGATAAGAAACAATTTCACTGGTGGGGCTCAAGGAGCCCTGTAAGAAGAGTTGGGCTCTTTGACTTTAGCCTTAAGTTCAACATGACTGGAACAAAGATGATTCCAACCTATATTTCAAATATATTTCTTAGACTCAAAGCACTCTTAAAGCCCCCAAATGCATGGAGAAATGGCAGGAAAAGGCAAAATAACTTCTTGCTCTGTTTAGCTGGGTCACTCCAACAAGCAGAGCACATTGCCCAGAAACAAATGCCTTCTGCCCGTGCTTTGAGATCCTTGAAAGTCTGTAACAGTTTTACAAACTCATGGAGTCATCATAAACTTGCATTTGGAGTTGTATCTGGTGGAATTTGAGTTATTATGGTTAACGTGACTGCATAACTCTAAGCTGTGGTATGAAGTCTGAGAAAATTGAAGATATATATACATACATACAGACATACATACATATAAAATATACATATACACAAACATACAAAAATTCAAGAAAAACCTTGGACTATGTTAACTAAAAGAACTGCCAACATCTATTGATATGGACAGGAGGCAGGGAAATACTGAGTAGAAAAGGGTGGGGTCCCTGGCGAGGGTTCCACCCTCGAGCCTGGACCTGCGGCCCTAAATGAGAACTTCACATCTCCGCTTTCCTACCCTAGTGCTGCCTTTTTGCCCCCCACACTTCCTATCATGTGCCCATAAAAATCACAACCTCCATTGGCAGAGGAGCAGGGCAGCACAACAGAGAAGGAAAGAAGAGAAGATGTGTCTGAACGTCGAGAAGAGAAGAGGCAGCTGAACATCAGAGACTATGGTCAAAGAGGAGTTGGGCTGGGAACGACCGAACTCTAGGGGAAGATTATCTTCTCACTCCACCCCATTTCCAACTCTCCATCCTGCTGAGAGCCACTTCCACCACTCAATGAAATCTCCGCATTCACCATCCTTCAAGTCCGTGTGATCTGATTCTTCCTGGACACTGGACAAGAACCTAGGTACCAAGAGGGCAGGGTGTAAAAAGCTGTCACCCTGACCCTCCACTGAGCTGGTTAACACTTAGCCAACAGTAGAAGGCAAATGCTAAAAGAGCATTGTTTGTAACACACACCCTTAGGGGCTCCAGAGGTTGTGGGCAACCCCTAGAGGCTGCTGCAGGTTTGTTCCTGCCAGTGCCCAAAGACATTCACCCCAGAGACTGCACCCCCTCACCTGTATGCTCCCTTTCCCACAAGGGGTTTGGGCACGGCAGCTGAGCAAACGAGCCAACCCTGTCGCAAGTCCCATGAGGGGGTCAAAGGAACTCTCCCATTTCACTATCACATTTTTACCAAGCAGAAAAATATATGGTCTGGTTTGGGCCACAAATTCAATATAATACAAATCTGGTATATTTTGTAGCAGCTGTTTTTTGGCCTCTTGGGCTCCATGTTAATTTACATTTGAAGGCTAAAAAAAAATACATATACACATTTTAAGATACAGGGGATACTTGTGGTGGTTTGTGACATGAGTATATTGTATGGTGCTAAGGTTTGGTATCTCATTGTGTTTTCGATGTGCATCCCTCTAGATTCACGAAGTTGAGAATTTTTTCATGTTTGTTGGCCACTTGGATGTCTTCTTTTGAGAAGTATCTGTTCGTGTCCTTTGCCCACTTTTCAATGGCATTTTTTTTCTTGTTGATTTGTTTACATTCCTTATAGATTCTGGATACTAGTCTTTTGTCAAATGTGTAGCTTTCAAATATTTTCTCCCATTCTGTATGTTGTCTGTTTAATCTGTTGATAGTTTATTTTGCTGTGCAGAAGTTCTTTTGTCTAATTAGGACCAATTGTCAATTTTTTTGTTGCATTTGTTTTTGAGGACTTGGTCGTACATTATTTGCCTAGGCCAATGTCCAGAAGAGTATTTCCTAGGTTTTCTACTAGAATTTTTATGGTTCGAGATCTTATATTTAAATCTTTAATCCATCTTAAGTTAGTTTTTGTATATGGTCAGAGGTAGATGTCATTTCATTCTTCTGCATATGGTTAACCAGTTTTCCCAGCACCATTTATTGAATAGGGTATCCTTCCCCCATTGTTGACATTGTAGAACATCAGTTGGTTGTAGGTATATGGCTTTATTTCAGGATTCTCTATTCTGTTCCATTGGTCTATGTGTCTATTTTTGTACCAGTTCCATGCTGTTTTGGTTACTGTAGCCCTGTAGTTTAGTTTAAAATTGTGTAATGTGATGCCTCTGGTTTTGTTCTTTTTGCTTAGGCTTGCTTTGGCTACTTGGGCTCTTTTTTGGTTCCATATGAATTTTAGATAGTTTTTCTAATACTGTGAAAAGTGACATTGGTAATTTCATAGAAATAGCATTGAATCTGTAAATTGCTTTGGGCAGTATGGGCATTTTAATGATATCGATTCTTCCAGTACATGAGCATGGAATGTTTTTCCATTTGTTTGTGTCATCTATAATTTCTTTCAGCAGTGTTTTAAGTTCTCCTCATAGAGATTTTTCACCTCCTTGGTTACAAGTATTCCTAGGTATGTGTATTGTAAATGGGACTGCATTCTTGTTTTGGTTCTCAGCTTGAATGTTATTGGTACATAGAAATGCTACAGATTTTTGTACATTGCTTTTGTATCCTGAGACCTTACTGAAGTCATTTATCAGGTCTAGGAGTCTTTGAGCAGAATCTTCAGGGTTTTCTAGGTACAGAACCACATGGTCAATGAAGAGAGACAATTTAACTTCATTTTTTCCCATCTATATGCCTTTTCTTTCTTTCTCTTGCCTGATTGCTCTGGTTAAGACTTCCAGTACTAAATTGAATAGGAGTGGTAAGAATGGGCATCCTTGTCTTGCTCCAGTTCTTAGGCAGAATGCTTGAAACTTTTGCCAGTTACCAATTATGTTGATTTACCCGCCTTTTCCAATTCTATTTTATGACAACACTAAGTTATTTTCAAAAATATTTAAACTATGTTTTAGTGATAGCATAATTTCTAATTATTTGTATAAAGTAAATTACTTGGTAAAATGATTCTCATGGTATTTTTTTTAAGTCATGAACAAAGCTATTAAGTTTTCTGCTTAAAAGATACAATCCTGGCTGGGCACAGTGGCTCACGCCTGTAATCCCAGCACTTTGGGAGGCCAAGGCGGGTGGATCACCTGAGGTCAGGAGTTCGAGACCAGCCTGACCAACATGGTGAAATCACCTCTCTACTAAAAATACAAAAATTAGCCAGATATGGTGGCACATGCATGTAATCCCAGCTACTTGGGAGGCTGAGGCAGGAGAATGGCTTAAACTCGGGAGGTGGAGGTTGCAGTGAGCCAAGATCATGCTATTGCACTCCAGCCTGGGCAACAAGAGTGAAACTCTGTCTCGGAAAAAAAAAAAAAAGATAGAATACTACATAGAACCAGAGAGATAATACACTGGTCTCCCTGAAATACTCTCTACCTTATACATACGGCTTTTGATTTAACAAATCTTTTGCCCTTTGAAAAATGTAACATCAATTACTCATTGTATGTTACAAAAAAGAAAAAAATAATTGAAGGATCAATCTTATAAACCTGGAATTTTCTTATAAATATATGAATGTAAAAATGAGTCTCAGCCTTTTCTGTAATCAAAACAGTTCATATCAAATGTCATTTTTCTATTGCTCTATTAACTATCAGTCTATAATGACCTTGTCTTTATACTTCTACGATAACTTGCAATTGCTATTTCTCTTCTTTTAGCCATGATATTCTTCTAACAAGGTAGTAAATCTCCACCAAAATGGTTGTTATAATAATGGTTAGTAGACACTAGATAGTCATATCATTAATGTCTTCATAAGTAGATTTGAAATATTGTTGTCTTTTGGTAAGATAATGATAAGATAATGTTTTATTCATTTAAAAACCCAGCCATTAACTATTGTTAGATAGCTTTATTTTTCATTATTCTTTATGTTTATTTTTAATTATTTTATTATTCTGATTCAGAATCTCTAAAGGAGTCCATGCAATTTGAAAATATGCAACATTTTATTCTTTAACTTTGAGTCACAATATTGAATGTGTTCTAATTGTGAATATTACAGGAGGATATGAAATCTATTTATCAAAACGGGTACTTTTTTGTTTCATGTTCTAGATCATGTATATCCCAAAAACTTTACAGTTTTGTCCCCATTCCACTCTGTGTTCTTTTTCTAATTTTTTTATTTCTATAAGTTATTGGGGAACAGGTGGTGTTTGGTTACATGAGTAAGTTCTTTAGTGGTGGTTTGTGAGATTTTGGCACACCCATCACCCGAGCAGTATACACTGCACCCAATTTGTAGTCTTTTATCCCTTACTCCCGTCTCACCCTTTCCCCCTAAGTCCCCAAAGTGCACTGTGTCATTCTTTGCATCCTCATAGCTTAGCTCCCACTTATGAGTGAGAACATATGATGTTTGGTTTTCCATTCCTGAGTTGCTTCACTTAGAATAATAGTCTCCAATCTCATCCAGGTTGCTGTGAATGCCATTAATTCGTTCCTTTTTATGGCTGAGAAGTATTCCGTCAGGCCTGGTAGTTAAAGATCAACTCCTGACCTAACTGCTTGTGTTATCTATAGATTCCAGATATTGTATGAGGAAACATTGTGAAACCTTCTGTTCTGTTCTGCTAGCCCCCATCACTGATGCATGTAGCCCTCAGTCACATAGCCCCCACTTGCGCAATGTATCACGGCCCTTTCACATGGACCCCTTAGAGTTGTAAGCCCATAAAAGGGACAGGAATCTTTACTTTGGGGAGCTTGGACCTTGAGATGAGCGTCTACCGATGCTCCCAGCTGACTAAAGCCCATTCCTTCCTAAAACCGGTGTCCAAGAGGTTTTGTCTGCGACCGCTCCCACTACAGGAGGGCTTGAAAAAAATTAAGAAATACATACGGTACAGAAACATTAGATAATATATAAGGTATAGAAGTGGCATAAGAAAGGAAATATAATAGCAAATAGTATAAGAGGACGAGAAAAGAAAGCTGTGTAAGATGGAAAATATAATTACAAAACACTACTTGGCTCTGTAATGAATGTAATTTGCATAGTTCAAATAATATACATGCTAATTATTCATAAAAACAAAAACAGCTACATACACACCCACATACATACATACATATCTCAGGAATGTTGGCGGGTGGTCAATAAATTTTCTAAAATTGATGAATCAAGAAATACCATGATAAACATATTTTTAAAGAAATATGGAAATAACTGCCAGAAGACTACTTAGAAAAGTTAAAAATGTTGGCCTCTAAGAAGCAGGACAGGTTAGAAAAGGAGACTGTTGATTTTCATTATAAAGCCTTCAATATATTTTATTTTAACTGTATGTATATTTTACTTTGATTTTAAAAACTGAGCCATTACTGTGTCCCAAATGTAGTGTTAAGTGCAGAAAACACAAAGACAAATTAAAACTTCCTGCTCTCCAGCAGTTCATAGTCCATGAGGAAGATGATGTACAAAACAAAATTACAATTCATTGTGATAACTAGGCTCACAGAATTATTTATAAGATGGCATCTCTGCAGCACAGGAAAACAGAAAGGGAGGAGACAGAGAACTGATGCTTGAAGTGCTATTTGAGTTAAGGGTTTTGGCCCAGCGCGATGGCTCATGCCTGTAATGCCAGCACTTCGGGAGGCCAAGGCAGGCAGGTGGATCACTTGAGGTCAGGAGTTCGAGACCAGTGTGGCCAATATGGTAACACCCCGTCTCTACTACAAATACAAAAATTAGACAGGAGTGGTGGTGCATGACTGTAATCCCAGCTACTCAGGAGGCTGAGGCAGGAGAATCACTTGAACCCAGGAGGTAGAGGTTGCAGTGAGCCGAGATCGCACCATTGCACTGCAGCCTGGGTGACAGAGGGAGACTCTGTCTCAAAATAAATAAATAAAATAAAATAAAATAGAGTCCTGATGTCTGAATCTGTGCATATGATTACTGCTCACTCCTAGGATAATTCTACTGAAACCAGGATGATCAGTAGAACAAATATTATTCCTCTTGAGGAATTCTAAAAAATAATTGTTTGTGATACCTTTATTGCTGCTGCAGGTGGAAGATACAGAGTGAAGATGAGAAAGAAAATCTGAGACTGAAGGTGTAATGGACATTTGGTATACCATACCACGTTGATTCTGAACAAGGAGCTCACCTTACAGTGATAAAAATAAAGCCATGAGCTGATAACCCAGAGAATTCACTGGTTCTATGTATCTCTTCATCAAAAAGCAGCTCACCTCTTAGAGAAGCTGAACTGGAAACTCCATTAGAGTGTCAACTGGGAGACAAAACTTTGTGAGAGTAAAACACTGATCTACAAGATAAAATTTATGCTCCATCTGGCTGTTGAGATGTTTGAAAATTAAAAAAAAAAAAAGAAATTTATGTTCCAACTAATGACCAATATATTTGGATAGTCCAATTCTGGACTTTGAATCTTGAGGGAGTAAGGCAAAATACAGATACAGGTGATAAAGTATTTGCAGCAGCAACAGCAGAAGTAGCATTAAGAATCCAGTAGTGCTAGCACTGATGTGTGTCTGAGAGGAGCATCCATACAACAAGACTGATCCTGCACGTTGATCTGTGTAGAGGTTCCTGGCTGGGTCCCTCTGTATTTCCCAAGCCCCATTTTCTAGCCTTCCCAGGTTCTGAGAATTGCCCAATATTCAGCAAATTTATTTCTACATAAGTTAGTCAACATTAATGTGCTAGTCCATTCTTGCATTGCTATAAAGAAATACCTGAGACTGGGTAATTTATAAAGAAAAGAAGTTTAATTGGCTCACAGTTCTACAGGCTGTATAAGTATTGCACCAGCATCTGCTCAGCTTCCGGTGAGGCCTCAGGGAGCTTTTACTCATGAGACAGTGCAAGCGAGGAGCTACACACTTTTAAACAACCAGATTCTGTAAGTACTCACTATTACAAGGACGGCACCAAGCAATGAGGACTCCACCTCCATGACTCAAACACCTCCCACCAGGCCCCACCTCCAACACTGGGGATTACATTTCAATGTGAGATTTGACAGGGACATATATCCAAACTGTATCATGCAGGTTGATCTGTGTAGAGGTTCCTGGGCCTAGCCTGCCTTGGTTCCTCTTTATTTCCCAAGTCCCATTTTCCAGCCTTCAAAATATACTCTGAGAATTGCTTGATATCCAATGAATTTATTTCTACTCAAGTTATTCAACATCAGTTTCTATTACTTTGCAACCAAAAACTCGACACAGAATGGAAATGATGAAACGTCACAGAGATTAAAAGATTCCTAAATCTTTAAAACATTCTTATCCATTGTTGTTCTAAAAACCATAATTGATTCGTGTACCCTAAGTTTTCTCTGTTTTTGATTTAGTAAGAAAAAGAGAATGCTTTCAAAACAAAGAAAATTAGGTATTTTACCTGGAACAATTAAGAATTCTATAAGCCTGTTATGAATATTAAACAAACTTTAGTTATAAAAAGCAAGATAATTTTTTTCACCCATCTTTAACATCCTTGATCTATGTTTCAATTATTTTCTTCATTTTGTACTGTTATTGTGAGTAGCGATGTCATCTTTTAATGTGTTTCAGTGACACATTACTGAGAAAATTTGAAGATATGTTTATTTATTAAAGGATAATTGTATTTATACATTTCTAAAAAGGAATTCTTAGCTGAGAGAGGATCTTTAGTTTATAACTTCAATTTTCATATTGAAGTTTTTTATCTTTAAAAGAGATGTCTGTGGATGTTCTTATCAAACATGTAAATAAAATTTCTTCACATTGCCAAAAAAATTCCAAAGTATTTAACAAAAGACAAAAGTCTTTCTTCAAAACTTTCAAGATCACTGCTCATGAAGAAAGTAAATGAATAGCAGAATATTGTAAACCATTCTGAGGAGACATTAGTCAAGTCTCTTAATGATTTTTTTCTATTTTCCATGGTTTTGAAATTCAATATTTTTCTGACATAAAATATTTTCCCACAACATTAAAAATCACTTCTCAATAAATATTTAATTTTAACCATTGCTACCCTAACAAATATTCAAAGGAAATATATAGCAGATATAAGCAAAGCTGAGAATCAATTTTCTTTGTAAATAAGGATTTAGCACTTTCTTTGTGATCCTCTTGACTACTGTGATGAACAATAGCGAAAAGCTCTGAAAGTGATTAACAAAGATAATGAGGTGACAGTTAATCCCTTAGACAATTAAAAAAAATTACCCAAGGGGGGAAAAAAAAAAAGTAAGCTTCTGCTAGTGGAATATAGGCTATGAAATAAATGATACTCTATCTTGAATGAAAGCCCTGGGTACAAACCTATCAACAAATATTTTAAAAAATATAATTAAATTATTTTAGCTCCAAATTATCCACACTATCTTCTAGGGTTTAGTAATAATGCAGATATTGTCTGGGAGGTGCCTCACTGCTCCCAGGTTTTATACACAGTTGACTCCTGGACAGTTTTCACAAAAAGAAGAGAAAAAAATATATATATATATAGTTGACTCTTGAACAACACATGTTTGAACTGCACAGGTCCACATATACATGGATTTTCATCAATAAAAAAGTCAACTGTAGGTTTATTAATAGTCAAAAGTTATATGCAAATTTTTGATTAGGGAGGAGTCAGCACTCCTAACCCCTGCATTGTTCAAGAGTCAACTTTATTATTTATCTCTACATATATATTGCCCCTCTAGCAATGTAGAGAAAAGTATTGGTTGGATTCTAAGATTAAAGAAAGATAAAAACAATATGAAAGCAACAGTAAATATTAATTAGAAAACAGTCTGAGACTTGACCATATAATTATGCAGAAATATACAAATTATACACAGATTAACATGTCACCTTTTTATTTCATATGCCTGGATGTGATCCTTAGAAATTTTTCAAATAGAAGCCAGAGATTTAAGCTATATCCTATTATTAAACTCACATTACATTTACACAATTAATAAATCTTTACATATAATTATCTAAAATAATTGTGTAATTTCCTCTCCTGAGTATTCACCTAAACTTGGGCGATCAGCAATCTTGTATGAGTATTTTTCAGATGGCAAAAAGCTCTAAATACTAAAAAAAGAAACAATGGCATTACATCATCTATTGTGTCTAATGACTGTGAGACGACTCTTTGCACTTTAAAAAAGATATTAGCAACCACAGAAGAAAAAAAAAATTTTTTTAAAGAGGGGAGGTCTCACCATATTGCCCAGGCTAGAGTGCAGTGGCTATTCACAGGTGTGATCATTGTGCACAATAGCTTTGAATTCTTGGGCTCAAGTGATCCTCCTACCTCAGCCTCTGCCTCTTGGAAAAATAACATTTTTAGCATGCGCCTGTGTCCTAGCTACCTGGGAGTTTAAGGCAGAAAGATTACTTGAGCCCAGAAGTTCAGGGTTACGGTGATGACTGTGCCACTGCACTCCAGGCTGGGTGACAGAGCGAGACTGTCTTTTAACAACAACATTGGGTTAAAATCAAGATGTATGCAAATTACTATCTGTTCTAGAGGCCTAGAGGAGAATCTATTTCCTTGCCATTACAAGCTTCTAGAAGCTGCGAACATCCTTTGGCTCACTGCTGCCTTCTTTCCTCTTCCAGATGGGGGAATAGGAGGCCACCACTAGAACTGCTGAGTTCAAGAATACATACCTGAGATTTAGGGATCAGGAAGCTGCCATCGTACCTTCCACTTTCACCCATGAAGCTAATGACCAAACACTGGAATGCTTTTGTAGAAACATTCAACATGTCCATCACTGTGCTTTCCAGCAGAAAGAGCTGGCCAAGGCATCATCTTAGGTCCACATTTCAAATCTCATCTAAGTGCATCTAAGTGGTACAACCTAATTCATATTTAGCACCTTAGCTGCGACGGAATCTGGAAAAGTAGTTTTAGTTTGCCTGCTTCTTCAGATCTCATAAATAGCACATACTTTAAATCAAAAGGGCTTTTTCTAATAATTTAGCTTGAAATATATTTCCTTGTTTCAATAACTGATTTCTAGCAACAAAAACCAGGAAATTAAAATGTTTAAAAGATTATTTAAAATATTATTTTTAAAATGCAATATTTAGGAATAAATTTAACAAAATATAGGCAAGACCTGTAAAATGAAAAATACAAAACTTTACTAAGAGAAATTAAGGAATACCTACATAAAGAGACAACCATATCAGGTTTATAGATTGGATGACCAAATATTGTTAAAATGTCAATTCTCCCCAAATTCAGCTACAAATTTAGTGCCATCCAATCAAAATTGTAGTAGACTTCTTAGCAGACATTGATAAGTTTAGCCTAAAATTTGTATGGAAATGCAAGAACCTAGAATGGACAAAACAATTTTGAAAAAACGAAAACAAATTCAGAGGACTTACATTATCCCATTTCCAGACTCACTATGAAGCTATAATAATCATGACAATGTAGTGCCATTGGCATAAAAGATGGATCAATGAAACAGAATACAGACTCTAGAAAAGACTAACACGTATTTGGGTAAATGATTTTCAAAAAGGATGTGCAACAGTAAGTTAATGGAGAAATGACAGTGTTTTCAATCAATGATACCAAAACAACCAAATACCCACGTGAAAAACAACAACAACAAAAACAACAACAAAAGAACCTTAACTTCTACCTCATGTTATATGTATATATTAACTCAAAATGGACCATAGACTAAAAATATAAAAGCCAGAACTATAAAACTTCTAGAAGAACACATAAAAAAAAAAATTCATAGATTTTTTTAAACAGGATACACAAAGGAGGAAATACTCTTAGTACATGCCTGACAAAAGACTTGTCTTCAGAGTATATAATAAGCTCTTACAATTCTTTTTTTTTTTTTTTTTGAGACAGAGTTCCGCTCTTGTCGCCCAGGCTAGAGTGCAATGGCGCGATCTTGGCTCACTGCAACCTCTGCCTCCCAGGTTCAATCGATTCTCCCGCCTCAGCCTCCAGAGTATTTGGGATTATAGGCACGTGCCACCATGCCCGACTACTTTTTATATTTTTGGTAGAGATGGGGTTTCGCCATGTTGGTCAGGCTGGTCTCAAATTCCTGACCTCAGGTATCTACCCGCCTCGGCTTCCCAAAGTGCTGGGATTACAGGCATGAGCCACAATGCCCGGCCTACAACTCATTAAGACAATCTGATTTTTAAAATGGGCAAAACATTTGACATACACTTCACAGATGAAGATATATGAATGACCAATAAGCACATGAAAAGATGTTCAACGTCATCGTCATCAGGAATCTGCATAGAACCGCAATGAGATACACTACACACCTAGCAGAATGGTTAAAGATAATTGACAGTACCAAGCATTAGCAAAAATGTGAAGCAACTGGAACTCTCATACATTATTAGTGGCAATGTAAAATAGTACAACCACTTGGGAAAACAGTTTGGTAATATCTTACAAAGTTAAATGTACACTTATACAATCTAACAATTCTACTCCTAGGTATTTACCCAAGAGAAAGAAAAACACATGTCCACACACACAAAAACTTGTATATGAATGTTCACACTAGTTTTATGCAAAACAGCCCAAAACCGGAAACAACCTGAATGTCTATCAATAGATGAATACATAAATGAATTGTGGGCATATTTATTTTTCATTTTTATTTTTTATTTTTTGAGACAGAGTCTTCCTCTTTCACCCAGGCTGGAGTGCAGTGGTGCAATCTCACCTCACTGCAACCTCTGCCTCCCGGATTCAAGCAATTCTCCTGCCTCAGCCTCCTGAGTAGCTGGGATTACAGGTGTGCACTACCACGCCCAGCTAATTTTTTTTGTATTTTTAGTAGTGACAGGGTTTCACCATGTTGGTCAGGCTGGTCTTGAACTCCTGACCTCGTGATCCGCGCCTCAGCCTCCCAAAGTGTGGCCATATTTATACAACGCAATACTACTCGGGAATAAAAAGGAAACAAAGCCAGGCATGATGATACATGTCTGTAATCCCAGCAACCCAGGAGGCTAAGGTAGGAGGATCACTTAAGCCCAGGATTTTCAGGTTTCAGTGAGCCATGATCAGGCCACTACACTCCAGCCTGGGCAACAGAGGGAGACCCTGTCTCTAAAAAAAGTGAAAAAAATAAAGAAACGAACAACAGATACACACCACAATATGGATGAATCTCAAAAACATCATGCTGGCCAGGTGCGGTGGCTCACACCTGTAATACCAACAATTTGGGAGGCTGAGGCGGGTGGATCACCTGAGGTTAGGAGTTAGAGACCAGCCTGGCCAACATAGTGAAACCCTGTCCCTACTAAAAATACAAAAATTAGCCGGGTGTGGTTGTGGGCACCTGTAATCACAGCTACTTAGGAGGCTGAGGCAGGGAGAATCACTTGAACCCAGGAGGCACAGGTTGCAGTGAGCCAAGATCACACCATTGCACTCCAGCCTAGGCGACAGAGCAAGACTCCATCTCAAAAAAAAAAAAAAAAAAAAAAATCATGCTAAGTGAAATATATTAGGGAAAAAAAAGAGAACATATAAGAATGCATTTATATGAAACACGAGAAGAGTTTAATCTAATCAATAGTGACAGAGAGTAGATCAGTTTTTACCCGAGAAGTAGTATTTGACTGGAAGAAAAACAGAAGAAAACATTCTGGGGTGATAGAAATGTTCCATAGGTTACATGAATGTATAAAACTTTCAAAACTCATTAAAATGTACATCAAAATTGGTGCATTTCTGTAAATTATATCTCATTAAAGCTGATATTTTAACAAATTAAATAAGAGTAAACTAAATCATACATTACTTTTAAATTTTTTCAATGATCTATACTTGTTCTGTTAAGATATGAAAATCCCTCTTTCTTCAAACACATGGCACCCAAAACATATCCATTAACATTGTTACGTAGGTATGTACCTATTGCTTTTTTCTTTAAATAATAAATGCCCTAAACCCAACCATACTTCATAAATTGATATTACTTGATGAAGCATTTAGTTAACTGAAACAATTATTCAGTATCTTAAAAGGATTTTGAATAATGTTAGTTCACATTTAGATTGACATGAGAAGAATCAAACCTACAACCATTTACTAAACTATTACGTGCAGCTTAGCCAACATTAGTAGCAATTTCCCTTTAAAAACAATATTTGAATTTAAAACATAACAGAGTATTATGAATCACAGCATGATTTAGTGTGTAGGGGTTAGAAATGAAGTACTGAATATATGTATAAGGGGATGCAAAATACTTTGAAAAGGAATACTATGATTTCTAGCACACTTCCCACCCAGGGATTTCAATTTCCATTCTATGGCAGCCACTTGAAGAAATGTGGAATCATTGTTTTCATAAAATTGAAGACTTTAAACGTATAATTCCTTCTCTAAACTGTGATTTCATTATAGATTTCACTCATGTGCATACACACACACACAATTTGCTCTCTGTTTACATTAGAAATTTATACAAGTAATGCAAAGTGACCAACTTAAAGGCCAAGAAAAAGACTCAAAGAAATTATTGCCACTAATTTATTCATGTGATTATCTTAATTTGTATCACTATCACCAGAGTCTGGAGACAGTGGAAATAACGAATTAACATAGGACTGGCAAGACTGATTTGTAACCACATACTGTCAAAAAAAACATTTAACCTCTAGTCTGGCTGTCTTGCAAAGCAAACAAAATTATCCTCTGTAGTGAACTAAACCTGGACCTATAAAGAAGGAAAATTTAAAAACAAGTCATTTTCTTTAAGTACTCTTCCTAAATATCTGCTACCTACTTGATGAAATCTTTTAGTAACTCAGTTGTACATACCAGGCCTAACACCAAGTGATCTGATAATCTGACACATATCTAGTAAGAATAATACCCAGAATTTTTTTTCTTTTTTCCGAGACGGAGTCTCACTCTATCACCAGGCTGGAGTGCAGTGGCGCCATCTCAGCTCACTGCATTCTCTGCCTCCCGGGTTCAAGTGATTTCCTGCCTCAGCCTCCTGAGTAGCTAGGACTACAGGCACACCGCCATGCCCAGATAATGTTTGTATTTTTAGTAGAGATGGGGTTTTACCATGTTGGCCAGGATGGTCTCCATCTCTTGACCTCGTGATCCGCCCGCCTCGGCCTCCCAGCATGCTGGGATTACAGGCATAAGCCACCACGCCTGGCCGATTTTTTAAAAATTCAAACTTAGCTCCTCTAGCTGTACTAATCTAAATGCTAGACAGTTCAAGTGTAGCTTTGGAGACTTACAGATAGCCAGCTAGAGAACTACCAATGATGATATCCATCACGAGGAGTTTGGTGGCCAGCCTCCAAGATGGTCCTCAATGATCTTTGCATCTTCATATTTCCACCCTGTGTAGTCCCCTCTCTCAGGGGATTAGGGTTGGTCTGTATGATCACCACATGGCTGCAGTAATGGTATGTCACTTCTGAAATTAGGTTATAAAAGACTATGACTCTCATCTTGGGTGTCCACTCTCTGTCTCTCTGATCTTACACTCTAGTGGAAGCTGCCATATTGTGAACCTCATGGAAGGCCCACAGGGTGAAAAACTGAAGCATCTAATCAACAGTTAGCAAGAAACTGAGGCCTGCCAACAACCATGTGAGTGACCCCGGAAAGATTTTCCAGTCCCAGTCAAGCACTGAGATAACGGCAACCTCAGCTGACAGCTTAACTGCAACCTGATAAAGACACCCTGGGCCAGAACCATAGGAACCATTCATACCCAAATTCCTGATCTTCAGGAACTTTGTTAGATAATAAATATTTGTTTTAAGCTGCTAAATTTGGGGCAATGTGCTATATAGCAATAAATAATACATGGAGATAATATTTTCTTTCCTTTGGAACAACCAGAAAATAACCATTATATTCCCCTACAAGCAATCACCTCTGGCTAACTACTCTACAATAGAGTTGCCAGAGATATGAGGATGTGGGACAGGTTTGGGAGAGGGTATCATTCAAGTTATCCTGCCAATGTATAGTCAAAAGGCCTACCAACTGGCATACCAATACAATGCCACCCTGAGCCTGGCTACTAAATATCCTGTCTAGAAAGCTAAAATATTACTATGAATCTTGTATTGAGTTCTCAAACAAGGATAAATCAGGCATGAAAATATATTGAATGAGGTCTAAAATTTATTAATTGTGCAACTCATGACCAGATATTAAATCAAGTCTTCTGGAACAGTATGGTAGTTCCAAATTTCTAACTATAACTCCTTTTAAAGCATCATCTTCATTTTGCCTGCTTTTTAAGTGAACAACACAGTAGATATAAGCCAAGTGTTGAAAAATAATTTTCAATTCAACAAATGTATATATTTCCCATGGATCCATTTCTTAAATTTCTTTTTCTTTTCTTTTTTTTTTTTTTGAGACGGAGTCTCACTCTGTCACCCTGACTTAAGTGCAGTGGCGCAATCTTGGCTCACTGTGACCTCTACCGCCCCAGTTCAACCGATTCTCCTGCCTCAGCCTCCCAAGAAGCTAGGATTATAGGCGCATGCCACCCTGCCCGGCTAATTTTTGTATTTTTAGTAGACACGGGGTTTCACTACGTTGTCCAGGCTGGTCTTGAACTCCTGACCTCATGATCCACCCGCCTTGGCCTCCCAAAGTGCTGGGATTACAGGCATGAGCCACCATGCCTGGCCTCTTAATTTCTTTACTAATAGTACGTGATGGTTATATTTAGATTAAAATGCTCTTCTCTAAATATCTACCTGCCTCTTTCATTTGACCCTACATTTTGAGATGAGGAGAAATCAAGCAGAGAAACAATGTACACTGTGACTTTAATGTATAGGATCACTCAAGTGAAAAACAACAGAGATTAATACTGCCATTCAGCACTTGTAATCAGCCCCCAGAGAACTGTACAGAATAGATAACACCATTAGTTTATTATTTATTTATTTATTTATTTAATTTATTTTATTTTATTTTTTTTGAGATGGAGTCCTGCTCTGTTGCTCAGGCTGGAGTGTGGTGGCACAATCTCAGCTCCCTGCAACCTCTGCTTCCCGGGTTCAAGCCATTCTCCTGCCTCCGCCCCCCTAATAGCTGGGTTTACAGGCGCACGCCACCACACCTGGCTAATTTTTGTATTTTTAGTGGAGACGGGGTTTCACCATGTTGGTCAAGCTGGTCTCAAACTCCTGACCTCAGGTAATCTGCCCACCTCCGCCTCCCAAAGTGCTGGGATTACAGGCGTGAGCCACCGTGCCCAGCCTCTTTATTTTTAAACTACATTCCAAATTGAATTTTTAGGATATTTTGAGGATGTTTCCTATTGCTTAAGTTACTGCTTATTTACTTATTCAGTGTCAAAATAGTTTTAGAAGGCTTGTAAGTAATTCAATGAAATGTATTGAGTCAAAAGACTCACCTGGCTGGGCCCAGTGGCTCACGCCTGTAAACACAGCACTTTGGGAGGCCAAGATGGGTGGATCACCTGAGGTCAGGAATTTAAGACCAGCCTGGCCAATATGGCAAAAGCTGTCTCTACTAAAAATACAAAAAATTAGCTGGGCGTGGTGGCAGGCACCTGTAATCCCAGCCACTCGGGAAGCCGAGGCAGGAGAATTGCTTGAACCTGGGAGGCAGAGGTTGCAGTGAGCCAAGATTGTGCCATTGTACTTCAGCCTAGGCGACAGAGCCAGACTCTGTCTCAAAAACAAAAACAAACAAACAAAAAAAACTTAAACAAACATTATAATGGCCCAAAAACAATTTGTGTCAAAGATATGCTAGCCATTATTTTGGTTTGAACCCCCATTGTATGTACGGGAGTAGAACAGGCATCGCAGGGGGTGTACAGAATAAATGGACAGACTCTTTGTGGGTTATCACTAGCTATTGGAGTCAATACATTGAAACGTAATGCGCGTGACAAGCAGTTCCATCTCCTTGTGGTTACTTTTATATGCTGTGTTTTCTCTGATAATGTCTTTATCCTAGAAGAGTCCTGGCTGAAGAATTACGGAGGATTCAGTGCAAATCTACACTGTCTGCTAAAAAAAAAAAAAAAAAAAAAAAAAAAAAAATTGAAGAGAATGTTCATGTTACATATTAATTGGTTATGTATCCAAAGCCAAAGTTTCTTAATAATGTTAATGATACTTTGGGCAATGAATCAACAATGAAAGAGAGGTTAAAGATTTAGCTGAAATTGAAGCCCCCAGGATGCCAATTTAAAAAAAATTAAAAAGACTACCTTGAATGATGACTTTAAAAAAACTAAGGCAACTGGTGGAAACCATTTAAAAAATAGTTTGATGAATGGAATTTTACAAAAATACTTGAGACAAAACTTGGGGAAAGGATACAATACATAAGAGAAAGACAATAATGTTACATTGTCCAAGGCAGTATTTATTTGCATATTCAATATACTAATGAATAAAATATGAAAAAAAGTCTGGTACTCAGGATTTTTTTCTAAATTTTAACCCTTATTCAGAATCATGAGGCACCGACAGACTATTAAAATCTCTCTGAGAATCTGTAGGTTACCTAATCCAGATGCATTCACTTCATAAATGAGGGAGCTAAAATCTAGAGATAACATATGACCAAGGTCAAATTTTCTAATACATGCAATTGAGTATAAAGTATACATTTCCTTGGAGTCTAAATCTTCAGAAACTTTATAAACCAAATGTCACTTTTCTATAAGACAATGTCTTTTTTTCACCTTTGTATCCCCAGTGCTTAGCCTAGTACTTGCCACGCAATAGTCACTCAAATATGTAATGAGTAAACGAATGAATGCTCAGCTAGCCAGAATATTACTCACAAAAATACCTACCCTAACAAATCTGGATGCCCAGGAATATAATGTACAAGGTTTTGTCTATAAAGACCGCAAATTACATTTGTTCAAACAAGAGAAGTATTTTAAAAAACTAAATCAAATTTTCAACTTTTAGAAATTCTACAAGTAGGAACTAATGGGTATGACAGTAAAGGCCATTTCTGATAACACTCAAGATGGGTATTCAAAAGATTACATTTCCTTTATTAAGGTATATAATCCCAATAGGAACATCTTAACCAAAAGTTATTTATTACTTTAGAACTATCAATTACTTTTAAAAATTAATTTTATACATAATGATACATTTCATTTTAAAAAGTAATTGCTTCATTTTTAGATGGGGGGTGGGGAGCTAAAATTCACCAATCCTTAAACAGAATTTGTTTGTTTTTAACCTCTTAAAACTCTTTAATCTCTGGGTATATTGCTATCCCATTAGTATCAGACAATTACTCTTTGCTTCAGCAATCCTTCACTTGTTAATGAAGTTATTTCTCCAAATTACTATATCCGTCTTTTAGCATATTAAAGAACAGGCAACTGACATATTGCTTTGAATTAATTAGAATATGTTCCCTTTAGGTGAAATGACAGTCATCAGAGTCTATGTTGGGCTTTCAATAGATTTGGAATTTCAGGGTTGATTGTACCTCTCAATTTTAAGATCTCCCACATTTTACATTGGCATGAAAGTATGCTGATAAATCACAAAAAGAGTCTTGTAAAATATACTTCCTGGCTAACAAGGTGAAACCCCATCTTTACTAAAAATACAAAAAAAATTAGCTGGGCGAGGTGGCGGGCACCTGTAGTCCCAGCTACTCGGGAGGCTGAGGCAGGAGAAGGGGGTGAACCCCTGGGGGCAGAGCCTGCAGTGAGCCAAGATCGCGCCACTGCACTCCAGCGTGGGCGACAGAGCAAGACTCCGTCTCAAAAAAAAAAAAAAAAAAAAAAAAAAATATATATATATATATACTGATACCTGACTAATTACTTAAGTTTGTCAGGATACACGTATTACTACTGGATTACTGGTCTCTCACATTCTGCTTCTTTGGTAGTACATGGTAAGAAACTGCTGAAAAATACCCCCTACCAGTTTCATACTTTTCTACAGATATATAAAAACCATGCTACATAAAGAAAACATACTAAAAACTATACACAGCTCTCAGCTCTTCTCTATACTTCCACAGCAGTTATTTCCTACTTTTATTAAAACATATTATAGTTCATCAAATTATTTGTCTATTTCATTAAACTCTAAACCATTTGAGAACAAGGACCAGATATTATTTCTCTTTATACCCCAGGACCTAACAGATTGTCTAGCATGGTAAATATTGGTTAACTGAATTACTGAATGAACAAACGACACAGTCCTTACATACATCTCCATCATATTGCTTCTCTGCATTTTGACAATTAAAAAAACAGTGATTTTCCATATGAATTATTTTATTAAAATATCTATAAATTACAGAGTATTCCACAATTAAAGATAAAATGTTTTCTATTACCATCTTAAGACATAATGTATGATCTCACATTTTTACAACAATGTCAAGTCTTCTATGTTTTTTAATATTTAGCCATCCAAATCTGCCACTGTAAGAGTTGCTAGTCTTACTATAAAATGGCTTTAAGATATGCTTTGAGGCCAAAGAAGTATATAAAAACTTGACAAAATTCCAAATTTACTTATTTGTGATAACGCAATAACATCTACTTTTAGAATCAAACCAAGATTCATGTGAAATTTCAAGAGGAGATAAAAAACCAGCCAATACCTAATTTGTAAATCATACAACCCCACATGATATGAAAGTGTAAATGTTTCTGAGTCTGAAGAACATAACAAATGTCACGGTAGAAATCACCAGTAAGTCATGATTATCTCTAGGAGTCCAAATGTCAACTAACTATTAAGATAATACATACCTGCAAGAATGCCGGATTCATAACAAAGCACTGGCTGGATACTACGTTGAATTTTGGCTAGTTGTCTTTATGTAGCAATATACATATATATATATATATATATATATATATATATATATATATATATATATATATATATATATATATATATATATATATATATATATATATATATATATATATATCGGCTGAAATAACAACTAAAAATTAAAAATATAGAAGCAGGCTGGGTGCGGTGGCTCATGCCTGTAATCCTGACTCTTTGGGAGGCCGAGGCAGGCAAATCGCTTGAGCTCAGGAGTTCAAGACCAGCCTGGGCAACGTGGCAAAACACTGTCTCTATAAAAAATACAAATATTAGCCAGGTGTGGTGGTGTGCACCTGTAGTCCCAGCTACCCAGGAGGCTGGGGTGGGAGAATTGCTTGGGCCCAGAAAGTTGAGGCTGCAGTGAGCCATGATCATGCCACTATACTCTGGCCTGGGTGACAGAGCAAGACCCTGTCTCAAAAAAATTAATTAATTAATTAAATTTAACATAGGAGCTTCTTGATTGGATGTTTCTGAATACTAGCTTTCCTTACTAGATATCTGAGTCTTGGGAGGCAGAGTAATAAAACAAAATGAGTTCAGACTTTGAAGTTATACTAACCTTATTCAAAGTCATGCTCTAATTTAAACTAGCTGAGTGGCCTTGAGCAACTCACTTAACTCTTCTGAGATACAGTTTCTTCATCTGAAGATGTAAAGAAATAAATAGGAAATAATAATTTATGTATTGCAGGGCTTTAATAAAAGAGGTCAATGCCTAGACAAAAACAAACAATAAAAAACAAGAAACCTTTCTATAAACTAGAGCTACTATTATCATTTTACTGTTATTGTCATTATCTTTACTTTACTTACAAGTAACTCTTTATAGCAATCTATAAAGAGTAAAAGACGGCCAGGCGCGGTGGCTCACGCCTGTAATCCCAGAACTTTGGGAGGCCGAGGTGGGTGGATCACAAGGTTAGTAGATCGAGACCAGCCTAGCCAATATGGTGAAACCCCATCTTTATTAAAAATACAAAAATTAGCTGGACGTGGTGGTGTGCACCTGTAGTCCCAGCTACTCGGGAGGCTGAGGCAGGAAAATCGCTTGAACCTGGGAGGTGGAGGTTGCAGTGAGCCGAGATCACGTCACTGCACTCCAGCCTGGGGACAGAGTGAGACTCCATCTCAAAAAAAAAAAAAAAAAAAGACATGCTCTACTGTTGTCTTCTGCCTCTAAACCAACCCAGGCCTCAATTAAGTTTCCCTGATCATTCCCAGTATACTGGGAAATCTATTAGTACAACTTACTATTACAGTTGAGCCATATGCTTCTGAAGCCCCAACTTTTAGTAAAGTGCAGCAAGAGACAATGACTGACTAACTGAATGAATGAATGACATCTTGAGGTATAGAATAACTGATTTAAGAAAAAATACTTTCACATCAAATTGCAGCTGCCTATCATTATTTTATCTTAACCTACCCAAGATGCCCTCTTGCCTTCAGTCTGCCCATCTAAGTCCTAATCCTTTTAGCCATGGCTCAACCCATATCTTCTGCATTAAATATTACCTAATTAACAAACATCTGTATAGTACCAAATAAAGTAAACTAAATGTTTCACTGCTACATCAGATAGTAGTATCATTTCCATTTTACTGCAGAGGTTCATAAGGTTAACTTGGCCAAGACAATCTCCACCTCATTCTTACCTTGCCCTGACACTAGGCAAAAGACACCTGCTGCTGTGAAAGGGGAGAAAACCCACTCATGCCAAGGATCCTGCACTAATACAAAGCAAAAGTGTATTGCCGTCTGGGGAGAAGCACAAACATTGAAAACGTCTAACCCCTGAGACTCATGTGCACAGGGTATGGCCAAGAATGAGCCCTCCAGGCCCTACCACAAGCCTTGAACCAACTTAACAGTCTACTTCTAGAGAGGCTCAGGAGCACAGAGATCTGTCATACAGGGGTGCAAAGTCTGCTGAAAGCTGTGAAGGGAGCAAAATTATTGAAAAAAACTCTCTAAGACCCCAGGCTCTAAACTAAGCACAAGATAATGATAGCCCACCAGAACAACTGCAGATAACTACAGCAACAACAAAACCAAACTCAGTTTCACTACTGCCTAAATTGACTTAATCTCCTACACTAATGACCTAACAGAAGAGGCATGACCACTTTTGGGCATGAATCTTATTACCTTAGTCCCTGCTGTCCTTTTACACACGATGTCTGGAATCCAATTAAAAAGCACAAGAGACTGTTCCAGTTAAGTAGACAGAAATTATAAAGAATAGCATAGATATAAAAAAATAATTTGGCTGGGCGCAATGGCTCACGCCTGTAATCCCAGCACTTTGGGAAGATGTGGTGTGGTGGGCGGATTGCTTGAGCCCAGGAGTTCTAGACCAGCCTGGCTGGGCAACATGGAGAAACCTCGTTCCTACAAAACCATACAAAAAACAAGCAGGGCCTGGTAGTGCGCTTCCATAGTCCCAGCTACTTGGGAGGCTGAGGTGGGAGGATCACCTGGGTCCAGGAAGTTGCGGATGCAGTAGGCCATGATGGTGCCACTGCATTCCAGCCTGGGCAACAGAGTGAGACGTTGTCTCAAAAATAATAATAATTTAATGTTAATAAACATTTTACAATTAATCTCCCCAGAAAACTTACCAATAAAACAACAACAACAAAAAAGATAAACAAAACAAATGTGCTAAACACACACACACACAAAGACACTGGGGTGGTATTAAAGAGAAACTCAAGGGTGACAATTCTAAAATAAAATATGTAGGTTGAAACTATCTGTAAGTATCTGAATAGGAATATCTCTTATAATAAATCAAACTTATTATAACTCCAAACTCAACATTTACTAGGGCACAATTTGAACAACAGATGTTATATAAATTCCCCTTTTAAAAAATGGTAATTAAAAAAAAAAGACTTAAGGCAAAATGACAAAGGCGCTTGGTTAGGAACTTTTGGAGCAATGCTATAATTGAAAGCAGAGAATATAATTAGAGGCATACTAAAACACAAAAAGAAATGCCCAACTGTCAGGTGAAACATGAATTCTATTACCTGCTTAGTATCTTTCCAATACATTTCTTTTTGTCTAAGTTGGCTAGACTCAGTTTCTGTTGCTCACAACCAAAGAACCCTAACTGATATAACTAGATACCCTTGGTTCCAAGTTAAATATGGTCTGTTGAAAATGGGACATCTTTAACTATGAAATTGATTGGTTCAGTTACCATAACAAAAAGGCTTAAAGTTTAGGCACAGATTTTAGGAGAATACTGAATTAATATATAAAAGGCCAAAGTCTCCTTTCTAATTATTACCCAGCAATTTCTGTTAGAAGTTTGGGAATAGAATCAGAGTTGAATATACATTTCATAGGCATGAGCTATCAATCCATTTATGTTTCTTTCCAAAGGCAAATTATGATCTAATTCATCATTTAGTTTCTTATGCATATCACTTTCTGTGTCTCTTTACAGCTTTAAAAATGAGTTATTATTATCTTGGATGAATTGACATTCATTTTTTAAATATTTTATTTTTAAATTTTTTTCAAATCTTCATTACATTTTCCCCAAAAGTAACACATACTTGAAACAAATTAAGTACAAAGATTAATAAAGTTAATTTTTCTTCTACCCCATTCCTTCAAGTTCCGATTTCCTAAAATAAGCAACTTTGATAAATTGGTATATATGCCTTCACAGCTTTTTGCAATATTCATAGCTTCTTTTTATTAAAATGAAATTACATTTTATGCATTACTCAACACCTAAAAATACATCTTGGACATCCCTCCAGAATATAGCATATAACTCAATCCATTCTTTTTGATTGCTATATAATATTGTATGGACACACTATAATTTATCCAACAATTCCATTAGTAATGGAAGTACAGCTGTCAGACTGTTTTCAAGTTATGTTCCTTTCCAGTCCAAATAGTGCTATATTTAACATCCTTGCTCATCTGTCTTTATGAGCTAGAGGACTGACACCCAAAAGTGGGATTATTGGGTCAAAAGAAATGAAAAATGATACTTAACCTCTTTTAAACCTTGTATTTAGATAGATTTTAATATACACAAAAACATAGAGATAGAAAATAATGAACTCCCATGTATCTATCATTCATTTTTTACAATTGCCCAATTTCAATGCTCCCTTTTCCCCTTGTCTAAGAAATTTAAACACAACGCATTTTCGTATTTTTGCCTCCATGAAAGACTCTAAAAGTTTATCAAAATCCTTTTTGGAGCACTAGTTATATAGTAACCACCAGCATTTATATTCTCTTTAATATTATACATAACATCTTTTTTTAAAAAGACACTCTTAATATTCACTTCCTCCTTCCACTAAGCTCTCTGCAATGGAGAAACAGCAGAATCAAAGCATCTAAGACAGTAGAAAAAGAAACTAGGAAAGATCATCCTAAAAGCATAAAAAGACCTTGAGAAGGAACAATATCGAGACAGGCACACAGGTATATTAAGTGACAGAGGCAACAAAGAGAAAGAAAAGAGAAACATTAAGTAGATTTTTAAAAGCTAGCATTAGCTGGTAGGAAAAGTACTTAAGGGATTGCTGGTGGTCTGAGTGGGAAATTTAAGCAAAGAAATAGCAATTCATGAGGAATAGGGCATGCTATTTGAATGTATTTTTGAACTAGTTGCTTAAAATATATTGCACTGATCAAAAAACTAGATGAATAGCAACTTAGTGCTCTCCTAGCAAAAGATATCTGGAGGGGAAAATATCGCCAATATGTAACAAAATAACACGTATGTATTTTAAAAGACGAGTAACACCCCTACTAAAGAAGAACAATGGAAAATGCATACATATGTACACACATATGCAAAAATGATACTAATATGAACATGTTCCTGGAGGGGAAAACAAGCCATGTAATGAAATTTTAAATGCATTGTAAATTATTTTGTATAGTGAATATTTTCTAAAATAATCATATCCTAATTTATTTACTTAAAGTGTGGTTTGCTTTTTTAAATAATAAGTTCACTAATCCACAAAGCATATATTGGGTATTCATTATATGCCAGGCACTGTACAAACAAAACATCACTCCTGCCTTCTGGAAGCTTACAGTCTAGTAAGTGATTTAGACATAGTTATAACACAATGTGATATGTTTTAATGGTATATTAAATTAAAAAGTCTATAGGTAAACATAGAAAGGACCAATAAACTATAGCTTAGGAGAGTCAGGAAAAGCTTTATAGGTGACATCTGAGTTGAATCTTGAAGGCTGAAGAATTCAGAAATTAGGGAAGAAAGAATTTCTAAAATTTATGCAAAGCCTTGGTGATTTATCTCAATACATGTAAACTGGAAATGCTGTTCTAGTGTAGATTTGACAAGAACCATATGTAGTCTAATTAAATGAAGTATTAAAAATTTTATTACCTTATTTTTAAGTGATTATAGCATTTATGTGAAATTAATGTATATGAGTGCATATATGTGTGTATGCGTTAAAGATGGCAGCTAAAGATGTTAGAGTGAATCTACCTATTAGCTTCCCTCTCTTCCTGACACCCCACCTAAAATAAAAGTAAGTACATTTAGAAACAAAATGAAGGTTCATAAAGGCACAAAAAGCTGAATCTTAAATCAGCAGTAGTGAGAAGCTAAGAAGCAACCGGAGTTACATGTCTACGAGTAGAGTACAAGGATGGACTAAACACAGAAGAATTTGTTGAAAATCTACTTACAAAACAATTAGATCTTGAAATCTCATCTCTTATTCCAAAGATTTGTGCAACTACCCTTGCTCCATCCTGTCAGATGTCTTCGGGTCTAGTCTCTCCAGACTGGAAGGCATTCGTGCAGCTCAAGGAGGGTGGTGGTAAGGAAGGTAAAATACTTTTTAATTGGGGGTGGAGTAACTGAATCAGGGGGTTGAGTAACTGAGGACTCTTCTTATCCATCTTCCAAAATGCTAGCTGCTAAGGTATACATACTGCCCAAAGCAGCAAACTCAAAAGTGTTTTCTCTGATAAACTGGCCAGCTCAAGGGAAACACCATATGGACAGCCAGGGTTCCCTAAGAATCAACCCAACCAGATCATCCCACAGAGGAAACTGTAATATCAGTGTCCCTTCCAATCAGTTTTGTAGTACACAACTCTTAAGGATCATCAGAAATGTAATGAAAGCCTCTACTGTAACAGACAGAGACCAAAGAAAAGAAACAGAAAAAGCGATTTAAAGGAAACAAAGACTATAAAGACAGAAAAAAAAAAAAAACTTTCAGTAATATCTTCAAAAAAAGCAAGAAAGGCAATTAAGAAATATGAAAAGAATGCTATGGGGGAAAAAGCTAAGAAAAGAGAAAAAGAACTTTTGGACATTAAAAAGCGTAAAAATAGAAATAAAAAACTCAACAGAAAGGTTAAAAGTAAAGAAAAAGTAAAAAAAAAAAAAAAAAAACAGCAAAACAAAAGATGAAAAGATAATTAGAGAACTGTCCAGGATGCACAACATTCAAAAAATGGAAGTTTCTGAAAGAAACAGAGAAAACAGATGGAAGAAAGTCATTAAAAGAGTAATTCAAAAAAATTTTCCAGACTGAAAAATATGACTTTCTAAACTGAAAAGTGCCCAAGAAATGTCCAACACAATGTTTGAAAATACAGCCACACAAAGATATTTTATCATAAAATATTGGAATAATGGGAATAACAGAAGATTCAATCAACAGAGAATTAACAAGTTTCATAAAAATGATAAGTTAGAATAGCATTGGACTACTCAAATGCAACTCTAGAAGCTATGACACATTACTGTAAAACTTTGAAGGGGAAATTGTTTTAAATTCTATCTTTTTTTTTTTTTTTTTTTTTAGACAGAGTCTTGCTGTGTCACCCAAGCTGGGGTGCAATGGTGCGATATTGGCTCACTGCAAGCTCTGCCTCCCGGGTTCAAGCAATTCTTCTGCCTCAGCCTCCCGAGTAGCTATGATTACAGGCACCTGCCACCAGGCCTGGCTAATTTTTTTGTATCTTTAGTAGAGACGGGGTTTCACCATGTTGGCCAGGCTGGTCTCGAACGCCCAACCTCAGGTGATCCACCCGCCTTGGCCTCCCAAAGTCCTGGGACTATAGGCGTGAGCCACCGCGCCCGGCCAATTCTATCATTTTATATCCAACCAAAGTATCACAAGTTCTCAAAAAATTACTTCCCCTTACTTTCTCAGGAAGCTACTGGAGTTTATAATCCTCCAAAACAACAGACCAAACAAAAAGGAAGCCATGGAATTTAGAACGAGATACAAAACAAAAGAAATGAAATGAATCCTCAAGATGATAGTGAGGGAAGATGTCAAGATGCTTGTTGCTGGTGTAGAGGTCAAACTGGAAGACATCAGAAGGCTTCAGAAAAGACTCCGAAAGCAAGAAATTGATCTACATATAGATAATTTTAACTGAAAATATATTAAACCTTAAAAATGTACAAATAAAATCATGTCCTGAGACAATATGTTCAAGCCATTAAATTCATATTTAATGTAGTTATTCAAGCCATTTTTTTGCCAAAATTCTAAAAATTGTTAGCAGGGTAAATTCTTCATTGGTGAAGCAATGTAGCTATTTTAAATTTTATTTTATTTTTTTTTTTGAGACAGAGTCTCTGTCACCCAGTCTGGAGTGCAGTGACACAATCTCAGCTCACTGCAACCTCCGCCTCCCGGGTTCAATAGATTCACCTGCCTCAGCCTCTTGAATAGCTAAGACTACAGGCGTCCGCCACCATGCCTGGCTAATTTTTCTGTTTTTAGTAGAGATGGAGTTTCACCATGTTGGCCAGGCTGGTCTCAAACTCCTGACCTCAGGTGATCCACCCGCCTCACCTCCCAAAGTGCTGAGATTACAGGCGTGAGCCACTGTGCCCCGTCTTTGTATTATTTTTAAAACATGTTTGCTGGTGAGAAGTCAGATATAGTTCACAGAAATCATCCAAGTACCTGGATGCATCAGATACTGAGATATTTATCCAAATTTAACTTGCAGTAGTTTCTTCAACATGTGTAGAAAGAATGTTTTACTACTTTGTACTTCAAAGTTGATAAATCATTTGAGAATTGAAAATGCAGGACAGCACATAATAGGAACTTAATAAACACTTGTGGAGATTGCTCTTTCTGTTCCAATCTATAAATAAACAAGAACCAAATGAAGAACAAGTTAACTATGTATTTTATGTACATACATATATATATATATATATATATATATATATACACACACATAAGTATACATGCACATACACACATACATGTACTCACAAATATTTAAAACTTCTCCAGTAGTTCTACTTTCAATTTCAATTTTTAAATGCATTTCACAATTTTAACTCAAATAAGTATGTTTCAAAAATACGCTTTCTCGAAGATACTGGCTGTTGAAAAATATTTAAAATAGTGTTAGCTTATTTTTTATTCAATAAAA
The DNA here is from genome assembly GCF_000001405.40 of Homo sapiens. Lineage (NCBI taxonomy): Eukaryota > Metazoa > Chordata > Mammalia > Primates > Hominidae > Homo > Homo sapiens. The sequence goes on along the minus strand of NC_000002.12, from coordinate 44,400,722 downwards.
TAATATAAATATTTGTTAATAGCTGTTGCCATTCATGGATGGTATGGGAAAAAATATTTCCCAAAGATTAATGATTAACTTGTTGAATTTTTTTAAAAAGGCTTATCACCAAAAGAATTTTTAAGTATTTCATTTAAATAGCTTTGATAAACAACATGACTAATGAGAATTGGCTCATCTTAAGTAGATAACTAAATATACAAAGTTTAACATCTTAAATGCTTCCAAATATACAATATGCATCAGGGATTGCAAATCTGAATGTCCATGGGTAGAGTGGTGAGTGCCAAGGCAAAATAAAGACCCTGCTCATTCCATATAATAATTACCATGTGAGCTCAGACTCGGGCCATTAGATCATTTTTTTTTTCTCTAAAAGAAACTGAAAAATCGACATTTTTATGTGAATATTTCTGATTTTTAAATCCTGGTTGTAATTTTTTAAAAATTATTGTATTACCTAAATAAAAAATGTATGTGTTCTGAACTCAGTTTCTATTAGTTTATAGGGCTTGTGGTATATGTCCTCTAAAATTGAAACTTAGATTTACCTCTCCATTATATAGAACATATTAACATATCAAATATAAATACACTTGTGTAGAATGAACAGATTTGTTTGGGTATGACTTGGGATTCAAATGAATCAATGCATACTTACTGAATACCACTTGGGTCAGGCTTTGTGAAAGGTACTATGCTGGGATAAAGAGTTATAAATGACTATAAATAATTAAGCTTCCAATCTTTCTCTTTCCTTGTCTTCTAAACATACACATATAATTTATCATCCAAATCAGAGCACTTTTGGGAGTGAAAGTAAGCATTGTTAATAATTATGATAAGAACAACTGCGACCACTGGAGGCAAACGAGGCTGTACAGTCACCCTAACTAAAAGAACCTGGTCTGTTTCTGTCTCTTCTTCTTCCAGTCTACCTACCCCAGGCTCACCTCCTGCAAGAAAAATCCTACATTGACAGCCGTCTTCCTCAATTCTATCATGACGAAATCAGAAGGAAAGGGGATAAAATGGAAGACAAGAGTTTTCTTATGATGGATACAAGAGTTAGAATTTTTTCTTAGCTTTTTTTTTTTCTTGATTATTTTGTATTTAAGAGGTGTAGAACCAGTAGCAATGTGAGATGGCAGGAGATGAGAGAGGGAAAAAAGGGAAATGGTAACAAATCTGTGGGAAATAAGAGAAAGATCAAAGAGGGCAATAAGAATCAATGCCCCCTCCCCCAACAAATTTATTGTTACATTAATTTCTCTTTTAAAGAAATTCAGAGGATAGGCACAAGCAGAGGAGAACTTGTGGTTTTCATCCCACACATATCATTTCTTACTTGTATCTAATGGCAGTGCAGTCAATCCCCACTAAATTCTGATTAAGTCACCAAGTATTAAAATAAAAACAAAGTCCAGGATTAACCAAAATATTATTTGTCTGTGTTTGACTATCACACAATTAAAAACAATACTTTTTTGTAGAAAATCAATCAGAAATTAAGTGATACAGAAGTCTGATCTTCAAAACCCTGGAAGGGCAAAGGCTTAAGACGAACTATGAATTTACCATGTGCAGCAAAGACTACACCTGATCCAGTATACCAGGACAAGCAGATTGTGAGCATGTGACGTATCTATAATTACACAAAACATGCGCCTTTTCAATCTCATACACACAGAATGATTGGAAACTTTTCCTTATTCCTTCCTGCAAACTGTTCCCACCTCCCAGAAAATAATGAAAATATTCAGACTCAGGGCTGAGTGGAGAGTAAAAGTTCAGAGAAGAGAAAATTTTTTTTAACATGGAGTATATACACACAAACACTAAATTCATTCAATCATCAAATATTTTGTTCTTATCAAGCATTAACAAGAGCAGTGCAATATACACAGTTCATATAAATGTCAAATATAACAATTCTCTGTGGAAAGGCTATCCACAATCCAAACAACTTTGTTAAAAATCAAGAACATCCTTTTAGTTGAGCTCTTTGGGTGATTTACGTTTATGTAAGCACTTTTAAAATATATAGCCATAAGCTTGAGAAGTACCTTAGAGAAGGGGCTATGTTAAAACATAACTTGTTATTACTATTGTATTATCGTTACAAAAATCAGCACTTCTCAAAAAAAAAAAAAAAGAAAAGAAAAGAAAAAAGAAAGAAACTGAAGTAAAACAAAGCCCGCATTTGGTTTAAGACTATTAAAAGAAAACGCATTCTTTGTCCCTTATCCACACTCCCCAAATCCCCATTCCATTAGATTGTCAACTACCTTGCAGAAACCCTGGAGAGCCCATTTTTCTTGACCTTTAATCAGTCTCCTCTGAGACACAATCTGCTGCACAGAATTCCATTTGCCAAAGTTATTTTCTAGCCCTTCAAGTTACCACTTTCTGTTTCAATTCCCATCACAAACTTTTAAAATTCATTTCTCGCCGTTTTGGAGAAATGTAGCCTTTAAGAAATAAAGTAGAATAGTTAAATTCCTGTGCCACCACCTACTAAATCTTTAAGCAAATTACCTTGTTCTGGACATCAGTTTCCTCACCCCTTGTAAAGACGTTAAGATTATTAAACGGGACAGTACTTACAAAGCTCCTGACAAATACTGTAAAGGATGCAAAAGTAATGGTAGCTATTTAAAAGACAGACAAAGGAAAACTACTCAGTATTTGCTCGGGGGAAAAATAAAAAGACTTTCTTGGCATATCTTGTGCTAAAACTTGGAAGTACCTAAATTAGAAACATCCCTTTAGATATTTAAAAGAGGGAGAAACTAGCAGGTTTATGACAAAGACATGAGCTACCTCTCTATATTATTGCACTGATTAAGGCATATGAATCTACAAAGGATTATAGGGTTTATTTCAGTCAGTTCCCATGATAGCACCAAGTTCTACTGTCAAAGAATCATTCCAATTCTGTGGTTTCTTATTTCAAATAGAAATTTTTAAAATACATTAAAAAGAGACTTCTTTTTCCTTCTTTGGTAATTGATAACAAATGTGTCTTTTTCCTTCTCTGGTAATTGATAACAAATGTGTCTTTTTCCTTCTCTGGTAATTGATAACAAACGTGTAGGGCTCTGTTTATGAATTAGGGGCACGCTTACCTGATTTTGAGCCAAAAGAAAAAACCGTCCTGACAACTGTGGAGCTAAGAAGTTGGAGACACATGGCTAGGGAAATTGCCATCTAGCAACCGAAGCCAACCTTCAAAAATTCTAACACAGACTAAGAATCAAAGACTACATGTACATTACGATGCTAAAGAGGGACTAAGAATCCACTGCCATGCTGCATACCATCAGTGCTCCACTGGCTTTCAGGTCCCCTATACTCTCAGGGCTGCTGATCATTACCCATGCGTTCTAACCACATAATGCATTGATGACCTTAAATATTTATTTTGTAACACAACTTATAAATTTTCTATTCCCAAAGCTCAATATTCTGCCACTGACTGACTTTAACCTCTTTGTACTTTCCCAACCTAAGAAAGGGTTAAAATGATTTGATCTCTGATTCCTTATCTCATAAGTGTAATGGGGGACTAATACATTAACATCTAACATGCTGTGAGCTCCTTCAAGAAAAGTATTATTTTAAAACAAAATATTGTGTACTTTTTCTTTTTTTTTTTTTTTTTGAGATGGAGTCTCACTCTGTCGCCTGGGCTGAAGGGCAGTGGTGCAATCTCGGCTCACTGCAACCTTCGCCTCCTGGGTTCAAGCGATTCTACTGCCTCAGCCTCCTGAGTAGCTGAGACTACAGCCTCACGCCACTACGCCCAGCTAATTTTTGTATTTTTAGTAGAGACAGGGTTTCACCATGTTGGCCAGGATGGTCTCGATCTCCTGACCTTGTGATCCGCCCACCTTGGCTTCCCAAAGTGCTGGGATTACAGGTGTGAGCCACAGTTCCCATCCTGGTTCCTTTCTTTCTTTCTTTCTTTTTTTTTTTTTTAGAAAGGTAATCATTAGTTGAAAGATATGGATATTTAAAATTATGAAAGATATAATCAGACTGCCTCTGGAAAAGTAGAATTAATTTACCTACCCCCCTCCACCAACAGTGTATGAGAATACCCAGTTCCCTACAATTTACTGATTACTGCTTAACTTCTTTCATCTTTGCCAACCTGATAAGCAAAAATTATCTCACTTTTAAAAATCATTCCTTCAATTCCTAATAAAATAACCATTTGATGTACATACAGAACATTGCTATTTCTCTTGTGAAATACCTCTTCTTAAATTTTTGGCTACGTTTTTCTCTATCTTACAGGTTTTCAGATTGTCTTTTTATTATGGATTTGTAAGAGCTCTTTATAAAGAAAATACATCTTCATCTGAATATATGTCATAAATAATAATTGCCAGTGTGTAATTTGTATTTCAATTTTTTTGATGCGCTTTTTGAATAAAGGGTCTTTAAATCTTAAATTAGTCAATCTATTAACCTTTAAATTCATGGTGTTTGACTCGCACTTAGAAGGACCTTCTTGATTTCAATATATTAAAATTATTCATCTGAAATATCTAAGAGTGTTATGTTTTTAATTAAATACTTAACCCATATTAAATTTATTTTGGCATATAGTATATAGGAGGGAGTCAGCTTTATTAGTTTCCTAAATTCCTAGGCAATGGTCCCAATACTATTTATTAAAGAATCCATCCTTTCCTCTCTTACTAAAATTGTATCTTCATCATATGTTAAGTCACATATATTTAGGTCTTTGTGAACACTTTATTCTAAAAATATTGATTTATATGTGTATTTCTGCAATAATGCCACACTATTTTAATTGTGTAGCTTTACATTGTTTTCACATAACAAAATAATGTATGATATTAAAACAGAATGGCACATACCAAAAATATCTTCTATCTTGTATTATTTTGAATAACAAAGGTACTGAAAAAATTCAAGAATGAGGCAGATGATATTACTAACCATAAAAAATACAAATACTATTTACAGTTTACTTGGTACTTTCACATTATCTAATATTATGTTCACCTCACTATAAAGTACTTATTGTTTCCTATTCAATTTTACATAAGGAGTTAAGACTTGTACAAAGACTCGTCTACAATTACACAGCTAATAACCCGCAGAGCTAAAACCTGAACTTCATATCCCATGTACCTTCCATAACCACTCTAAATTAAAAACAGAGCAATGACCCATAAAAGCCCAACTTTTTCATTTTTTAATCAAACCACTGTACTGTGTATATGTATATATCTGTATATAAATATAGATATACAATGCATACATGTATATATAATGCATATGTATACACATACACTACATAGATGCATTATATATCTGCATATGTACATGTATACACATATACTACATATATGTATATATGCATATGTATACACACATGCTACATATATGCATTATATAACTACATATACATATACACATACATATGCATTACATATATAGACATCTTTATTTGAATAAGAATAGCATTTTAAAATCCAAGCTGACATTCTTGAAGCTTTGATAATTTCACCAACATTCCAAACCCTAACTTTATAACATAACAACAATGAAACAGAAAAACTAAAAATTTAGACCATATTTCCAAAGAAACTATTACCTTTGGTTTCCTAAATACAAGTAAAAAGTGAAAACATATAATTTTTTTTCCTCTAGAAAAACCAGGAAGATAAATATTTGATTGTCTTTTTTTTACAGGAAAAGTCTTGCTATATTGCCCAGGCTTGCCTCAAATTCTTGGGCTCAAGCAATCATCCAGCCTTAGCCTTCTGAGTAGCTGGGACTACAGGAACATACCTCCACACCTGACTTTTATTTTAATGAGTCTTGCTTTCAATAATAACTGATTACCACCCCAAAAGAGATCAGTTTTAGATACATCACAAACAGACAAACAGATTCTGCTATCAGACCACTAGGAAGCAAAGTCTATAGCTGTGTGCATTAAAAATCCTGGTCAGGTCAGGCACAGTGGCTCTTGCCTATAATCCCAGCACTTTGGGAGGCTGTGGCGGGTAAATCACCTGAGGTCAGCAGTTCGAGACCAGCCTGGCCAACATGGTGAAACTCCGTCTCTACTAAAAAGACAAAAATTAGCTGGACATAGTAGCAGGCGCCTGTAATCCCAGCTACTCGGGAGGCTGAGGCAGGAGAATCACTTGAACCTGGGAGGCAGAGGTTGCAGTGAGCCAAGATTGCACCATTGCACTCTAGCCTGGGGGACAAGAGTGAAACTCCATTAAAAAAAAAAAAAATCCTGGTCAGTCTTAGAATTCACTAGGGAAAACAAAAATCACCACTGTCACATGTACAAGTATATATGGCAGAGGGTCTACAAATTCCTCCAGGAGATAATGTGACACCAACTACCACAGGGTCCTGTCATGGAGCTCAACCAAGAAAAAAAATTTTTTTCAAAGAATAGTAGAGAAGTTTTACCAATACATCCCCCAGACTTAAGCTGCAACATTTGCCAGGAATCCTGCTTCACAATGATATTACTGAAATGATTTAACTGCTGACCTCCTATCCTTTAAAGGATTATATACATTATATTGTACATAGTTTATAATAAATTATACGAAGTACTAACACTTCTGTTCATACTACTCAACAAAGGATGATGTGCTTAAAATGTTCCAATGAATCTACTACAGACCCAAGCATAAGATGAGATGTTATAAACAACAAATAGTTAAATTAGATACTATGGTATCCAAATTTGGATCAAGTAAGCACTGAGAATTACATTTTTAAAAATTCCTTTCAGTAGTGGAACGAAATAACTTTGGAGAAAAGGAAAATGATTTTGGAAGAGACAGCATGGTGCAGCTTCTTTGACCAGAGGTCAGAGGACAAGCTAGAAAGGAGTCCCTGCCCACAGAAAAAGCAGAAGCAAGAAATCTGCTACAATGCTTATAGAGCACTCCCTTGTTACCCAAGGTATCTGAGCGACATATCAAAGGAGACACAGAAGCAGCCAGTACCTCATCTGAGGTGAAAGATGTCATCCTATACTCTTCCCTAGGTAGCTTGTCAGCATGTCTTTCTGGGCACAATGAATCAATAGTAGACACAACCTCCTGACCAAGAAGCTTTGATATCTCAAAAGAAAGTAGGTTCTCAAGTAGTAGAAACCAAATAATGAAATATACATACCTATTCCTAGTTAAAGGTAAGCACTTTCAAAATGGTTTGTTTTCCACCATAGTAAATATAAATATATAAAAAGAAGGTTGGGTCGTATATCACACAGCAATAAATCAATACGCAGACGTGATTCATTCTGTACGAGATTCCTCTTAATTTCTTCCCACAACATTCGAAGAAATTCAAGCAATGAAAAGTTACCTCAAAAATATAAAACACTTTGCAGTTCATACATTTAAAACCACAAAACTTCTATACAAAAAAGTAAATACAAAAAAATTATCTTTTCTAATAGTAAATAAGTTATCTAGAGGTTTATTTTCCAAAATTAAAGAGATTTTTCCACGTCTTTTCACTTAGAGCATAAACCAATTCAGAAGGTAAGACTGATCCTTTCATCTCTGAAAATTTGCAATGAATATAATCATCCCCTGATATTCAAAATGAACTTACAATTGAAATTAATGGTTCTACTAAACCATGACCATACCTTTTTTTACTGTATCTACACATATCAGGTTTTTGTGACTAGAAAATGTTTTAGTTAAGCTGTTTTTTCTATTACTAGGAAGCATTATTAACCTAGAAACAAATTCTTAAAATAAATAGATAATTCCATCTCTTGGTTCTCTCATCTATTAGAAACTTTTTTCCTCATTCTAATTGTCCTTTAACATACTACCATGGTGGTGATTTATGAACTGATACTCTTGTATGGAACTTTCACTCTCTATCAAAAGTACTTCTTTATTTAAAGCTAGAAGTAGAAAAATTAAACTGATATTTTTAAAAATTAAAAAATCGGCCAGGAAAAATCTATTTTTTTGTATTTTTGAATTACTGAATATATTAAATATATTATAAATGAATCAAATAGAAATGTTTAGACACATCTTTATATGTCTACATGGTAAAAGCTTAGGGTTATTATTTGAGCTATTTATCCTAATTATATTGGGCTATGACAAAGAATTATGATTGTGGCGCCCTCTGCTGGGTTTTCTAGTCACAAACTCAATATCACTATTGGCATAATAAAATCAAATTTTTGAGGCATCAAGTGAAAAATCACTTTTTCAGTCCATGGTTACTTTACGTCCAAGATTATATAAAAGTCATAATCAATATTTACTTTATTGGAACAGGACTTTACCAATTTATCATTAAATGAAACATCTATATAGATTTTTCTGTTAAAATAAAAAGTAAACATAAAAGGTACACAAAACAACATATTTTAAGAGGTCTTATTTTTGTCACCACTTCTATCACTCAGCAATATATCCAGGTTTTTAAGGCAACATTTATAATGAGGCATTTTAATAAACAGCTATTTTGCTAATTTTATCTAATTTTTCTGCCCTGTTAGTTCAATTAAAATAGTATAAGACAGAATAATCCTAATAATATTATCTTCTTTATTAGGAAAAAACCAAAAGAGGTTATATAGGTACTCATCGCCAGTAATAATTAATAACTTTTATTGCATATCAACTCTCAGCCATGCAGTATGTACGTACTTTCTTTATAACACAGCCAGCCCTAAGAGATGAAAACAGTTGAGGTTCATAGAGATGATACAAATTGCTCAAGATGAATTTCAGAGCCAGAAGTCAAATGCAGGTGAGTATCATTCCAAAGTCTTAAACCTTTCTACCAAACAAGAGACAACAGTGAAAAAACACCCTGAATATGCAATATTTCCGTTTGTTCATGCAACAACAACACGGGGTATGGAACAAGTTGATGGGAAAAAATGTTAGAGAAGGCTAAGACAGTCATTCATGCCTAAAATAATAATTGATGCCTTTAGGAAATTATTTTTATTTTACATAATGCTGTCAGCTAGTGGCCCTATTTCATACGGAGCCAACTGGGAACAATACTTGACTTTTACATTACTGAATCAAAAATTCCACATTTAACATTCTAGAATCATTTTCTGAAATTACATATGTTTAAGCCTGACTCAATGATATTTAACATTACCCCAGAACTAAAAGAGTATGTATCCTCAACCATCATTGGTATGCTTTGCCCAGTCCTTGCCTAGACCTAATAAAAATATGAGATACACCTAAGTGGGAGAGAATTCACTAAATGCCAACATGGAAAAACTAAAAGGCATTCGGGTTCAAGTTGGTGTTTGGAAAATTTAAAAAAAAAGAAAGAAACTAAAAGGCACATCAGTCACTATCCATAAAAAAGAAACCTACATTATTTTAGGTATTTAGGATAATTTAAGGACATTTATAGATTCCTTAGTGAACCACAAATATTTTTCTATAAAATCAAAAGCTTATCATAATGTGGACATAAGAACAAAAGTGTTGTCTGAGTATTACTGAACACAATTCTATGCAAATCTATTTATTTGATAAAACTGCATTGTTAAGCCAAAGACACTACCTAAATTCAGCCAAAAGTTAACAGTTCTGAAATTTTCTTTGAGAAAAAGAGTATGAGTACTATTTTTACATTTAAAATGCTCATATTTCATTGACAATTCACTATCTTAAGAGAAATGTCCTATACAAAAAACATAAAAAGTCCATAGCTCCTATGATGGTATGCTGTTTAACTCAGTGACATAAAGGTATTCTTGGCTGATGTCTTTCATCACATGAAATTAATTACAAGAATTATAAGAAATATTTAAGTGATTTTCTCAGTGGACAAATCTATCACCAATTAATCAGAAGCTTTGATGAAAAGGCAATATATTCTGTAATATTGTAATACTGCATCAAACAAAAACACTCTGGTATTAATGTATAGTAGCATCAAGAAAAATATGTTCTGGGTTTATTCTACAGTGAAAGTAAAGAAGCAGGGAATGGCAAAGAAAGCACCCGAAACAAAGCAAAGAAGGAAGAAACAGCCCCACTACTGAATTAACTGAGGTCAAAATGGAAACAAAAATAAAAGGGACAGTACTTCAGTGTCCAGTGTTCTTTCTGACCTACTCTCTCCATCTCCCTCTCTCTCTCCCTCCCCCACCTCCCCCCCACACACACACACCTGCGAAGTTTAGAAACTGCAGTATCCCATTTTGTCGGTGTACCTTATACAAGGCTTATTTTGCAGCTAAAGACAGTCAAACTTTCTATTATATATACATATATGCATACATTTAGTGAGTATAATAAATATTAGTGAGAAGAAAACATCAACTATAAATTCACTTTGTAAAACACTAAATATATTTCTATAGAGTGAATGTATAACTTACAAACATTTCCTGTATTGTCAAAGCTGGTAAGGACATCTTCAACATTCAAGGATCCACTATTATGCCTAGAAAGGAGTAAAGCGTTTGCTTTAATGATTCTGAAATGTTAACATTTTTAGTATTCAAAAAAGCTGAGACTGAGACTGTATATTATGGTATACCCAATAGCAATAAATTATTCCATGCTATATTTTAAGAATATTTTCTGCCCACTAGAGGGAGAAGGAAAGAAATAACAGTATGGTCCTCAGAATATTTAACATAATGACTTTTTAAATGATTAATCTACATCTTAAAGTACTAACAAATAATATTTACTTGTTGGGTTTTCATTATGTAAAGGGAAGTTCTTAACCTTTTTAAAGCCAAAAACCCACACAGTATACTTAGAGAATCAAGCTGAAAAATCATCACCTTCCAGAACCACACTCAACAATACATAAATTTACTCTATAACAGCACAAAAAATTCAGAACTTCAGTCACAAAGAAATAGCCAATCTTCAGGTCTGCTATTCCATCTACAGACAGTTATGAATGTCAGGGAGCAAAGTTTTTGTATCTTTTGCCCACTAATCTTAATTCTAATGCCTTTAATTCTAATCCCGCTTCAGTTAACAACTCTTTTAAATATTTGACTTGACACTGATATTTTATTAATACCTATGAAAAATACTATTTGTTATATACAAATAGACTCAATTGTGCAATAGGTCATAGAGTTTGAGTTTCTCAGGGGAAAAAAAAAATTAGTGCTAATCCATCTACAATCCTCTACATTCTCTCCCATATAATTTACAGCTGAAGTTCTTTAGAATGTTATAAAAGTTTGTAATAACCATTGATAATTCATAAAAATTTACTTCAACATTCACTTTGTCATTTAAAACTTGTCATAAGTGATATATAGAATTACGGACTGAAGTGTGCCTCCCACTTTCCCCAAATTCTTATGCTGAAGCCCTAACCCTGGTACCTCGAAAGGTGACTATATTTAGCAATAGGGCTTTTAAAGGTAATTTAGTTAAAATAGGGTCATTAGGGTGGGCCCTAATGCAATGTGACTGGTTTCTTTATAAGAAGAGGAGGTATTGGGAATCTCACCCCCATCCCCCACAGCAGCTACAGCAAGACCCACCCAAGGAGATTCTGAGCTCAGACAGGCCTAGCCCTGCCCCTACATGATGGTCCTTCCCTACCCAGCCTGGTAGCTGAAGACAAAGGGCATATACTCTTGGGAGGTCTAGGGCCCCGCCCACCACCAGTTCCTCTCCGTATTACTACAGTTGATGCTCTCTGGAAAGCACCACCTCCCAGCAGGAGGTCAACCAGCACAAAAAGAGAGCATTAAACCACCAAAGCTAAGAACCCTCACGGACTCCATTGTACCCCCCACCCCGCCACCTCCACCAGAACAGGCACTAGTATCCACAGCTAAGAGACCCATAGACAGTTCACATCACAGGACTCTGTGCAGACAACCTCCAGTACCAGCCCAGGGCCAGGTAGACTCACTGGGTAGCTAGAACCCAGGAGAGACATCACAGCAGTTCTGCTCATAGGAAGCCACATCCATAGGAAAACGGGGAGAGTACTACATCAAGGGAACACCCAGTGGGACAAAAGAATCTGAACAACAGCCTTCAGCCCTAGACCTTCCCTCTGACGGAGCCTACCCAAATGAGAAGGAACCAGAAAAACAACCCTGTTAATGTGACTAAACAAGGCTCTTTAGCACCCCCAAAAAAATCACACTAGTTAACCAGCAACGGATCCGGACCAAGAAGAAATCCCTGATTTACCTGAAAAAGAATTCAGGAGGTTAGTTATTAAGCTAATCAGGGAGGCACCAGAGAAAGGCAAAGCCCAATGCAAGCAAATCCAAAAGAACAATATAAGAAGTGAAGGCAGAAACATTCAAGGAAATAGATAGCATTAAGAAAAAACAGTCAAAATGTCAGAAAACTTCAGACACACTTTTAGAAATGTGAAATGCTCTGGAAAGTCTCAACAATAGAATTGAATAAGTAGAAGAAAGAAATTCCGAGCTCAAGAACAAGATCTTCAAATTAACCCAATCCAACAAAGAGAAAAAGAATAAGAAAATATGAACAAAGCCTCCAAGAAGTCTGGGATTATGTTAAATGACCAAACTGAAGAATAATCGGTGTTCCTGAGGAAGAAGCTTGGAAAACATATTTGGGGGAATAATCAAGGAAAATTTTCCCGGCCTTGCTAGAGACCTAGACATCCAACTACAAGAAGCTCTGGGAAATTCATCACAAAAGGATCATCACCCAGGCACACTGCCATCGATTATCAAAAGTTAAGATGAAGGAAAGACTCTTAAGAGCTGTGAGGCAAAAGCACCAGGTAACCTATAAAGAAAATCCTATCAGATCAACAGCAGATTTCTCAGCAGAAACCCTACAATGCGGAAGGGACTGGGGCCTCTCAAACAAACAAAACAATTGTCAGCCAAGAATTTTGTATCCAGTGAAACAAGGCATCATATAAGTAGGCATCATATATGAAGGAAATTACAGTCTTTTTCAGACAAATACTGAGAGAATTCACCATTACCAAGCCACCACCACAAGAACTGCTAAAAAGAGCTCTAAATATTGAAGCAAATCCTGGAAACACATCAAAGTAGAACCTCTTTAAAGCATAAATCACACAGGACCTATAAAACAAAAATACAAGTTAAAAAGCAAAAACAAAAAAAAACAAAGTACTCAGGCAACAAAGAGTACAATTAATGCAAGGGTACCTCACATTTCGATACTAACAATGAATGTAAATAGCCTAAACGCTCCACTTAAAAGACACAGAACCGTAAAATAGATCAAAACTCACCAACCAACTATCTGCTGCCTTCAAGAGACTCATCTAACACATAAGGACTCACACTTAACTTAAAGGGGTGGAAAAAGGCATTTCATGCAAATGGATACCAAAAACTAGCAGGCGTAGCTATTCTTATATCAGACAAAACAAACCTTAAAGCAACAGCAGTTAAAAGAGACAAAGAGGGACATTACATAATGGTAAAAGGCCTTGTCCAACAGGAAAATATCACGATCCTAAACATATATGTACCTAACACTGGAGCTCCCAAATTTATAAAACAATTACTAATGCCTAAGAAATGAGATAGACAGCAACACAATAATAGTAGAGGACTTCAATACTCCACTGACAGCACTAGACAGGTCATCAAGACAGAAAGTCAACAAGGAAACAATAGATTTAAACTATACCTTGGAACAAATGGACTTAACAGATACATACAGAACATTTTGTCCAACAACTGCAGAATAAACTTTTTATTCAACAGCACATGGAACTTTCTCCAAGACAGACCATATGATAGGCCATAAAACGAGCCTAAATACATTTAAGAAAACTGGAATTATATCAAGCACCCTCTCAGACCATGGTGGAATAAAAGTGGAAATCAACTCCAAAAGGAACCTTCAAAACCATGCAAATATATGAAAATTAAATAACCTGCTACTAAATAAGCACTGGGCCAAAAACGAAATCAAGGTGGAAATTAAAAAATTCTTCGAACTGAATGACAATAATGACACAACCTATCAAAATCTATGGGATACAGCAAAGGTGATGCTAAGAGGAAAGTTCATAGCCCTAAATGCCTACATCAAAATGACTGAAAGAGCACAAACTGACAGTCTAAGGTCACACCTCAAGGAACTAGAGAAACAAGAACAAACCAAACCTAAACACAGCAGAAGAAAGAAAATAACCAAGATCAGAGCAGAACTAAATGAAATTGAAACAACAACAACAAAATACAAAAGACAAATGAAAGAAAAAGCTGGTTCTTTGAAAAGATAAATAAAATTGATAGACCATTAGCAAGATTAACCAAGAAAAGAAGAGAGAAAATCCAAATAACCTCACTAGGAAACAGGAGATACTGCAAATGACACCACTGAAACACAAAAGATCATTCAAGGCTACTATATTTACACACATAAACTAGAAAACCTAGAAGAGATGGATAAATTCCTGGAAAAATATAACCCTCCTAGCTTAAATCAGGAAAAATTAGATACCCTGAGGCACCCAGCTAGCCCAGTCAGTAAAGCATGAGAATTAGATACCCTGAACAGAACAATAACAAGCAGCGAGACTGAAATGGTAATTTTAAAATTACCAACAAAAAAAAGTCCAGGACCAGATGGATTCACAGCAGAATTCTACCAGACATTGAAAGAAGAATTGGTACCAATCCTTTTAACACTATTCCACAAGCTAAAGAAATAAGAAACCCTCCCTAATTCATTCTATGAAGCCAGCATCACTCTAATACCAAAACCAGGGACAGACATAACCAAAAAAGAAAACTACAGACTGATATCCTTGATGAACACAGATGTTGAAATCTTTAACAAAATACCAGTTAACTGAATCCAACAACATATCAAAAAGATAATCCACCATGATCAAGTGGGTTTCATATCAGGGATGCAGGGATGCCTTAACATATGCAAATCAATAAATGTGATACACCACATAAACAGAATTAAAAACAAAAATCACATGATCATCTCAATAGATGCAGAAAAAGCATTCGACAAAATCCAGCATTGCTTTATGATTAAAACTCTCAGCAAAACTGGCATACAAGGGACATTCCTTAATGTAATAAAAGCCATCTATGATAAACCCACAGCCAACATAATACTGAATGGGGAAAAGCTGAAAGCAGTCCCTCTGAGAACAGGAACAAGACAAGGATGCCCACTCTCACCACTGCTCTTCAACATAGTACTGGAAGTCCTAGCCAGAGCAATCACAAGAGAAAGAAAGAAAGGGCATCAGTAAAGAGGAAGTCAAACTGTCACTGTTTGCTGATGATATGATTGTTTACCTCGACAACCCTAAAGACTCCTCCAGAAAGCTCCTAGAACTGATAAAAGAATTCAGCAAAATTTCCAAATACAAGGTTAATGTACACAAATCAATAGTTTTTCTATACACCAACGGCAACCAAGTAGAGAATCAAATCAAGAACTCAACCCTTTTTGCAACAGCTGCAAAAAAAAAAGGAATACTTAGGAATATACCTAACCAAGACGTCAAAAGACCTCTACAAGGAAAACTACAAAACACAGCTGAAAGAAATCACAGACGACACAAACAATTGGAAACACATCCCATGCTCATGGATAGGTAGAATCAATATGGTGAAAATGACCATACTGCCAAAAGCAATCTACAAATTCAATTCAATCCCCATCAAAATACCACCATCATTCTTCACCGAATTAGAAAAAACAATTCTAAAATTTATATGGAACCAAAAAAGAACCTGCATAGCCAAAGCAAGACTAAGCAAAAAGAACAAATCTGGAGGCATCACACTACCTGATTTCAACTATACTATAAAGCCACAGTCACTAAAACAGCGTGGTACTGATATAAAAATAAGCACAGAGACCACTGGAACAGAATAGAGAAACCAGAAATAAATCCAAATACTTACAGCCAACTGATCTTTGACAAAGTAAACAAAACAAAAAGTGGGGGAAAGGACACCCTTTTCAACAAATGGTGCTGGAATAATTGGCTAGCTATATGCAGAGAATGAAACTGGATACTCATATCACCTTATAAAAAATCAACTTAGGATGGATTGAGGACTTAAATCTAAGACCTGAAACTATCAAAATTCTAGAAGATAACATTGGAAAAACTCTTCTAGACATTGTCTTAGGCAAGGATTTCATGACCAAGAACCCAAAAGCAAATGCAAAAAAAAAAAAAAAAAAAAGATAAATAGCTGAGATCTAATTAAACTAAGGAGCTTTTGTACAGCAAAAGGAACAGTCAGCAGAGTAAACAGACAACCCAGAGAGTGGGAGAAAATCTTCACAATCTAAACATCTGACAAAGGCCTAATATTCAGAATCCACAACGAACTCAAACGAATCAGTAAGAAAAAAACAAACAATCCCATCAAAAAGTGGACTAAGGACATGAATAGACAATTCTCAAAAGAAGATATACAAATGGCCAACAAATATATGAAAAAAATGCTCAACATCACTAGTGATCAGGGAAAAGCAAATCAAAAGCACAATGCAATACCACCTTACTCCTGCAAGAATGGCTATAATCAAAAAGTCAAAAAACAATAGATACTGGCGTGGATGCTGTGATCAGGGAACACCTCTACACTGCTGGTGGGAATGAAAACTAGTACAACCACTATGGAAACAGTGTGGAGATTCCTTAAAGAACTAAAAGTAGAACTACCATTTGGTCCAGCAATCCCACTACTTGGTATCTACCCAGAGGAAAATAAGTCATTATTCGAAAAAGACCCTTGCACACTCATGTTTATAGCAGCACAATTCACAATTGCAAAATCGTGGAACCAACCCAAATGCCCATCAATCAACGAGTGGATAAAGAAACTGTGGTATATATATATATACAATGGAATACTACACAAAGGAATGAATTAAGGGCATTTGCAGTGACCTGGATGGGATTGGAGACTATTATTCTAAATGAAGTAACTCGGGAATGGAAAATCAAACATCATATATTCTCACTGATATGTGGGAGCTAAGCTATGAGGATGCAAAGGCATAAGAATGATACAATGGACTTTGGGGACTTGCGGGGAAGAGTGGGAGGGGTACAAGGGATAAACAAATATGGTACACTGTATACTGCTCAGCTGATGGGTGAACCAAAATCTCACAGAACACCACAAAAGAACTTACTTATGCAACCAAATACCACCTATACCCCAATAACTTATGGAAAAAAATGAAAATTGAAATTACAAATTAAAAAAAGGGGTCAGGTGCAGTGGCTCATGCCTGTAATCCCAGCACTTTGGGAGGCCGAGGCAGGCGGATCACAAGATCAGGAGTTTGAGACCAGCTTGGCCAGTATGGTGAAACCTCATCTCTAATAAAAATACAAAAATTAGCCGGGTGTGGTGGCATGCGCCTGTAGTCCCAGCCTCTCGGGAGGCTGAGGCAGGAGAATTGCTTGAACCTGGGAGGTGAAGGATGCAGTGAGCTGAGATCACGCCACTGCACTCCAGCCTGGGTGACAGAGCGAGATTCTGCCTCAAAAAATAAAACTAAAATAAAATAAAATAAATTATCAACTGAAAAAAAAAAGAGGAGGTAGGACACAGAGAGACATCAGGGTCATGCATGCACAGAGGAATGGCCTCCGAAAAGGCAGTGTGAGGGCGGCCATCTGCAAGCCAAAGGGAAGAGGCCTCAGAAGAAACCAAACCTGCCAACACCTTGATCTCAGATTTCTAGCTCCCAGAGCTGCAAGAAACTAAATTTCTCTTGTTTAAGCCCCCCAGTATGTGGTGTTTTGTTTTGGCAGCCAAGCAAACTAAAACATAGTAAGAGAATACGTGTAAACTGTATTACCCTTTCCATAAAAATAGAGCTTTTCTTTATTTCTGCCACAGAGGCCCAGTCCTTTGACAGGGTAATTAAATGAGATGAAAAAAGTTGGCCGGGCGTGGTGGCTCACGCCTGTAATCCCAGCACTTTGGGAGGCCAAGGCGGGTGGATCACCAGGTCAGGAGATCGAGACCATCCAGGCTAACACAGTGAAACCCTGTATCTACTAAAAATACAAAAAGATTAGCTGGGCGTGGTGGCAGGCACCTGTAGTCCCAGCTACTCAGGAAGCTGAGGCAGAAGATCGGCATGAACCCGGGAGGCGGAGCTTGCAGTGAGTGGAGATCGCGCCACTGTACTCCAGCCTGGGTGACAGAGCGAGACTCTGTCTCAAAAAAAAAAAAAGAAAAAGAAAAAGAAAAAAGTTATTTGCAATATGACTGACCAAATAAGCACTAGGCCCCAAAGTATCATAATCTGAAAAAACAAAGTCACCAATCACAAATAAAACAATCATAATAACATAATGATTCTTTGTCTTCTCTGGGCCTATAAGATTCTAGGTAGAGATGAGGTTATTTACACTAATATGGAAAACTACAGTAAATACTAAGAAAAGATGAAAATGAGCAAAATATTTAACCTCCAAAATGCAAGATGACTCACGCCTATAATCCCAGCACTTTAGGAGGTTGACGCAGGTAGAATCACCTAAGGTCAGGAGTTCAAGATCAGCCTGGCCAACATGGTGAAACCCTGTCTCTACTAAAAATACAAAAATTAGCCAGGTGTAGTGGCAGGCGTCTGTAATCCCAACTACTCAGGAGGCTGAGGCAGGAGAATCGCTTGAACCCAGGAGACAGAGGCTGCTGTGAGCCGAGATCGTGCCATTGCATTCCAGCCTGGGTGACAAGAGCGAAACTCCATCTCAAAAAAAAAAAAAAAAAAGTGTAAGATAAAACTATTAAAATTATCAACAATACAGTATTGAAATCCAAAAAAAGTTTTAATATAAAAGCAATATACGGTTCCTTCAAGAAAAAACTGCTCATAATCCTAACATGGAGAGATAACATGAGAATTTTGGTACGCAGCCTTCAAATCTTATTCTATGTTCACATATTCCTTTTATTAAAGAACTGAAAGCACTTGTCCATATTGTTTTGCAATTTGTTATTCACCAATTATAACAAAGTATGTATTATAAACAGTTTCCCACATCATTAAGTAATATCCCATAATATGATTTTAATGGCTGCCAAGTTCAATGGATGTCTGCACCATAATTTATTGAACCAGAACTTTATGTTGGATTTTAAGATTGTGCCCAATTTTGTACTATTGTGCACACTGCTGCAGTGAACATTCTTGTGGAAAACATCAAATCTATTTCTGATTGTTTACTTAAGATACATTGCTAAAAGTGGAATTGTTTTATGGCCTAATTTTAATAAGAATATTCTCTTCTTCTTGCATCTGTCTCTCTCCCTCTCTGTCTCTCATATATCAGGATGAAATAAATACTTGTAATTAAATCTGAAACAAGTAGAAATAACATGCACATATTTTGTAATAATGGTAATTTTTTTTAATTTCTAAAAAACAAACTGAGATAATAGAAGTTAAGTACATGTTTTAAAAGTTAAAAACACTATTCAAAATAAAAAATTTGATTTCAACTTATCACTGAAGCAAAACTTGTCATTCTGGAAAGCATTATTTCTTTTTTGAGATGGAGTCTTGCACTGTCACCCAGGGTGGAGTGCAATGGCGCAATCTTAGCTCACTGCAACCTCTGTCTCCCGGGTTCAAGCGATTCTCCTGCCTCAGCCTCCCGAGTAGCTGGGATTACAGGTGTCTGCCACCACTCCCGGCTAATTTTTGTATTTTTAGTAGAGATGGGGTTTCACTATGTTGGCCAGGCTGGTCTCAAACTCCTGACCTCGTGACCCACCCACCTCAGCCTCCCAAAGTGCTGGGATTACAGGTGTGAGCCACCATGCCCGGCCGAAAGCATTATTTCTTAAAGAAACAGAATGCTTACCATATGACCTTTTTAAGGGGGTAGGCAGTGGAGAAACAGTAAACCTCATCCTATACCTCTAAGATACTTATAAAAATGAAATCAATTATCCATGAAGTTATCAGGGTTTAAAAACCCTAAAAGATGGCATCTTATGAAAGAATAATGTTAATAATCACTATTTTCAAAACTATAAGAAGTTAGTTCTAATTATAGGAAAACTGCTATCAATATAGTATGACAAAGATTCAGTTTGGTTACTTCAAGTTCCATTTCATTTGTTCCAAACTTAAGGACTGTTCTTTTTCACTGAGTCATCTACTTTATTCAAGCGTCAAGTCTACAAGCTCTTGTCTAGTCTTAGTTTTTCAACTATTTACCTAGGTCCTGTCTGATCTCTGTGGTTCGCTAGTAATGCCTATAACAAAAGAAACTGCTCAAACTTAAATTCTTAAAAACTTCAGTCTTAGCATTATACTTGTAATTAATGTTATGTGACAACTACGATTTTTTGCCAACATACTCAGAGTATAAAAAGTTCACTCTATCTTTGTCCTAAACTTCAAAGCTTTATCCCAAACCATTAACAATGGCCAGATTCTTCTCCCCAGGGCCAAACCATTTTTTTCACAAGCACCTAAAGCTATCCTAGAACTGAGGAACTTTGAGTTTCTTCCTAAAAATGGCCTGCTGAGTAAGGACTGAGGAACGAGTCATTGGGGCAGATAATTATTTGAAGAGGGAAAAAGAAAAGCTGCTAGAGGAAAAATCTGAAGCCTAAACATGCCAAGAGGTTGAAACTAGAGGTGAAAAGCAAGCCATGGATAAATATGACATTAAAATTATAGATAACAAATGAAAAAATAGACATGTTACACCTCATCAAAATTAAAAATTTTGTGCATCAAAAGATACTACATATCAAGAAAGTTAAAAGAAAATGCACAGGCTAGGAGAAAATATTTGCAAATATCACATGTATGATAGGGTCTAATATCCAGAATATATAAAAATAACTCTGACAATAAAAAGAGACAGCTCAATTAAAAACACAAAGACAGGAGTGCAAAAGTCCCATTGGAAAGAAAATAAAACATTAAAAAAAAAGCAGGCAGAGAACTTGAATAGGCATTTCTCAAAAAAAAGAAAAAAAATACAAATGGCCAATAAGCACATGAAAAGATACTCAACATCATTAGACAATAGAGAAATGCATATCAAAGCCACAGTGAGATATCACTTCATATCCACTATAAGGGTTGTAATATTTTTTAAAAAAGAAGAAAAATTAACAAGTGCTTCACTGATAAGTATGGGGAGAAACTAAAACACTCATACATTCCTAGAATATAAAATGGTACAGCCCTATGAAAAATAGTTGGCTATTCCTCAAAAAGTTAAACATAGAGATACCACATGACCCAGCAATTCCACTCCTGGGTACATACCCAAGAGAATTAAAAGCATATGTTCACACAAAAACTTGTACATGCATATTCATAGTGGCATTATTCATAATAGCCCAAAATTAGAAACAATCCAAATGTTCATCAACTGATGAAAAAAACAAAATACATTAGCCATACAGTGGGATGCCATAAAAAAAGTATGAGGTACTGTTATGTGGTACAATATGGCTGAATCTTAAATTTAAAAAGATTACGCTCAGTGAAAGAAGACAGACATACAGGGCCACATATTGTAGGATTCCATTTACATAAAGTGTCCAGAACAGACAACACATAGAGACAGAAAGTCAAGTACTGGTTGCCAGGGACTAGAGGAAGAAGGAGAATGGGGAGTTACAGCCAATGTATATGGGGTTTCTTTTCAGGGTAATGAAAAAGTTCTGGAATAGTGGTGAAGGCTGTACAACATTGTAAATATACTTAAAACCACTGAATTGCATACTTTAAAGTGATTAAAATAGCAAATTTTGTTATGTAAATTGTATTGTGAGTAAAAGAAAATTGATCCAAAAATACAAAGTAAGCCAGAGAGTGGAGTGGGTCCTAAAAGGCTGCAGAAGAACAAAGAGGAGAGGTTTTCAGAAGGTTTTAAAAACTTAATTCTAGGCCAGGCGCGGTGGCTCACGCCTGTAATACCAGCACTTTGGGAGGCCAAGGTGGGTGGATCATGAGGTCAAGAGATCGAGACCATCCTGGCCAACATGGTGAAACCCCGTCTCTACTAAAAATACAAAAATTAGCTGGGCGTGGTGGCACATGCCTGTAGTCCCAGCTAATCAGGAGGCTGAGGCAGGAGAATCGCTTGAACCCGGGAGGCGGAGGTTGCAGTGAGCCAAGATTGCACCACTGCACTCCAGCCTGGTGACAGAGCAAGACTCTGTCTCAAAACAAACAAACAAACAAACAAACAAACAAACAAACAAACTTAATTCTAGATGCTTTGGAGTTCTTTCAAAAATAAGTGCTTAAAAATTACAAATTTTAAAAATAGCTAAAGAGATGTTTTCCAGTCTCATGGGTTTTAGGAAATTAGTAGATGGTTTCTACATGTACTATATTGGGATTTGGAAAATGTTTAAGGGAACATTTCAATTTACTGAAACAGTATATTTATATGTAAGCACGTTACATAAAAAATTGCAATGAAATTTAAAACAAATTAGAAAACTAAGTTATACTAGCCCATATCTATGATTTAAGATCCATAAAAATGTGACACAATGGAATTCACAGTTTTCTGGAAACTACGGATCATATTTTAAAGGTCCTAAAAAACGTTGTTTTATTGCTATAATCACCTCTGTTGTTAATATCACTACTAACAATAAAACTATGCTTTTAAATATAGATGCAGTATTCGTATTTGTCTTAGATGCCAGCCTCGCCAAGCTCTATATACGTACCTAGGTTATACTACACATACAAAAATAATCTGCCATACATCTAATTTCATAAGCAAACCATCTAATCACTAGTTTTTATTTACTGAACATTCACAAGCTATATAACTAAAATAATGAGGTGAGGGTTTGGTTTGTCTTTTTCTTTCCCTAGAAATGGAAGGTATGATCTCGGTGTAGTGCATTTGTTATAATAGAAAGATGCAACACAGTCAAAGACAAAGTCATTCTTGACTTTTTGCCCATTCTAAGTTCCCAGGACAAGGCAAAAGTCAAGAGTTCTAGCCTTCTAATTCAGCAATTACCATAGTAACAGTAGTCTTCTTCAAACAAAGAAGGACAGTTCAGGCCTCTCAGCTTTCTCTATACCTAAGACACGTATACACTTATAAATGAATAACTCAGGCACTTCTATGGTTCCATATATAATGGAAGCAATTTAAAGCTTCCAGAATATGCAAATTCCTGCTGTGCTGGAATTAAGTTGAAATATGGGAGATAGGAACAATTTCTTGTATCTACACAGCAAGCTTTATACAACAATATATTATAGTTTATGAGATAGGGAAAAGGAAATTTTAATCAAAGAATTTTGGTATAAACATCTCCTGGTGTCTCTTAGCTTATATACTTGCATCTATCTAATAACAAGAGCCTCTTCTACAAAGTTCTAAGAAACAAAGTACCAAAGTCCAGGCATAGTGGCTTACGCCTGTAATCCCAGCACTTTGGGAGGTCAAGGCAGGCAGATCCCTTGACCCCAGCAGTTTGAGACCAGCCTGGGCAACACAGCAAAACCCCATCTCTACAAAATATACAAAAATTAGCTGGGCATGGTGGCATGTAACTGTAGTCCTAGCCACTTGGGAGACTAAGGCGGGCGGATTGCTTAAGCCTGGGAGGTCAAGGCTTCAGTGAGCTATGATCATGCCACTGCATACCAGCCTGGGCAACAGAGTGAGACCGTCTCAAAAAAGAGGAAGAAAGAAAGTACCAGAAAGGCAAGAATAGTTTGTCAAGGAACAAAATCCAGGAGTCATACCCTGGATTTTCATTTCATAACTCTCAACACGTAATTTGAAACAAAGAGTCACCATCCACAGGTAGACAAAGACGACAACAAACCTTGGGAGTTTTGTAACCTAACTTTTACATTGTTTAAACTTTAGCTTCAGATGAAAAGTCACTAAGGGAAAATTATTCCTTCATTTTAATTATTATCATGTAAGGCTGACAGAAAATAATGGTCAAAGTTTTTAAGGTCACTGCTTATATAAACAAGATACAACTAGGTATTTTGAATTCACAAATACCTAGGCATTAACCCTCTTGGGGGTATTCACTTCAACTCTAATAAAACTTTAAGGAGACAGAAATGAATGGGTAGCAAAAGTTTAAGATAGACAAAACTAATAGGTATTGATAACAAGTGCTGATCACCCTGTGTGTGTTATCTCTGTTAAGCTGTGGCAGGTGATCTTAGGCGATAAGAACTGAGAAAGTGAAAATGGGGTTTACAATTATGATTTGTGAGGAACTTGTAACATCCCCAGTGTCTATTTTTTTTTTTTTTTTTTGATACAGAGTCTCACTTCGTCACCAGGCTGGAGTTCAGTGGCACAATCTCATCTGACTGCAACCTCCACCTCCCACGTTCAAGCTATTCTCATGTGTTAGCCACCGAGTAACTGGGATACTGGGATTACAGGCATGAACCACCATGTCCAGCTAATTTTTTTTGTATTTTTAGTAGAGACAGGGTTTCAGCATGTTGGCCAGGCTGGTCTCAAACTCCTAGGCTCAAGTGATCCACCCTTCTCAGCCTCCCAAAGTGCTGAAACTACAGGCATGAGCCACTGTGCCCAGCCCAAAATCTCCAATGCTTAGCCCCTTAATAGAACCTGGAGCAGGCTGGGCGTGGTGGCTCACACCTGTAATCCCAGCACTTTGGGAGGCCAAGGCAGGTGGATCACTTGATTTCAGGAGTTCAAAACCAGCCTGCCCAACATGGTGAAACCCTGTCTCTATTAAATATACAAAAAAATTAGCCAGGTGTGATGGCACACACCTGTAATCCCAGCTACTCAGGAGGCTGAGGCAGGAGAGTCACTTGAACCCTGGAGGTAAAGGTTGCAGTAAGCTGAGAATGGGCTACTGCACTCCAGCCTGGGTGACAGATTGAGACTCCTTCTCTAAAAAGAAAAAAAAAACCAAGAACCTGGAGCAGATCCACCATATAATATATATTGATAATCATTCCTCCAGCTAAAGACTGCAATGGCCTCTTCTCAGTAGCCTCTGATGATTCTGTCTTGCTCTTTCTTACCCTGTGTATTTTCTAGTATCTTTGCCATCATCTGGGCATCCCCTTCTCCCAGAACTTTCAAGTACTTCCAGATCCAGTTTTTTTAAAAATCATTTCCAAAACTCACTCCTACCTCTAAACTTCTATTAAGTGTGAGTATTCCACTCATTTTGAAAGTACTTATGCACAGCCTGGTGAGAGTTCTTACACTGAATAGTTAACTTTCCTTATTTAATTATTTTTATTATTTAACTTTTATCTATTTCAGCTCCTTAAGCATAGTATTGTATATTTATATTTATTTCTGTTTTTTTATATATATATAGAAGGTGCTATTAAATATTTATTGGTTTGAATTTAACACTATTCATCCCTTTTTTTTCAATCATCATTACTGCTGATTAAACAAACTTAAAAAATATAGAGGAAGATGAGAGTACTCCACTTCATTGCAAAACTACTTCTAAACCACTGCTTTGGGCTATTCCAAGTAATATTAAAAAACAAAACAAAAAAAAAACAGAAACCCTGGCCAGGCATGGTGGCTCAAGCCTGTAATCCCTAAAGGGGTCTCACTCTATCGCCCAAACTGGAGTGCAGTGGCATGATTATGGCTCACTGCAGCCTTGAAATCCTGGGCTGTAAGGATTCTCCTGCCTCAGCCTCCTGAGTGCCTGGGACTACAAGCACATACCACCACCCCTGGCTAATTTTTAAAATTTTTTGTAGAGACAGGGTTTCCCTATGTTGCCAAGGCTAGTCTTGAACTCCTGGCCTCAAGTGATCGTCTTGCTTCGGCCTCCCAAAGTACTGTTATTTTTGCACTAATGTGGACAGATACTAACTAGTTTGAAAAAAAAAATCTTGGCAGCCAATGAAGCCAACACTTTAGCTCAGTCACGTGTCTTTTTTCCAACTCAATGTCATATTTGTATAGATATACATTTATTCTTTCATATATCACAAGAAGATATATCACAAAGAACAATGCTGTTGGAAAGGAGTCCCAGTTTACTCTATAGCTTGGGCTCTGGATAGTACTACATGAGGATCATCTCTACAAGTGGATAACCATGACTTGCTTTGAAAGATCTCAAGAAGAGACTATTTCACATTCTCACTGGCTAACCCTTACCAGGGCCTTGAAGATGTCAGGAAATTATTCTTGCTATAATTTATACTTATTGTCTCTTTTCACCAGTGGATGCAGAAGATAAGTTTTAGAACTTTATACCTAAAGACCCCTACTGGATCACTCTGTCCTTTCTTGTCTTTCATTTCCTTCTAAATGTTTAATCATTTCCATTCCTGCTTCACAAAGTTATTGTAAGGATCACTTGAAATGGAATACATCAAAACACCTAGCTCTGTACCTGACACAGAGTAAGCATATACCTTTCTTTCCTTTCTAACCAAGGACAAAACTGATTATCTCCATCAAAAGGCAAAGCAGTTGGGGTATCCTAATGAGAATCTCATAATTAATGTACAGGTACACCCCAAAATCTGTAAGTTTATATATTTTATTTGGCATTTTCTTTACTTTGATTTTTTTTTTTTTTTTTTTTTTTTTTGAGGCAGAGTCTTACTCTGTCATCCAGGCTAGAATGCAATGGCACAGCTCACAGCAGCCTCAACCTCCCGGGCTCAATCAATCTTTCCACCTCAGCCTCTGGAGTAGCTAAGACCATAGGCACATGCCACCATGCCCAATTAATTTTTGTATTTTTTGTAAAGGTGGGGTTTTGCCATGTTGCCCAGGCTGGTCTTGAACTCCTAGGGTCAAGTGATCCACCCACCTTGGCCTCCTGAAGTGCTAGGATTACAGGCATGAGCCACTGCGCCCAGCCGGCATTTTCAGTAAAATAGTATTATAAAACCAGATTCTAATTGTTCTTTCCTGCCCAACCTAGTCAATTTTTATCCAAATCCCAATTTTTAGCTATTATGTTTTAAAGCTTAGATATTCTAAACTAAAATAGCTCGAGAAACATATACTATAAAAAGATACCCTTTGTGAAAATTTTTTTCTTAAAATTATTCCTAGCCTCACCTAAACCTTATTCAGTCACATTTACACTTAAAATGTTTTTTGCTCTTCTTACAGTTACTGTAAATGTGCTCCTCCCTCCCTTTCAAAATGTGAAATACTGTCAGAAAAGGCAGATTTTATAAAATCAAACACCTACAGTAATATTGCAACATGCTAGAACATAACTGTGAGAGAAAATTAATTCAGTAAAATGGTATCTTGTTATTGCAGTCTGTAACTCTCTTGTCTCTTTTCTAATGATTTTTAAAGTCAGAACAGTCCATATGCTTCTTACAATATCAGTGTTTTCAGTTGAATTTTCTCCTTTAGTCTTAAGATTGATTCTATTCTGAAAGTAATAAAAAAATAAATAAATGGAAAAAATACCAAAGCTTGATTTTTCAGATTATTACTTGAAGGGTAGTTTGGAAAAATTCTGTTTTCACTTTCAGCCCCTTCTTTGCCTCAGAACAAACATGGCTTTTTGTCATAAACAAATGTTATGACAGAATGTTTAAATGAACCCTTTGATTTGCAACCACCTTATCTTCAAATGCCACTATATTTGTGAGAACTTGTTTCCTTTAGTCTGATAATACAGCAAGACCCAGTTAAAATAGCAGGATTTCCTAAAACAAGTTGTAAAACCTAAGTTCTGAAAAAGATTGCCCGTAAACTCAATAGAATAAATAATGATGATTCTTATTAGATTGTTTTTCTTATCCAAGAGAAATCTAGTGTTTACAAAATCTTAACTAGAATAATGGTTACCTTAAGGAGATACTGTATTCAGGACAGAAGATGCTTGTATATTGGACCCATGCACCAACCTCCTCTTCAGTTTCCCTTTCTTTGCCTTCTGTTACTGAAAACAGATTAAATGATTCAAATCTTCTTACAGATACATGTCGCAGGCAATCATCCAGGTGTTTTTGCTTCAGAACCTTTGAAATAAAGCCAAATATTGCAGTCATGTTATCTAAACATATAGTAAGTTTAGTGTTCAAAATGTTCAAAATTTAAGTGGTAAGGGGACTTTCCCTTCTAATAATGACAGATTAGATAATTCAGATATATCTCCTACTGAAGATAACTATAAAAGATGAACAAAATATTTTAAAGCATTACTTGAAGACATCAGAGAGCAAAGACAGTGAAGATTTACAAGTCTGATATCTTTTTTTTTTTTTTTTGAGACAGGATCTTACTTTGTCACGCAGCCTCACTGTCACCCAGCCTGTCACCCAGCTGGGTTCAGGCGATCCTCCTACCTCAGGCTCCCTAGCAGCTGGAACTAAAAGTATGCACCACCACGTCTGGTTAATTTTTTAAATTTTTTGTAGAGATGGGGTCTCCCTATATTACCCAGGCTGGATTCAAACTCCTGGGCTCAAGTGATCTTCAACCCTGGCCTCCCAAAGTGCTGGGATTACAGAAGTGAGCCACAGCACTTGGCTTGCAGTCTTATATCTTTAAAAGGAGAAAACCTACAAAGGTTACTCTGACTTTTGCAACCACTTTTCTCCTGGGGATATGTGTCAATTCTAAAAGAAAGAACCAAGAAGATAAGCTGCTTCTTTAACAACCTATGGAGCTAGGAGAGAAAAGTTGAATTTCAAAGCTTACCTAGGAATGGGGAGGTATATTGAGTATGCAAGGTATGTATGTTTTAGCATAATGAATAATTTTGCTGGTGTTGCTAAAAGCCAGGTTTTTAAGTGTGGGGCATATCAACCAATAATAATGCTTGGATTTTATTTGGATCCTCCTCCAAAATAATCAAATTATAAAGAAAAATTATGACAAAATGGGGAAAATTTGAAAACTGATCAGATATTTCATGACATCAATTAATTATTCTGGGTTGATGTGGTATTGTGATTTTTTAATGTCATTTTTATAAGTTCATAATGAAATATTTAAAGAAAAAATGACATCTGAGATTTGCTTCAAAATAATGGTGGTGGGGCAATGGGAGAAGTGAGAATAAACACAGCTGTTCATGAGTTAACAGTGTTGAAGCTTATCAGTACCTGAATGATTATTGTATTGTTCTCTCTAGCTTTATATATGTTTTATATTTCCCATGATAGAAAAATCTTAGATATAAAATAACTTCAGACTCATAAGCAAACAAAAATAAAGAAAAAGATATTTGAAAAGCCAAATATATTTGGAAACTAGGCAATGTACTTATAAATAACCTGTGAAACAGAAAAAGAACACATAATAAAAACTATAGGCCAGGTGCAGTGGCTCATGTCTGTAATCCTAACACTTTGGAAGGCTGAGGCAGGAGGACTGCTTGAGGCCAGGAATTCCAGACCAGCCTGAGCAACATGGCAAGACCCCATATCTACAAAAAATAAAAATAGGCTGGGCACAGTGGCTCACGCCTGTAATCCCAGCACTTTGGGGAGGCTGAGGTGGGTAGATCACCAGAGGTCAGGAGTTTGAGACCAGCCTGGCCAACATGGTGAAACCCCATCCTTACTAAAAATACAAAAATTAGCCAGGTGTGGTGGCGGGGGCCTGTAATCCCAGCTGATGGGGAGGCTGAGGCAGGAGAATCGCTTGAACCCAGGAGGCAGAGGTTGCAGTAAGCCGAGATTGTGCCATTGCACTCCAGCCTGGTTGACAACAGCGAGACTCTGCCTCAAAAAAATTTTAAAATAAAAATAATTAGTAGGATGTGGTGGTGTCTGCCTGTAGTCCTAGCTACTCAGGAAGCTGAGGCAAGAGGATTGCTTGAGCATAGGAGTTTGAGGTTGTAGTGAGCAATGATGAAGCCATTGCACTCCAAATTGGGGAACAGAGTGAGGCTCTATCTCTGAAAAAACAAAGAAAATTATAAAGTATTTTGAATTGAATGACAATAGAAATACATTTCAAAACATATGACATGCAGCTAAATCCAGGCTTACAGAAAAAAATACAGAAAGGCCAAAAGTTAATAAGCATTCATTGCAAAAATTTGAAAAATAAGCAAAATAGATCCC
Organism: Homo sapiens; assembly: GCF_000001405.40. NCBI lineage: Eukaryota > Metazoa > Chordata > Mammalia > Primates > Hominidae > Homo > Homo sapiens. Next base: position 44,370,660 of record NC_000002.12, on the reverse strand, counting down.
TAAAAGAGTACAGGTTAATGAAGTAGAAAACAAACACAGGAGAGAGGATCGATAATACTAAACGTTGTTTCTTTGAAAAGATTGATAAAACTGATAAATCCTTAATAAGACTAATAAGAAAAAAGGAAGAACTATCAATGTGATACAGGGAGGTTACTATAAATCCTGCAGACATTAAAAAATAATAATAAAGGGATATTTATGAAAACTAACTTTAAAAATTTAGATGAAATGGACAAATTCCTAGAAAAACACAACTACTAAAACTGACACAAGAAGAAACGGAAAATCCGAATAGTCTAAACTATTTCAAAAACTGAATTCATAAATATAAAACTTACCACAAAGAAAACTCCAGGCCCAGATTGCTTACAAGAAAATTACATTACATGTCTGAGTAAGAATTAATGCAAGTCTTACCACATTCTTCATTAAATACTCAAACAACACTATGGGATAGATACCTACTACGTGAGAGAAAAAACTAGAACACAGGGCAGTTAAGCAATTTGCCCAACGTCAGAGAGCTCACAAGAGTCAAACCCAAGGTTAAAATCCAGGCTGCCTGACTACAGACCCTAAACTCTTAACACCTCTGCTTGTAGAGAATATGATAAACCGGCATCACCTATCCATTCCAGCTTCCAAGATACCTTTCTATTTTATAGAGTTGGAAAGCTAGAAGCTGTATTTCCTGGAATCCGTAGCAGCCAAAGTTTCAGATGTGATTTTGGTTTAACTAATCAGATGCACTAACATGAGATTTGAAACAAGGAAAGATGGTGTTAACTATAATTCACAACCAACTTGTGCTGCTTAGAATAGTTGTAAAGATACTTGGTTTTTCTGAAGCAGCTTTAACAGAGGTTCCAGTGTTGACTCTCTAATTTAATGGAGAGTGAGAGGGAGCACAAGTGGCATCACTTCTCCTGGTTGCTTCTAGAATCTATAGTTATGGCATACTTTGCTTCTAGAATCTATAGTTATGGCACAGCAGCTTCCTGTTCACCAAAGATCACAGCTAAAGTGATATAATCCTGGAGACAGCTTCAGGTTCTTTATTGTGGTAGAGGTAGTATTTCACTTGGCTGGCCAGTTGCAGCTTTATACTGTTCTGGCACTCTGTTGTTCTGGGATTCACTCTTAGACTGTTTCTCCAGTGATTTTGTAAGCACTTAATTCACTATGCTAAACCCATTTCTGCTTAAAGTAGCTAGAGTGGTTTCTATTTTCAAAAAAGGAACACTTATTCCAAAGATGCATAATTCTTATGTGTAGAAGGGCAAACTGAGATCAAAATAATCAAGAAAATATATCAGTATGAATATATTTCATAGGAAAAATGTTTAAATTTTATATACTATGTAGAAGTTTTAGAAGGTTAGTTTTTTAAATGGAGGATCGGAAAAGGTAGTCTCTCTTTGAAGGTTTTCTTTATTTTTAATTGTTTAAAAGACTTAATCAAAAGCAGGGTCTTGTTCAGGCATGGTGGCTCATGCCTGTAATCCCAGCACTTTCAGAGGCAAAGGTGGGTAGATCACTGGAGGCCAGGAGTTCGATACCAGCCTGGCCAACATGATGAAACCCCATCTCTACTAAAAATACAAAAATTAGGTGGTGCATGGCATGCACCTGTAATCCCAGGTTCTTGAGAGGCTGAGGCACGAGAACTGCTTGAGCCTGGGAGGCAGAAGGCACAGAAGGCATGAGAATTGTTTGAGCCAGACTGCACTACTGCACTCCAGCGCAGGCAACAGAGCAAGATTCTGTTTAAAAATAATAATAATAATACAGGGTCTTATTATAGTCTGTCAACTATGGGCAACAGGAAGAAAAACAAACTACTCAACAGAGCTTACTCTTAGGAAAAAACAAAGTATTAAATTTTTAAAAATATAAAATGTAGACATTATAAATTATCTTCAATCTTGCCCAATTAAACTCCAAACAGTAAATACCTTTTAATAGTCTAAATTACTCTGATGTCAAGGTAATGGCACCAAGGTACTCTGATGTCAAGGTAATGGTACCATAAACCGCTAATGTAAAAAATAATTTAAGTCACCACATGTATAATACTGGAAGGGGCTTACATAGTTTAGTATGATCTGCATGATCTACAGTATGACAACGTGATCTACATGATCGACAATACGACAACAAGCTAATACTCAATGAAAGTAACAGGCAACATATTTAGAACAAATAAGACATTTATATAATCCATGTTAGGTAAAAGTAATTGCAATAGGAGATCAAGTCAAATTACTTTTGACATTGCTTTAAAAAGAAGATTCAGTTATTTTAAGGCCATCAATAATATTGGTAGTTTAATGAACTGAAGGGATGCTCAAATCTCCCATCAAGTTATAACCTTATCATCTACCACTTTTAGAAGACCTCCTTCAAATACCCATGTTATATAATTAAATAATATTCAAATGAAATTATCTGGGGTGAAGGAATAGTCAAGGCATTTTCTCATTCTCCTAAGTAAGTCAATGAGCTATTTAGTCAAATATCAATGCTATATACCAAATAAGTTCATGTCAAAAGATTAAGTATCAGAAGAAGAAAAAAAAGACATCAAGTCCTAAGGTCCCTAAACCCATTAGGTAAACAACGTATGCAACTGAACACAATGGAAGTCAAAGACCCATTTATTAACCTGAAATGTTTGTTTACTCCAGAACTAACTAAACTGATCATAACTATACAGAAACACTTATGAAGACCAGATGGGTAGAGGAGTAAGGCTAAACACAAAAGTATTGGTTGAAAATCTTTTAGAAGAGTAGCTAGATGCCCTGATTACATCATCAACACCAGGCAACTACACTTCCCCACAATGGTACTTTGATAGATACATTTCTAGAGAAGATGAGTAACAGTTCTGATCTTAAACATCGAGTACAGCTTAAAGTAGTATAACAGGCTCTTCATTCTGATCAATATCCCTTTCCTTCACTTAGCTTCCAGATAATAGGCAGCTAGTCTTATATCTGCCTGCCAGAGAGGAGAGTGCAATATAGAATGAGTACCCCTTATCCAAAATGGAACCAGAAGTGTTTTGGATTTTGAATTTGTTCAGATTTTGGATTTGTTTGGATTTGGGAATATTTGCAAAACATAAAGAGAAGGCTTGGGATGGGACCCAAGTCTAAACATGAAATTCATTTGTTTTTCATATATACCTTATACACATAGCCTGAAGGCAATTTATATAATTTTTAAAATAATTTTATGCATAAAACAAAGTTTTGACTGTATTTTAATTGCGACTTGTCACATGAGGTCAAGCATGGAATTTTCCATTCGTGGCAACATGTCGGCTCTCAAAAAGTTTCGGATATTGAAGCATTTAAGATCTTTAATTTTTGTATTAGGGATACTTAACCAGGTTTCCTTTCTCGGATATTGGAACAAGAAAAAAAGACCTGTAGATACTGACATTTGGGATCCACTCAACAAAAATGGCCAATTCCAGTTACCCTACAGTTAAAAGGACAGTTAACAGAATTCTGAATCCCTATATTTATATATGAATCTATGCTCAGGGATGCAAGTAAAAACCAGAAAACCTTATCCTTTACATGCGGAAGCTATAGTGTTTCCCGTTTTTAAGACACAGCAACAGGCCGGGCATGGTGGCTCACACGTGTAATCCCAGCACTTTGGGAGGCTGAGGTGGGCAGATTGCTTGAGCTCAGGAGTTCGAGACCTGCCTGGGCAACATGGCAAAACCCCATCCCTGCCAAAAAAAATACAAAAATTAGCCAGGCGTGGTGGTGTGCACCTGTAGTCCCAGCTACTCAGAAGACTAAGGCACAAGAATCGTTTGAACCCAGGACATGGAGGTTGCAGTGAGCCGAGATCACACTGCTGCACTTCAGCCTGGATGATGGAGTGAGACTTTGTCTCAAATAATAATAATAATAATAACAATAGCTGCTATTTATTTTGAGTCTATGATGTGGCAGATTCCAAGCTAAACATTTTACAAATATTATCTCAAATACTCAAAACAACCTTCCAAAGTATGTGTTATCACTCCCATTAAGTGAAGAGAAAACTGAGGTTAGAAAGTAAAAAGTTGTCCAAATTCCAACAACTTATGGAAGACTTATATGACAACTATTACCAAAAGGATTCAAGATGGCTTAAAAAGATGAACAATACAACAAGATAACATTTATGAAGAAAAAGAGAAAGCAAAAGTAAGCATATAAAACAAAGTCAAGAATAAAGGTGAAACAAAAATACATTCCAAAACAATCTAAATACTTGATATAGATCAGTGAAGAGCATCCAGTACGTGGTAGTAGACCTAGGACTGGATCAAGACTTAGATGCATCTGACGCCAGTGTCAAGTTGTATGCTTGCCAAGTTAACTGTGCTTCTTCACAAACCTTTTTATTCTACTTATTCTTCAAAATAACAAATTAAATTTGTCATCAATTAAATATTTAACTTGTCATTAATTAAATATTACAAAACTAATAACATAGAGCTGAAAGGGAGTTAACGTTACCCTAAAAGCCAAGTTGAATGTTTGAGAAAGATAAAGGTAAGTTGCTTAAAAGTTTACTATCAGTTTAGGTGTTGGAAGCCAACTATAAACATTTGAAGAATTACAAATACCTAGAAAGATTTGACACTCAGAAAATAACTTCACTTGGAATATGTATCGTTATTACAATTCACCTCTTAACCAACTTTTTCAATTAGCCAATCCAGGAAAAAGCATCCTGCTTTGATATAAACTGAACTGTGAAATATTCCATAATCAGATTCTTCAGCCAAGTATTCATACCTCTAGGCAACATTTTTCATTCGGTAGGTGGTTTGTAAATACGTGTGTAACAGTCATTGCTACTTTTTCATCTGCCCTACATTGCCTCCTTTTAGGAACTGCCCCTCTCTCACTCTATGTAATTCTAGTGAGGTTGTTACCTTACCTGCCACAGGGTAGGCTGATAACCCAGGTTAGCCAAAGTGCCCCATTCTGGACACAGCAATTGGTCTAACCTTGGCCTATCAGAGTCCTTTGGAGGAAATGATTTGGATGTTGGGGAAAAGAGTTATTTCTTCTGGATTACTAGCTGGATGGATATGAAAGCCCGGAGTTGCCAGTGGCCATCTTCGTCAACATGTAATGAGACTCAACAAAGAGGAAAACAGAACAACATCCATAACCTCTACTGATATTGATTCATCATCTTCCAGACCTCATCTAATTTAAGTACTCGCTTGACTCAAATCTTGGCAACTTACCATGTAACCTGGAACCAAATGATGCACTAGGTCAACCAGGTTTTCTCTCAAAACCTATGTTTTGTTAATTACAAAACACAGAAAATACTGAATAGTTAACATAAAGTAAAAGGCCATGAGACAGCCTTGGAGCTCTATAGGGTAATGGAAAGACAGAATTTTAAAGGAAAAAACAAGTAGACAGAGCAGATGTTCTTCAGATGTCCCACGAGCGAGAAAAGGAGTCACATATCTCTAGCACTGCTTAGATTCCTTATAGTTTTCCAGTACTAGATGCATATAGGATAGGAATGGTTCATTCATTTGAAATACATTTACTAAGAGCTTGTAAATGTTTAATATATGTGATCGATTAAATTGTAATAGAAAAATATTCACTTCCTCTTTGTCACCTCCAAGGAAGGAGTTGTATTTCCCTGCCCCTTGAATTTGGCCTTTGCCAAATATCTTACTTTGGCCAATAGGAAATAAACACATGATGTGAGCAGGGGTTTAAAATGTGTCTCTGTGGTTGGGCTTGCTCTTATACCTCTGCTATCACCATGAGGACTTCAGCCCACTAGTCCAAAGATTAGAGACATATGGACCACATGTGCATCATAGAGATACCCAGATGACTACAGCCTATGTCGGTCAGCTCCCAGGTGGCCCCCAGATGCACCAACAAAATAAATACTAACTGTTGTATGCCACTGTGATGTTGCGGTTCTTACTTAGCAATAGCTTACTGATAAAATACACTAAGGACTAGGTGCTATGCGCCACTTAAAGACTGTCCTTACTCTCAGGCTTTCCACAGACACTGAACAACATCTACTAAAAATCAATTAACCAGGCCCTGTGCTAGGTGCAGAGGATGTAAATTAATAAAACATCACCTTTTCCCAGGGTGAATGCCCATTCTAGTAAGAAAAAGAGACCCTGATCACATGATCATAAAATAATATAAAGGGCTCATTGGTAGAGTTGGCTGAGGGTCTAACTTAGCCCAGAGGCATTAGGGGTGGCTTCACAGAAGAGTAGTTTGAAATGGAAGTGTGAAGAATGAACAATCATTCACCAAGTAGAGAAGATAAAAAGACTATAAGCAGGCAGATATATACCAAAAGTTTCGATGTCAGAACGTGTGGGGACTTCATGTAACAGCCACAGCTGAAACTTGTCACTGTTTTCATTTAGACCGCAATTTAGAATGAACATAAGTGCTGTAGTTTTTACTATACTGAGAATCACTGAAAGCCAGGTATCATGGCATACCCCTGTAATTCCAACTACTCAGGAGGCTGAGGTGGGAGGATTGCTTGAGCCCAGGAGTTACCTGCCTGGGCAACAAGCAAGACTCTATCTTATTTAAAAAAAAAAAAAAAAAAAAAAGGAAGGGTGGGGGCGGTGGGCGTGGCAGGCATGGTGGCTGATACCTGTAATCCCAGCACTTCGGGAGGCGAGGCAAGTGAATCACCTGAGGTCAGGAGTTTGAGACCAGCCTGGCCAACATGGCGAAACTCCGTCTCTACTAAAAACACAAAAATTAGCTGGGCGTAATGGCGAGCACCTGTAATCCCAGCTATTCGGAAGGCTGAGTACGGGAGAATTGCTTGAACCAGGGAGGCGGAGGCTGCAGTGAGCCGAGATTGCGCCATTGCACTCACGTCTGGGCAACACAGTAAGGCTCTGTATCGAAAAAAAAAAAAAAAAAAGAAGGGGGTTGCCGGGCACGGTGGCTCATGCCTGTAATCCCAGTACTTTGGGAAGCCGAGGTGGGTGGATCACCTGAGGTGGGGAGTTCGAGACCAGCTTGACAAACATGGAGAAACCCCGTCTCTACTTAAAAAAAAAAAAAATTAGCCAGGCGTGGTGGTGCATGCCTGTAATCCCAGCTACTGGGGAGACTGAGGAAGGAGAATCATTTGAACCCTAGAGGCGGAGGTTGTGGTGAGCGGAGATGGCAGCCATTGCAGTCCAGCCTGGGCAACAAGAGGGAAACTCCATTTCAAAAAAAAAGGAGGGGGGAAGGGGGGTTGAGTCCACTCTCCCCAGCTCACGCCAGATCTCATTTCAGTGGTCACTATTAAAAAAAATTAGATATTTACTTTATTATAGATACTTCCTATGATGATCTGTGAGGACATGCATTTTCTTATCCTGTAATACCATTTGTAACAATAGCAAAACCAGATCATTACTGGTCTGGAAAGACTGTCAATGTATCAGCAAATAAATCTTAATTAACTCTGATGATCTACTTAACTCATAACTCTAAAAGCACTAAAAGACCACTGTATGAAAAGGTGACTCAAGGCAACTGCAAACAAAGTGATCCCCAAAATACTAAAAGCACAATCTCAAGTAAAGTGGCAATAGCTGGGAAACTCTTTTCCAAACACAACTGTCAGAAATGGAAAAATGTCCTCCTGAGTAAAGTTTTCGGCAGAAAACTTCAGGCAGAGGCATAACACTGCTATGCAAAAACAATAACCAGACTTCACTTCAAGAAGTGAGCGAAGAATGTGAGTGATCATAAATCAGAACTTCCGTCAAGCTTGCACGAGTGGAGTTGTAAGTAACAGCAGAAACTTTGAAGTACCAGAAGATACCATCATTCAAAAACGAACACACTTTGACTAGCCCACCTTGGACACGGAGAATCTCGCTGATCACTACAAACTACAAGATAATCATTTAACTTTGAGACCTCAGTGAGAGAGGGTATCAGCTTTTCCTACTCCTTGCACGCTCCGCTGTACGGAAGATGCCGAGGGAACGCATGCCGTGTCTCAGTCCCGGCATAGTCAACCACGCTGGGCAAAAGACGGGGCCAGAGGGTGCAGACGAATATCGGTAACTCGAACCAGGCTGGGAGTTAAGCTAGAAGAAACTGGGGAAGGAGGCAAAACAGAAGCAGGAAAAGAGCAGTGGGGAGCGGCGGGCGCACCAGAGACTGGCGAGAAGGGGAAAAGTCCCCCAGACGCACAAAAATGTCTAGAAGGGGTTCTTCTACTTCGATCTGAGTTTCCCAGGAGCTCAGCCTTGGCTGTCCCGCTCCCCACCCAACCCCACATGATTCCTCCTCTTGGATGGGACGCTTAGGTGAAGCGAGGGGGAGCTTCGCAGGTGGCTCCCGGCAAACTGAGAAGGGTCTCCCAGAGCTGCCAAGAGGAAAGAACTGCGAACAGTCGCTCCCCCGGTACGTGAGAGAGGAGTGACCAGAGGCAAAGGTGAGGCGAGCAGGTTCTCCCTTACCTGCCGCAGGAGCTTCCACCGGGCGGCTCCCAGGGGCGCCGAGACTACGGGCCCCCGAGTGGTGCAGCCAACTGCCGGACTCCCGCCCGCTGCTCGCGCGGTCTCGCCGGTCCCAGCGTCCGCGACTCGCGACTCCATCTCACTGGAGCCTTCCACACCCGGAGGTGCCACCGCCGCAGCTCGTCCCCTGCCAGGACCTGCCAACTTCTTCCCTGTCAGGACCTGTGACGCCCGGCACCCTCCCTCCACCGGACCAGGCATGCGCGCTCTCCCCGAATTCCGCATTTCCGGTACTCGCATCTCCTTGGCAACCAGGGCCGAGCTGTCACGCCATTGCACCATTCTTGCTGGTAGCCATCTTGAGTGAGGGCGGACCAGAGGATGAGAGAGCTGTGGCAGGGCTACTGGAACGCTGTCCCTCATTGTTTTAGCCTTCTGTGCTTCATCTCGAGCTCAGAAGACTAGCGAAGAACGAAAAGTCTTATATATTTCGAGACTAAAGAACCCAGGAACCCAAGAAGACTCCTTGACCACAACAAAGATGGCGAAATCTGCCTGTTGCTCGTGCTAGATTGAGGTTACGTAGATTGGCGTGCTGCAAACCAGCTCTAGGCGGCTCTGGGTAAGTTGTCGTTCTGTGGGCTGCGGAACGCAGACTTCGGCTGGACTTGCCTGCGGTGACACCTGCTCCCCTCTGAGAGCTTCAGGTTCTCCGGCCTGCCTTCACTGGTTTGTGTCCAGAGCCGGACTGATTCTCTCAATTTGCGTATGTATGGGGGGTGTGCTGGTCTCTTTCCTTCTCCCCTTTCTCCCCCCGCCCAGCCACCCACCCCTCAGTCCCCAGGTCCTCGCTTTTTGACTAATGTCCCGGCACTGCGTGCGTGTCACCTGGTCCCTCTCCCTGTTGCATTCAGATCGCCTCATCCCTGGGGTGGAGAGTTGCACGGGGTAAACGAATAGGTTCTCCTGAGAACACCCATTTATCTACCCCACCCCCATCCTAGCCTTGCATACTGTCTTCTTGGGGATGAAAGATGGATGGATAAAGGCTGTGGGAACGTGGTGATGTAGGACCTTTGCAGGTCCTTGTTATTCGGGTCTTTTTTCCCCTTTTTTTACTAGTGTCGGCTAGTAAACTAGTGTTGCTCCCCTACCCCCAATCGCCCATTATTTTGCTGCGACATGGAAAGGGATTAAGGGGGGCGGGGGCGTCGTAGCGCATCTGATCTATGGTAAATTTGACGCAGCATTCTACCTTTGATACCAGGGGGCATTTTGTGGAAGACTTCCATAATGACATTCAGCGGTGTGCAACATACCTAGATTATTCCTGTCGTAAATAATAGCAACTGCCATTTATTGAGTGGTCACTATGTGCCAGGCACTGTATGGTCTTAATGTTAAGCTGTCTCATTTTGTCTTTACAACAACAACCCTAGAAGGTAAATGGTGTCATTTCATTTTTGCAGATGAAGAAACTGAGGCCCGGAGACACAGTTAAGTGTAGGAGCTAAGACCTCAACCCAGGTCTCTCTGACTCTTAACTACTTATTAGCAATCAAGGTTAATAAAAGCTACCTCCTGACAAACCAGAGATGGCCTTACATTTTATTTGTGCATCTTGCAGGGGTTTTTTGTTGTTTTTAATTAAAGCGCTAAATACCTTTTTAACATTAAAAATCCGAAGTTGAGTATGTCCAGTATTTGGAACCGAACCAAATTGGATTTTTTGCTATACAGCTTACTGTACAAGTGACCTGGAACAGTTGCTTAGAACCTCCCACAGCCACAGTTTGGCAACCTGTAAAATGTGCATGGTAATATCTACTTTATTAAGTCCATATAAAATTTAAATTAGACAAACAAGATAAAAGCACCTGGCAGTTAGTTAACACTCAACAATAATTAATCTTCCCTCCCCCACCTTTATTAAATAATTAGGCTTTTCCAGTTTATCTTCCACATATATACCAAAGATACGTTCATAATTATGTAAGACCAAAGGGCTTTTTACCTTTTACAGCCCTGAGTTCCTGAGATACCCCATTAAGTCTGTGTACTTATTTGCAAATTTATATTTTGTTTCTTGTTTTGTTTTTTGTTTTAGTTTAACCCCTATGTGTGCCAGAGTCAGTGCTGCATAGTTTGAGCCTGATAGGATTAACTTTACAAATGAGACATTTAAGTCACATCTGCCAAGAATTATGATTTGAATGAAACTTTAACTTACACAGGTTTTTAGATTTAGTTAGCCTAAGTTATCAGCTGTCTGAAGTTATTCATAACCTAAGTGGGGCATGGCCCTGAAAAGGAGGGATGAGAACTGCTGATCTTAGTTACTCTGAGAACCCACTACTCTGTAATCATACCTATAAAATCATTCGTGTGCTGGCAGCCCCAAAAGGAGCATAAACCAGGGACTTTGATATCATGCAGCAGAAGACCAAATTATTTCTCCAAGCTTTGAAGTATAGTATTCCTCACCTTGGAAAATGCATGCAGAAACAGCATTTGAATCACTATAACTTCGCTGATCATTGTTACAATAGAATAAAATTGAAAAAATATCACCTAACCAAGTGTCTTCAGAATAAACCCAAGATATCAGAGTTAGCAAGAAACATCCCAAGTCGGAGCTTCTCATGTAAGGTATGGACTGTTTAAGTTAACCTATTTGTAGGTCATTAAGATTAATTTTAATTTAAAAATAAAGAATGGGTAGAATATCAGAGCTACTAATTTTCTCAGTAATTCTAACTTGATTTTTCTAATTTTCAAGTCTCAATTGTCTCTAGTCAAAAGTAAGTATAAAAGAGTATATACATCGAGGCAGGCAGATCACCTGAGGTCAGGAGTTCGAGACCAGCCTGGCCAACATGGTAAAACCCTGTCTCTACTAAAAATACAAAAGTTAGCTAGGCGTCATGGCACCCACCTGTAATCCCAGCTACTTGGGAGGCTGAGGCAGAGAATCTCTTGAACCCAGGAGGCAGAGGTTGCGGTGAGCTGAGATCGCACCACAGCACTCCAGCCTGGGTGACAGGGAGACTCTGTCTGAAAAAAAAAAAAAAAAAAAAAGTGTATACATATATTTATAGGGCTCTAATGTAATATATAAAAATGTAGGTTTATAAAAAATGATTCACCTCAGGACTTCCTTAGTATGCCTGCCAGTGCATTTCAAAGTATAATTCGGCCTTCTAAATTTCCTAGAACACTAAATTATAGCTCTTAATAAAATCTAATGATACGCTAATTGTTTTATGAATCACAAATCAGTAAACTTCAGTAAAGGCCATGAATTGTATTTTATTTCTCTGTAAAAAAATGAAAAATAATCTTGCGTTTTTGACCACTTGAGTCATTCAGGAAGACACTGTCAGAGTATTGTACTTCTGCCAGACCCCAAGCTGTGGGCGTGAACTCAACCTTAAGGACCTGATTGCCCTTATATAGAGAGTAACCACATAACCACTTTTGCCTGGCACAGCTCCAGCCTACACCTGTTGTCCCTGTGTAATTATTAATAGTGTCCCCTTTCCTCTCAAAAGTGTCCTGGTTAGAATGGTAAATTATATGGTCATCCTACAGTAAGTAGGATTAAATGATCTATTTGTGCTGCTGCTGCTTTGACATCCCTCTCCTACCTTTTACTTCTTATGTTCCTTAGGTTCCTTAATGATATTTGGGGGTGGTATTCTTGCAATAGTTTCACAAATTTATGATTTTAATATTTTTTTTATTTTAATTTCTGGTTTTGTCGCATACTGATTTTTCTTTTAGTCTGTTTTGGCTTCCTCCTTTCTTCGGGTAAAATATATGTATAACAAAGTTTTCCACTTGATCCATTTTAAAGTATGCAATTCAGTGGCTTTCAAAGTTCATCTGTGTTGTATGCATGTATCATAACTTCATTTCTTTTTATAGTTGAATAATATTCCTTTGTATGTATAAACCACATTTTGTTTATCCATTCCTGTAATTGATGGACACTTGGGCAGATTCTTCTCATTTTAGAAACTATCTTTTCAATCTAATTTTTCTCAGTTTTTCTAGTTTTTGTTCAATTTTTGCCGCTATCTTAGCTGATACCTATTTAGGTGTTGTGTGTGTCTCTTTTGCTTTTAACATTTTATATGTTAGCCCCCTAGTCTTCCTAGACTTTTACTGTTTATGTTTTAGTCTTTGAAATTCTTTTCCTTTTTGTAGTGTCTTGCCTTAGTTTAGTACTTTCTTTACTCATTTAGAAATTCTTTATAACTTCTTTTTATTTCATTTTTGTGTTTTTTGTACATCTTTCCTACTTCAGAAAGATAAAATTTTTAATTTCACCTATTGAACTAAATTTTGGACCTTTAGGTTATTTTATTTTGCATTGTGTTTAGAACATTTTGTCATGTCGTACTTTGTCTTAACACTTAGTTTATAAATAGTAGACAGGAATTACCATCAGAGTAACAGCTGTGATATTAGCTCACATTCTAAACAGAAGGTTGACTATTTCTTCCCTCCATTTGTTCCTGAAGCAACTTTTCCGTTCTCTTTTATAGATTCCCACTACCTGGAAACTTTAACCTGACTCAATAACTCCAAGTATTAATAGTTCATTTAGTAATTCCTTTACCTGATAAAGTAATCCTGCTGTCACATGTCATGTATCAACCATTCCCTCTATGAGAAATGATGTAATGTAAAAGCCATGGTCTTTATCACTGAGACCTGGGGAAGCTTTATAAAGATGCCCCGGCAGCTGTGAAAACACCTGTAGAGAAGAATGCACATTTCCTTCTTTCAGCAAGCATCCACTGATTTCCAACTCTGTCCACTTTTATAGGGTGTAATAAAGTAGAAAAAGTAGTTACTGCTTTTAGGTAAATTAAAATGTCTGCTTAAAGAGCTATTACCTATATAAGTTAACTAAGGAACAGAAAAGTAGCATGTGTAGTGGGAATGTTAGAAGGCAAAAGATCCAGCCACGATTGGTGTGACTGAACTAATCAGGACTCCTAATTTTCCTGACTGAAAAAAATAGGGAGTTCTGATCAGGCATACTGGCTCACGCCAGTAATCCCAGAACATTGGGAGGCCAAGGCGAGCAGATTGTCCGAGCTCAGGAATTCGAGACCAGCCTTGGCAACATGGCAAAACCCCAACTCTACCAAAAAGACTAAAAATTAGCTGGGTATGGTGGCGCACGCCTGTAATCCCAGCTGCTTGGAAGGCTGATGTGGGATGATTGATTCAGCCTGGGAGGTCGAGGCTGCAGTGAGGTTGAGGCACAGTGAGATCTTCAGCCTGGGTGACAGAAGGATACCCTGTCTCAAAAAAAAAAAAATAGGGAGTTTCAACTTGTCATTCTGTAGAAAGTCTTAGAGGTGCTAAAATTTCATGATTCTATACCTCTTGTTACCTTAGCAACAAATTACTGCCTAAAAGTTTGGGGACTCTTCAGTATCAACTTCTGCAGTCTAACTGTATATCAGAAATCCTGGAGAGCTTTTTAGAAATGCGGATTCCTGGATCTCACCCCACATCTGCGTAATGAAAATCTCTATGGTTGAGGCCTACACATCTGTTGTTTGTTTGTTTGTTTGTTTGTTTGAGACGGAGTCTTGCTTTGTTGCCCAGGCCGGAGTGCAATGGCATGATCTTGGCTCACTGCAACCTCCACCTCCCAGATTCAGGCAATTCTCCTGCCTCAGCTGCCAAGTAGCTGGGATTACAGGCGTCCACCACCATGCCCAGCTAAATTTTTTTGTATTTTTTAGTAGAGACAGGGTTTCACCACGTTGGTCAGGCTGGTCTCGAACTCCTGACTTCAGGTGATCCACCTGCCTCGGCCTCCCAAAGTGCTGGGATTACAGGAGTGAGCCACCATGCCCGGCCCCAGATCTGTTTTTTGAAGTTCACATCAGGTAATTCTGGAACTCACAACTTGACTGACACTGGACCTGAATTTAGAAATTGGAAATGTTTGATGATCAAGTGTTGCCGATCTAAACCTTATTGAATTCATTCAGTTCTGCAGTTCTTATTGGCAAGTACCTCTGCTTTCCATTTTACATTAGCCAGATGGCAAGATGAACTTACTCTATTATACTTACAAGCCAGCCAGTGATATTCAAAGACTAGCATCCATCCATCCAGATATCACATTTCTTTATCTTCCACATCATCCTGCTCTGCTCTGCCTAAAAAATAATTCCCAAAATCTTTAATAGTGATAATTTGAACAAGATACAAAATGAAATTGTATAATTAAAGAGAGAAGACTAAATCCTTTGGTTAAACATGTCATTTGCCTATTTCTACAATACAGGTTAGCAGCTCCTGCAATAGTCTCATATTCATATGTGTGTGTGTGTGTATATATATATATATATATATATATATAATATGTAGTTTTGTATATCTTGCAAAAAGTTTGAGCTACATCCTTTTAAGCAATAGAATGTTATTGAAAAATGTAGGCGCAATCAGATTTGCATTTTAGAAGAATCACTCTGACAGAATAGAGAATAAATTGGAAGTAGGAAGCCTTGTCAGTAACTCAGATGAGTGAAGATGAGAGTCTTTACAGGGTGATTGCTTTTTTTTGAGACAGTGTCTCACTCTGTCACCCAGTCTGTAGTGCAGTGGCACAGTCTCTGCTCACTGCAACCTCCACCTCCCAGGCTCAAGTGATTCTCGTGCCTTAGCCTCCTGAGTAACTGGAATTACAGGCATGTGCCACCACACCCAGCTAATTTTTTTATATTTTAAGTAGAGACAGGGTTTCGCCATGTTGGCTAGGCTGGTCTGGAAGCCCAGCCTCAAGCAATCCACCTGCCTTGCCCTCTCAAAGTGCTGGGATTACAGGCATGAGCCACCGCAGCTGGCCCTGATTACATTTTATTTGAGACATCTTAATGGAAGACTAGAGAGCTTGAGTGATAATTCCTCATCTCTTTGGATTCTAAAATCCAAAAGCCTGTTAGAAAACAAATGATTTTTTTTAACTGATTGGAGGCTGTTGAGAATGGGCAAAACCTGACCTAAACTGACACAAAGCTATTATGATCTTTATCCCAATTAGTAGATGTTTAGCTCTAAAATGTTACTGCATTTGATTAGAGTGTTGTTCCCCTGTAAACTGAGATAAGGTACCCAGTTAACATTCCAAAATCTCAAAATTCTAAAACGTACCTGGTTTATCTTTATGTTTCAGATGGACTTATTTCACAGTCATGTATGTAATCTTACTGATATTCAGATCTTAAGGGTGAAGAAGGCCGGGCGTGGCGCCTCACGCCTATAATCCTAGCACTTTGGGAGGCTGAGGCGGGTGGATTGCCTGAGGTCAGAAGTTCAAGACCAGCCTGACCAACATGGCAGAACCCCATTGCTACTGAAAATCCAAAAATTTTAGCCGGGCCTGGTGGCGCATGCCTGTAATCCCAGCTACTCGGGACGCTGAGGAAGGAGAATCACTTGAACCCGGGAGGTGGAGATTGCAGTGATCTGAGATCGTGCCACTGCACTCCAGCCTGGTGTGATGGGAGCGAGGCTCCATCTCAAAAAAAAAAAAGAGAGGAGGAAAGGATAAATATAACTCACTAGTAAAGTGGAGATTTCAGTAGCAGTTGGATATATGAGTCTGGAATTTGGGGAGAGTTGTTACATGTAGATAGTAGTTGAAGCCATAGGAGTCAAATCACTATATTTACCTCTCTGCTATTACTACATCATTTTAAACTTTTCCTGTCTCCCCATTATATTGGGAGGTCCTTAAAGACAAGAATTTTATAATACACATCTTGCCAGCACATAGCATAACGACTGCCACATTGTAGATAAGCAACGTGTTTATAGAATGAATTAATAGTTAAATTAATGCATTTTTTCTTTTCATATAACCATAAATTTTATTGCTAGAAAACATACCCCAGAAATCATCCCATCTGAGCTCTTTCTTTAGGTCTTTGATACTTTTTTTGTTGTTGTTGTTGTTGAGAGAGGGCCTCACTCTGTTGCTCAGGCTGGAGTGCAGAGGCACAAACATGGCTTACTGCAGCCTCAACCTCCTGGGCTCGTGCTGTCTTCCTGCCTTACCTTGCAAGTAGCTGGGCCCACAACTATGCCCAGCTAATTTTTTGATTTTTTGTGTGTGTGGAGACAGGGTCTCACTTTGTTGTGCGGGCTTGTCTCAAACTCCTAAGCTCAAGTAATCCTCCTGCCTCAGCCTCCCAGAGTGCTGGCATTACATGTGTGACCCACCATGCCCAGCCCTATGACCCATTTTGAGTTCATTTTGTTTATAGTGCAAGGGATTGGGGTACAACTTTATTATTTTGCTTGTGGATATCCATTGTCTGAGCAACATTTGTTGAAAAGAGTGTTCTTTTTCCATTGAATTGTCTTGGTGTCCTTTCTGAAAATCAACTGACCATAAATTCAATGGTTTATTCTTGACTCTCACTTTCATCTCATTTTTGTATATGTCTGTCGTTATGCCAGTACTACACATTTAATTACTATAGCTTTGTAATAAGTTTTATTTATTTATTTATTTATTTTTTGAGATGGAGTCTCGCTCTGTCGCCCAGGTTGGAGTGCAGTGGTGCCATCTCAGCTCACTGCAACCTCTGCCTCCCAGATTCAAACAATTCTCCTGCCAAGGCCCCCCGAGTAGCTGGGATTACAGGTGCCTGCCACCATGCCCAGCTAATTTTTTTTTTATTTTTAGTAGAGACAGGGTTTCACCATGTTGGCCAGGCTGGTCTCAAACTCCTGACCTCAGGGTGATCTGCCCAACTTGGCCTCCCAAAGTGCTGGGATTACAGGCATGAGCCACTGCGCCTGGCCTGTAATAAGTCTTAAAATCAGGAAGCGTGTGTATTCTTTCTAAACAAATGAAGAAACTAAAGCCACAGAGCCTAAAGTTAAGTAAGAAAACTAGTAGAGTCAGAAGTAGACCTAAGTTAGCCTCATTCACAGTACCTTTCTTTTTTAATATCTTGTAGTACAGGTAGACCATCCCTAATACAAAATCTGAAATGCTCCAAAATCCAAAACTTTTTTAAATAGAGACAGAGTCTTGCTATGTTGCCCAGGCTGGTCTGAAGCTCTTGGGCTCAAGCAATCCTCCTGTCTCAGCTTCCCAAAGTGCTGGGATTACAGGCATGAGCTGCCACTCATGGCCAGTGAGCATCTTTTCTTACACTTATTGATCCTATAGTTTTTCTTCTTGAATGCCTATTCTTGTCTTTTGACCTTCTTTTAATTGTCTGTCCTTTTCTTACTGATTCATAAGATTTCTTTACGTGTCCTTTGTCTTTTATATGTGCTGTAGATATCTTCTCCATATTTGTTCTATTATTATTTTTTTCACTTTGTGATATCTTTTGTTAAATATGTTTTTTTCATTTTATGTTTTATGCTGTCTGAATTTTATTCAACTCAGCAAATATTTGTTGAACACCTGCTATGCACCATTCTAGGCACTGGAGATATAACACTGAACAAAATAAACAAAAATCCCTGCCTTTGTGAAGCTTACCATCCTACTTGAGAAAGGAAAAGAGAAAGAATAAAGAATTACATGAACAAGGCTAGGTGCAATGGGTCATGCCTGTAATATACTTTGGGAGGCTGAGGTGGGCTCATTGCTTGAGCCCAGAAGTTCAAGAACAGCCTGGGCAACATGGCAAAACCCTGTCTCTACAAACAATGCAAAAATTAGCTGGGCATGGTGGCGCCTGTAGTCTCAGCTACTTGAGAGCTGAGATCAAGGATCAATTGCTTGAGCCCAGGAGGCAGAGGTTGCAATGAGCCGAGATCATGCCACTGCACTCCAGCTGAGGTGGACACAAGCAAGTCCTCATCTCTCAAAAAAATAAAAAGAATTACATGAATGAAATACAAAGTGGGTCAAAAGCGATAGTTATGGCGAAGAAGAAAAGAAAAAAAAGACGGGGAAGATGTGAATAGGCAGTGTGGGGATAGGGAGGGGTGTTATTTTAGTAAAATGGTTAGGAAAGGCCTAACTTAGAAGATGACATTTGAGCAATAGCTTTAAGGAGGTATTTGGGCATAGGGCCCAAGTTCTAAGAAACTGATATGGGAGCAAGCTTGATATGTTCAAGAAACATCAAGTATGGATTAACTGGAATAAGTGGGCTTGGCGTGTAGCAGTAGATTAGGTCAGCAATGTAATGGGACAAGATTCTTTAGGACTTTGTAGACCATTGTAAGAATTTTTGCTTTTCCTCTTGAGCAAGATGGGAAACCACTGGAGGGTTTTGAGTGGAGTAACATAATCTGACTTCAGACTCACACAAGCTCCTTTGTTGAAAATAGACCAGGAGGCAAGCGCAGAAGCAGAGAAAGCTTTTGGGCTTTTGCAGTAATCCAAGGGAGAAATGATGATGATACTAGCCAAGTAGTCCAGTCCAAGTGTGAGAAGTGGTCAGATTCTAAATATATGTTGAAAGTAGAATTGAGAGGATTTAGCAGACCAGTTGTTTGTGGCAAGAGAAAAAGACAAATCCAACTGTAATGTTTTTAAGCCTGAGTAGCTGGGAGGACAGATTTGTCATTTATGTAAATTGGAAAGATTGCCTGGAGAACAGGGTTTTGTTTTTTTTTTTTTTAATAGGGCGAGGGATATATGGGGAGATTTAAAGTTCAGATTCGGACATTTTTTGGCATATTAGACATCTAAGTAAAAATGTTGGGTAGTCAGTTGGATATACAAGTTCATCTTGGTCAGGATTGTTCAGGCTACAGCTGTAAATTTGGGAGTCCTTAGCATATAAATGGTATTTAAGGTCATGACTGGATGAGATCACCAAGGGAATTAGTGCAGACTGCAAAGAAGAGAAGTACTTAGTGCAGGAATTGAGCTCTGCCAGTGTTAAAAAGCCAGGGAGATGCCAGGCCCAGTGGCTCACGCCTGTAATCCCAGCACTTCGGGAGGCTGAGGCGGGTGGTTCACCTGAGGTCAGGAGTTTCAGACCAGCCTAGCCAATATGGTGAAACCCCATCTCTACTAAAAATACAAAAAAAAAAAAAAAAATTAGCCAGCGTGGTGAGCAAGTGCCTGTAATCCCAGCTACTCAGGAGGCGGAGGCAGGAGAATCGCTTGAACCCAGGAGGCAGAGGTTGCAGGGAGCCGAAATCCCATCTCAAACAAAAAAAAAGCCAGGGAGTTGAGAAGGAACTAGCTAAAGATACTGAGAAGGAAGGGCCAGTGAAGTAAGAGGAAAACAAGGAGAATGAGGTGTCCTGGAAGCCAAGTAAAGAAAAGTGTTTTTAGGAGGAGGAAGTGATCAATTGTATCATGATCCTGACAGGTCAAGTAATATGAATACTGAACATTAACTTTTGCACTTTGCAATGTGGTAGCCATTGAGTGACCTTGACAGGAGCAGTCAGTGGCATAAGAAGAGCAAAAGTCTGGGCTCTAGAGAAGGGGTAAGGAGAAGAATTGGAGGCAGAAGATGAAAGGAACAAGTTTCCTTCATTTAACAGTTGCTTTTAAAAAATAAAATGAGTTAACAGCAAATACAATTAGTTGTTTTACATGAACATTATTAAAATTTTGGAAATCTCATTGGTGTTTCATGGTTGCTAAATACCATGTATATGCTAATATGAATTAATTTCAGGTATTTTGATTACAGATTTAGTATATTTCTGTGTAAGATAACTGACAGAAACTATTAAGGAAGTTCCTCTCTATTCCTAATTTAAGGTTTTATCATTTTTTTAAAGTGTGATTATTTTTTATTTTTTCCCTGCATTTATCAAAAATGGCTCTAAGATTTATCTCCTTTATTTGTGTTAGATTACATTGATAGATTTTTTTCTGATGTTGGACCATCCTTTCATTCTTAGGAAAAAATCCTTCTTGGTCACATTAAGTTTAATTGGTATTACTATTACTGTTCTTATTTTGTGCTTTTTAAAATTAAAAATTTGATTTTATCAAGTTTTATTTTAGAATAAGATTGATTTTTTTAATTGTCTCATATCATCATTGTCTAATTTTGATGTCAAGGTTATATTAGCCTAATAAAATGAGTAGTTTTACCTCTTTTACTATTTTTTTAAATAGTTGACGTATGAAAAGATTAGCTGTTTCTTGAAGATCCAAGAAAGCTACATTTGAAAGCATCTGGGCTTGGTGTTTCTTTCAAGAAGGGGACATTTAGTTAGCAATTTAATTTCTTTAAGAGTTAGTGACTTATATAGCTTTTCTATTTCTTGGGTCAATTTTGGTAATTTTTCTTCCTGGAAAATTACCCATTTCATTTATTTTCAAATAGATTCACATAAAGCTTATTGTAATTTTTAAAAATCTCTGTTGTATCTGTAATTATGCCTTTTTCTCTCCTCGTATTCTTTTTTCTTGACCTCGTGATCCACCCGCCTTGGCCTCCCGAAGTGCCGAGATTACAGGCGTGAGCCACCGCGCCCGGCCTCGTATTCTTTTTTCTATCAGTTTTGTGATGTTTGTTTTTTAATAGGTTTCTAAAAGAACCAACTTTTAATTTGATTCTCTTTAGTTTCTTTGTTATCAATTTAATTTCAAAAATTAATTTTCTTACCTTTCTTCTACTTCCTTAAGACTTACTCTTTTTCTGTTTTCCTAAATTGAAATGCTTCATATTGCATTCTGTTTTTCAATTGCTGTGGATTTATGTTTTTTCAATGTATTATTTATTATTTATTATTCTTTTTGAGGCTCCAGTTGTCCAAAATGTGGCCTGTAGAAACCCCTTCAGTTGACACTTGTATTCTTTTGACATGTCTCCATTAAACTTTGAGCACTTCCTTATTTTCTGGCATAAGATTTCCCAAACCTACCATGTATTTTCTCCCTGCTCTAGCCTTAGAATTAGCCATTTACTAATGGCTAATTAGTCTTGACTGAAGGGCTGTCCGGTGTCTTTCTACTTCACCATTTTTTCTATCTTTAGAGTTCAGCATCTTTGCCATGATAAAGTTAACACATATCATTCTCCTTCTATTTTATAACAGCTTTCATTGTTAAAATGATTTAGTGGTGGGTCACTTGGGGAGTGGGAAGGAGTGCTTCTTTTTACCACTAATGGAGTGATACTGTACCAGTAACCTTCTCAAAATCTGAAGGTAAAGCCATCCTTACCTCAGCTCCATTGGGTAGTATATGCCTTTGAAACAACTGGACTAAGATACCTGGCTAAAATGGATGGCTTTAGCTGTGTACGCTAATGATATTGCTAGCTGAAATTGAAATGAAAGCTTAAAACACTGAGCAGGTATCCCTGGGACGCAACAAAAACCAAAAGTAACCTGGAGTACTTAATGAATATTATATAAAACCTCAGTTTCCATGGGAGTAATTCCTTTAGAAGAGTTACTTAGAAAGCTGTTGAGTTCTGCTTGAATTTCGTTAAGGGAGTCAAAAATCCTATTGCTTTCAGAGTTATTTTGGTTCAGATAAGCTCAGTTTATTTGGATATATGACAGAAAAAATGTTAATCAGGAAGGAATGTAAAGTTAAGAAGATGAGTTTTGGAGCCCGCTCTGTTGCTTTTGGCTCTGTGTTGGCTATGACTCTCAGTAAGAATGAGTATTTAAAAGTGACAGAACCCAGCTCCATGACCTAGAATGTGCTAGAAGCTACAGGGTAGTAGAGAGATAATCCTGACTCTACTTCAAAAGTTTTAATGGAAATTACAGAACAGACAATCCTGAATCTAGAAATGCAAAGGCAGCTCCTATTGCTATTTTACAGTTTCAGAATAGATTTTTAGTCATCTTCTGACTTATGATGGTGATATGAGGGGATTATTGATACAGATATCATGTCTCACCACTTTAAAGATCAACTGTAGATTTTGTAGAAATGCTTTAAAAATGAATGAAAAATAAATATATAAGCCTCCAGTATTTGATCTTCAAATAATTACTCAAAAAATTAACTGTATGGAATGAGGAGGCACACACCTATCTATAGTCCCATCTACTTGGGAGGCTGAGGCAGGAAGATTGCTTGAGCCCAGGAGTTTGAGTCCAGCCTGGGCAACATAGTGAGACCCTGTCTCTTAAAAAAAATTCAGAAAATTATATGATAGTAAGTAGAGGCTAAATGATTGAGACTATCATAACAACCATTATTGCTAATTTTAATCTAATTCAAATAATAATGTGTCCCAAAAAAATCTAAAAGGAAAACCTTTGTGAAAATGATTATTTTCCATTTAATTTGTTTTGGTGATTTTTCCGTTATATTCTTGTGTTTAATTTTAGATTGTAAACTCTTTGTAATATAAACTGTATTTATAGCTTACATTCTCTACAATGTTGGTAAAGTATCATGGACATATTTTATGCAATAAATACTTTCCAGCTGTTGGCGATCCTTACCAAAGACTTAAGTCCCCCCTCTGGTACAAATCACTGTACAATTGTCATCTTTGGCAGAGAGCTGAAGTAAAATATCTTGGCCAGAATCCTTTTGCTTAAACAAGGCAAACCACTGGAGTGTTGAATTATTAAACAGTTTTTAAATTTGATAACAGGTTTTGCTTTATCCAAATTGTAATGATTTATATGATATTAATTTGCTTACCAGAACTCAAATAAAGCTGTCAGCTTATTAGTCACTCTTGATAAGACACAGTGAATGCTTATTTAGCTTTCATCTATATCTCCACTCATGTTCATTATTTTCTATTATTTTTCCTGGTTCTTCCTTTCATAAAGTGAACATGTTATTTTTCCTCAAAGAAACTGAAAAAGAAGCTCTGTTTCATTAGGCATTAATTCCCTTTTTTTTGTTGTTGTTGAGACAGGGTCTCACTCTGCATGCTGGAGTGCAATGGCATGATCATGCTTCACTGCAGCCTCAACCTCCTGGGCTCAGGTGATCCCTCCCACCTCAGCTTCCCAAGTAGCTGGGACTACAGGTGTGTGCCACCACACCTGGCTAAATTTTTTTGTATTTTTTTATAGAGACGGGGTCTCGCTATGTTGCCCAGGCTGGTCTTGAGCTCCTGGGCTCAAGTGATCCATTCTCCTTGGCCTCCCAAAATGCTGGGGTTACAGGCATGAGCCACTGCGCCTCGCCAGTTTACTTTTTGATGTGATAAACAGTTCTGTTTTGGGGCTTAGTTATTCCCACAAGAAAAGAAAATTATATCCCTTGGTTCTCAGACCCATTTAAATTTAAAAAATTTAAAAAGTAAAAAATTATAGTTAATGAAGTAGGGAAATATTTCTTATCACTCTGGCTGTGAATAAAATAATAGTGAACATTTATTAGTAGTGATAATGTCTTCCACTTCTTTGATATTTCCCTTCTTTTAGGAAGTACTTCAGTACTTCCTAAACGCGAAAGATTTTTTTCTCTACCTGATTTTCCTATTAAATATGTAAAAGTTCATGGAATTTTATTTTCTCCTTAATTGTGTATAAATTTTCCCCATAGTATTTCTGAACATTCTTCTGAGCTTCTTAGTATTCCTGCTTCTTAAGGACTTATTCATCTAAAATAATAGTATAACCATCAAATGTCTATCTTACTTTGTTTACTTTTTTTAACGAAAAAGATCATTTTATTGATGAGCCTAGGAAAGAACATTTACAATCTGTGAAATACCTACTATTTAATCTTATTTCTTTTTTGTACAACGTTAAGTCTACGGTATAGACCTACTTATCTTTAAAAAGCAAAAGTTTTTTTTCCCTAGTTTGAAATATTTTGATCATAACAAAACTTTTTCCAGGATCTTCAGCCTGTTAAACAAGAAAACGAAAAACCCCTTCCAGAAAACATGGATGCATTTGAAAAAGTGAGAACAAAATTAGAAACACAGCCACAAGAAGAATATGAAATCATCAATGTGGAAGTAAGATATCTCATGTCTTTAAAAAAAAATTTTTGATATTACCAATCAAGATGCAAATGAGATACTTGGTGATTTAGAGACATAGTCCACATCAAGATTATACTGCTTTTGGCCTTTAAAATATGCTGAAAAACTTAAAAAGCAAAGATTTCAGAGATTGTGATCACAGAATGTGATCCTTTACATCTTTTAATAAATGTAAAGATCGAAAGTAAGATGAATTTTCAACTGTAATATATTAATTCTGGTTTTTGCAAACAATCAGTTCCGATTTAAAAAAAAAAAATTTCAAGAGACAGGGTCTCACTGTGTTGCCCTGGCTGATCTTGAACTCCTGGGCTCAAGCAACCCTCCCACCTCAGCCTCCCAAAGTGCTGAGATTATAGGTGTGAGCCACCATGCCCAGCACTGATTTAAAAATTTTTTAATCATTCTAAGGAGAAGTTCAAATGAAAGTAGTTCATACTTTGTTATTATTTGAAAATTACTTGATTGTTTTGTCTAAATTTTTTAATAAAAGGAATTCACTTTAAGTAGTATAATACCATGAAAGCCAAGTATCTGTTTAACCATTTTATGGTTATCACAGTCATAAATAGTCAGTCGAAATGAATTGAGGGCTGTGCGTGCAGTGGCTCACGCCTGTAATCCCAGCACTTTGGGAGGTCAAGGTGGGCAGATCACCTGAGGTCAAGAGTTCAAGACCAGCCTAGCCAACATGGTGAAACCCCATCTCTACTAAAAATACAAAAATTAGGCATGGTGGCAGGCGCCTGTAGTCCCAGCCACTCAGGAGGCCGAGGCAGGAGAATCACTTGAACTCAGGATGCAGAGGTTGCCCTGAGCCAAGATTGCACCACTGCACTCCAGCCTGGGTGACAGAGCAAGACTCTGTCTCAAAAAAAAAAGAAAAAATGAATTGAATTTTTCAATAAGATTGGAAAATTGAACCGCAATAGGTGAAAATCACATACATAGTAGAGTGGAAATAGTAGGTTAAGAATAAGGATCTCCAGATTCAAATTACGCCACCAACTAACAGATAATAAACGTAAGCCACTGAAATCATATCAACCAATCAATTACATTTAATATGTAGGCATTAGACAAGAACACTATTTATATTTGGGTAATATTAATTCTCTCAATTTCAAATTGTATTTGTCACCCTACAGCAGGTGAAATAGTTTGTGTTAAGTCAAGACTGTGTATAGTTGTTGGTGACAGCATATTTTAAAGGAAGGAGTCTCAGAAAGTTATAGACTGGGTTTTCAGGCTAGTCTGAGCCACAGTTTCCTCATCTGCATCATTTTGGATTGTCTTAAAGATGCCACTTGATTTCTGTTAATTGACTCCCACTGTACAGGTATCAGATGTTTCTAAAATGTAGCAGAAGTGGTTTGTACAGTTGTGAGAACTGACAGATTTTGTTATACCTTTTCTTTATTGCCTCTTGTATTTATGTATTAAAAACCCCTCTAGTGGTTATGAACATACGAAAACCATATCTTATCAACTACATTGTAAAAATGGTCAATTTTATATTTCATATGTGTTCATTCATATACTTCAACAGGTCTGTTTTTTATAAGAGTCTTCATTTCATCTTCATCTTGAATAGTCAGACTATGAAAAGGTTAATTAAATTATTATTAAGTAAACTGCATGTTTCTTTTGTCAGGTTAAACATGGTGGTTTTGTTTATTACCAAGAAGGTTGTTGCTTGGTTCGTTCCAAAGATGAAGAAGGTACACCACAATTTTTCTTTTTACGTGCTCTAATTTTCAGATTTCATATTTTTTATAGGAAATTTATTAATTTCTCAAAGATAGAGAAAAGATTTTTTTAAAGATTATTTCTGAATTTTTTTTTAATGACTAGTTTTTAATATCTGGGTTTGTGTAAGATATAGTTAGACTCAGAAGCTTTGGCAGGGAGAATGGAGACGGCATCCAGCATTTTTTGAGCATCTGCTGTGTCTTGGGTACTATGCTAGGCACTTGGCATATATTGTTGATTGTCATTTATATTCACTTACTTTCTAGGTTCTGTATGGTCTGTAAATACTAAACTAGACTATAACAATATCAAATAATGTCTCATAGGTTGATGCACAGAATAGTATTGAATAGTATAAGGTAATATTAAATAACTTATTGTCAGTTGATGTGCAAGTTAAGCTGCCATCATTGTTGAAAGAAGCTAGGATATGGCCTCTTACAGAATGGGAATTCTAATTTAAAACATTAAAATACAGTTTTAATTTTTTAAAGTACATCCTTTGAAGTTATCACTTTCGTATTTTTCTTTATACAGCAGACAATGATAATTATGAAGTTTTATTCAATTTGGAGGAACTTAAGTTAGACCAGCCCTTCATTGATTGTATCAGAGTTGCTCCAGATGAAAAATATGTGGCTGCCAAGATAAGAACTGAAGATTCTGAAGCATCTACCTGTGTAATTATAAAGCTCAGCGATCAGCCCGTAATGGAAGCTTCTTTCCCGAATGTGTCCAGTTTTGGTAAGCCACCAACCAAAATAGTCCTCTGTGTTGAAAGGCAACGGTAACACTTTTGAAACATTTTTTTGTCGCATGTGAGGGAGGGAGAAGGTGAATGCCTGATTCATGTATCCCTATGGACTATACATCTTCCTATGTACCTCTTATTCAGGAGACCTTCCCTTATTTAATTATATATCTAGATGGGTAATTTTAAAATACTCATGTTTTTAAAAGTGTTATAATTAGAGTCCATGTCATACAATATGTTTTGATTTATCAGAATTATTTGCCAAATTATTATCTAGAATAAATTTTTACACGTAAGTTGCATCTTAATATTTTATTCAACTTTAAGCTTGAATGTATTTTTTTAATTTCATGTTATCTTATAGAGCTGTTACAGCATAAAGTCACTACCAAAGAACTTGGTATGTGTTGAACTAACCTGTTTATCAATGGAAGCTGTGACATTTTTAGTAATAGAACTAACTTTAAATTTATCATTGAGTGGTACATATGTTACATTTTGTCCTCCCTTTTCATTTTCAGCCATCATTTTCTCCATTGTTTAACTAAATGTTGTTGCAGTGAATTGAAATTATACCCTAACTATTGAATTCTAAGACATATATTTTGTACATTTTATAACCTTTAAAATCATGGTGCATATTATACAATGATGACTTACAATCACTGTCAGCCAGGTGGCAGTCATGGTGTAATTGTGTGCAAACTTCTGTTGACAGCTTCTGGTGGGATCAAGAATCAGCATTAAATTGTGTTTGGTAGTTGGAGATATCCTGTGGCTTGAAAGCAGACAGAGAAGGTTTACACATGAGAGAAAGATGCAATATTCCTTCAGACTTACAGTTTCAAGTTGTAGATTGAGACGGAATTCACCTCCTAAAAGCAAATGTGACTTTACCAATGTCTTTCCTAAATATTGAGCATTTAGCTCTTATTTAGAAACCTGAGTACCCTGAGACTGATAACTACTTGAAACCTTGGAATGGTGTAGTAGTGGTTTATTCTCAGGAAAGCTCTCTGGCTTATATACAGCACAGATTAGATACAGTCAAATATTTAGATTTCCAGGGATAAACTTGCACATGTTCTCACTGGCATTCAAAATTAGAATGTGCTGTGCTTTTTTTTTTTTTTTAATGGAGTGTAGGTGATTATGTATAATTATCTCATTATTTTCTTTCAGAATGGGTAAAGGACGAGGAAGATGAAGATGTTTTATTCTACACCTTCCAGAGGAACCTTCGCTGTCATGACGTATATCGAGCCACTTTTGGTGATAACAAACGTAATGAACGCTTTTACACAGAAAAAGACCCAAGGTACTAGAATAATATAATTAAATCTTTCTCTCCAGAACCTTCCTCCAGTTATTTAAAGTACTGACTTTGGTTGACTTAAAACGTTTATTTTGGTTGGAACCAGGAATAATAAGGCTAAAACGATCATTCTTTTATTAGTTGTTTGTATTCAAAATTGGAGTCTGGTAATATTCAAAATCAGAGTAAATACAGATATATCACTAATATTTTATTAAAAACTGAAATTGATTTTGTGAATTACAACATAGTTCATTCATGTAAATTCATAAAGATGACCTAGAACTGCTAGATTGTGAACAGACTGAGTCTGTTTCACCTTTGCATCTTAATTGATAAGCAGGGTGCCAGGTTTGTATAGTGCTATTTAGTCAGTATCTATTGCTTAAATAAATGGTATATACTTAGATAGGTATCTCTCTTTCAAACTAAAACCCCTTGTTCCTGATGATTGTTGAGTACCTTTTAACCATTAAATTCTTAGTAATATATAGAAGAATTTAAAGTATGTGTTGCTACTAAATTATAAATTAAAACTAACTCAAAAATGTATTATTGTGCTAGGTGAAAAAATTAAATATATGCTATGGTTTCAATTGGGTATCAAGGAAAAAAGATGCATTTTTAAAAGATTGAAAGGAAATACACCCAAAGTACTAACAATGGTTTTTTTTTTACTTTTCTTTTTTTCTTTTTGTAATAAGCATTATTATTTTTATAATACATTTTAAATTTAAAAATAATTGTCGATAGAAATAATTGGAAAAAAAGATTAATGTCTAGTTCTTTATATTTCGTATATTCTCTTAGACACATTTTACCCTAGAGCCACTTGTGTTCTCACTTCCTGTAACCACATATCTAACAACTATTTGGTCAAGTAGTTTATTTTTAATTTGTCATCACCAAACTAAGCAAACAAAAATATATAAAAACAGCGAAGAAAGTGTTGAAAATAAAGAGCAAAGTAGGGTAGGGGACTTGCCCTACAATTATATATTAAAGCATATAAAGCAATAACAGTAAAAATAATACAAATTGATAGACAAATAATAGAGCTTAGAATAACTCTAAAACATAGATCCTAGTCTATGTGAAAATTTATATGATAAAAGGCATCACAAACTAATGAAAAATGAATCGGTGTTATTTTATAATGCAATGGGAAATACTATTTGGGAAAAAATAATTTTCATCATTGTATATGTCAGCATACATTCCTAAGAGATTTAAAGAACCCATTGAGAAAAATAATTTTTTAATAAGATGAAAATATAAGCTTTTTAGTCAGCTTGGTTGGAATATTTTTGAAACATAAAATCAATATAAGAAATTACAAAGGGTAGTAGCAGTCTCGATTACGTAAAATATTAAACTCAAGTCAAAAACCACAAAAACTATTGTAAATAGTTAAAATCTAGGTAACAAAATGGAGGAAAGTGTTTTCAACAAAAAGACAAGTTAATGTTCTTAATTTTTTTTTTTTTTTTTTGAAACAGAGTCTCACTCTGTCACCCAGACTGGAGTGCAGTGGCGCAATCTCAGCTCACTGCAACCTCTGCGTCCCAGGTTCAAGTGATTCTTCTACCTCAGCCTCCCAAGTAGCTGGGATTACAGGCACCTGCCACCATGCCTGGCTAATTTTTGTATTTTTTGTGGAGACGGGGTTTCACCATGTTGGCCAGGGTGGTCTTGAACTCCTGATCTCAGGTGATCTGCCAGCTTTGGCCTCCCAGAGTGCTGGGATTACAGTTGTGAGCCACTGTGCCCAGCCAATATTCTTAATTTTTAAAGAGCTATTTACATACTAATAATTTAAGCTACATTCAAAGTTTAAAATAGACACACATTTCACAAAAGAAATAACGATTGACAAATAAACATGGTAATGTGATCCAATACAGAAGAAATTTTACCAAACTATAAGCAGTTGTTATTTGGGGGCATTGGGATTCTTTACGTTTTTCAGTAGTTTCAGTATAAATTACTTTTATAATAAGGAAAAATATAAATATAACATTTAAAGCCACTCATTATGTTAGTATAGTGCTTCTAGGATATTATTTGATTATATTCATCAAGTCATAAAAATACACTTATTAAATTAGTATTTCCATTTCTAAAAATTTGTCTTGGGAAAATAATTGTGAAGATCATGGAAGGGGAAAATATCTTCATGAATATGTTTCTTGTTATATTGTTTATTATAATGAAACATTAAAATCTAAATTTTTAAGAATTATGATATATTAGGTAGCCATTAAACCTGTTATAATATTAGGTAGCCTTTAAAAATAATAATCACAAAGACTTTCAACTCATGTAGGGAGAAAATTGATATATGAAGTAAGAAATACAGAATCAAAAATTGTATCTATAATTACATCTATTTAAAGACACACATGAAATATAAATATAACTTAGAAGGAAAAATTTAAAAAGTAAAATAGCTATGTTAATGTTTTAAATGTGTTACGTTAGTAAGATTGTGAGGGGTTTTCTTCCTATTCTATTTTGTTGTAAAAACTGGGAGAAAGGAAAAAAAAATCCAAAATGCATGCAGAGAAAGAAGAAAATAAAAATAACTCCGTGTCCCTTTTATTCCCTATTTGTGTCTCCTATAGAAAGTTTATTTCCTCTTCTCAGCAAAAAGCTATGTTATCTACTCATGTGATTGAGAAATGACGTTTGTAGTTTACCTTGAAATGCATCCAAATAAAGATGGATTAATAGGTGCATAGATATGTAATAAAGTAAATGTAGCAAAATGTTAGCAATGATGGAATCAAGATGGTTTTTTCAACTTTTCTGTATTTTTGAAAAACATTTATGATAAAATGTTAGAAGTAAATTATTTTGAATGCCCTTTAGGAGAAAATGAGAAAAATAATAGCTAATTGTTAAAGTTACAAGTGATATTCACTAAGGAATTATTTTAATTTCCTATCTGCATTATAAATCAACATGTATACTGACCACCTCTGAGATACTGTCCTTAACAAGGTAGCATGCATCTGAAATAAACTGTGATCTCATGTCTCTCTCTCTCTCTCTAGCTACTTTGTTTTCCTTTATCTTACAAAAGACAGTCGTTTCCTCACCATAAATATTATGAACAAGACTACTTCTGAAGTGTGGTTGATAGATGGCCTGAGCCCTTGGGACCCACCAGTACTTATCCAGAAGCGAATACATGGGGTCCTTTACTATGTTGAACACAGAGATGATGAATTATACATTCTCACTAATGTTGGAGAACCTACAGAATTTAAGGTAATCCTGGATGCTCGTTGTTCCTATTTGGGCTGTTAAGAAGTGTCACACTTCGATCAACAACATTTCTTGCTCCAAGAGCTCATTGTTTTATAAATTGATGCCACCTTCCTATGTATAACCAATCCCATTTCTTTTCCCTTAGAGCTAATGCCTCTACATATTTTAATTGTGCCTAAAAAGTTAGTAAATAAAACATATTCTGTCCTGAGTTTATGTTAACAAAATCAAACTTAGTAGCTTAAAAGAGCAAACTTACAAACTCGTGATTTTATGAGTTGGCAATTTGGATTGATCTCAGCTAGGCAGTTCTTCTGCTGATATCAGCTAAGCTCACTGATGTATCTGTAGTCAGCTAGCTGTCAGTGCCCTCACTCAAATGTCCAGTGGTTGGCTAAGCACTGGATATACTGTCTCACCACCCAGCAGGCTAGTCAGGACTCATTCATATGGTTGATGGTCACACTTTATCCCTGATGCAGCGTTAGTTCCTTCAGCTCTTCATAAAACAGTGAGGACTAGTATGGTCTAGTTCTCAGTGATTGCATCTCTGGATGCTGCAGCCTTCGTGTTTTCTTACCTATATGTCTTCTAACTTTGTTCCACGTAGCTAATGAGAACAGCGGCTGATACCCCTGCAATTATGAATTGGGATTTATTTTTTACAATGAAGAGAAATACAAAAGTGATAGACTTGGACATGTTTAAGGATCACTGTGTTCTATTTCTGAAGCACAGCAATCTCCTTTATGTTAATGTGATTGGTCTGGCTGATGATTCAGTTCGGTCTCTAAAGGTATGTTTAATTTTCAGAAGTTAATACTGTTAATCAAAATATTTATGCAGTTTAGCTTAACAGAACATCACATTTTGAATAGTGGCAGCAGTGTTCTTTTTCTTGAAAGGAATGTAACTTAAATGGAATTTAGCAAAGTCACTCTTGGGTTTAGGAGGGTTATCTTAGAATTACTTAGAGGATCTTGCTTTTTATGCAGTTTTACTTAAGATAGTGTCTTATGGCATGGACTTCACAAGTAGAGTTGAGTGCTAATATTTCTCTTTCTGTATATCTCTCTACCTCACATATCTCTGCAACTTGAGATATAGTAAAAACTCAGGCCAAAGTTGGTAGCTAGTGCCTAAACACTGACTGCTGTTCCCCCATCCCACATCCCCAACAGGGACAGTAGTGGTATCCACTGTGTTTTTAGCCACTACATGCTTTTGTCTGCATCATCTTCTGTCTGCCAGTTTTCTTATCCGCAGGGGATGCAGGGAACAAACTTTGGTTTCTTTCAGTGTAGGAGTAGCAGTGGTCTCCACAGCAGCACAGAAGGCTAATAGTGGCAAGACTGCTTGGCAAGCTGACTAGTTGATACTGCTTGTGGCTACCAGGAAAGATAACCTGCCTTCACAAGTGAACTTCCTAAAATTGGTGAATGACAACCTTATTGCCTAGTTTTAAAGCAGCATTAACATGTGAGTTGAGGTAGTAGGCACTGAAGGGAAGAGGATGGCTTCCATTTTGTTTGATATGAAAAGAGTTACTGAGCCAGTTGATGAGCAAACAGCATAGACCATTTATACCTCCCTAACTCCAATATTCTTAAAACTCCTGTAAAAATGCAATTTCAGTCAATTCAGTGGCTTTTTATTGAACTTTCATGTGCACAATACTGTATCGGGCATTATAGAATCGAAAGCTGTTAAAGCAGAATATCCTAGCCTTAAGGAAGATATAGTTAATCACAAGATTAAACTAGTACATAAAGGTTAAGTGTATCATGGATTTGAATAAGTAGTATCAAAAACATAAAATGTGCTGTGGGGCTCAAACTAGAGAAGAAGGCCCAGGAAAGCTTTTGGTAAAGTTGGTTGAATGTGAAATAAACCAGAGAAGAGAGATAGGATTTTGACAGGTGGAGAGGGGATGGTATTCCAAGATGAGAAAGCCATCAAATGAAGCTGTATGCTCTGACATTCAGAAAATGTTCAGGAAACTGTTAATTATTCTGTTTTATTA
Source organism: Homo sapiens (assembly GCF_000001405.40). NCBI lineage: Eukaryota > Metazoa > Chordata > Mammalia > Primates > Hominidae > Homo > Homo sapiens. The sequence continues at coordinate 44,337,123 of NC_000002.12, read as the reverse complement.
AAGCGCTATACATTTCTGGGGGATGAAGTCATGATTTGACTTTTTGTGAGTGTCAATATGAGGAATTTATTAATTATGAAAGGTAACATTTGAAGTTTTTGAGCAGGGGAATGGTTTGAGGAGTGGCAGCCATATTAGGATACACTAAACCAAAAAGAAGTAAGGGGCAGGAAGCTAGTTTTGAGATTGTTTTATTGGTATAAATAAGAAATAACAAGGGCCTGAAATAACTGAAATCTCCAGCTACTCCCTAAAATCAAAAGATCAAATGTAATGTCCAGTCTCTTAGAACACTATGTAAGTGTCCTAAAACCAAAATGGTGACTGACTTGGAGGGATGTCCTTATTGTCTTCATCTGCTGGAGTGCAAAGTATTTCTTTTCACTTGCTAATTTTAAAAATTTTAATATTATTATTTTAGATAGCATTTCTTTTTTTTTAACTTTTACTTTCAGGGGTACATGTGCAGGTTGGTTTAATAGATAAATTGTCTGCCACAGGGGTTTGATATACGTATTATTTTGTCACCCAGGTAATAAGTATAGTACCCAATAGGTAGTTTTTCAATCCTCACCCTCCTTCAACCCTCAGGTAGGCCCCAGTGTCTGTTATTCTCTTCCTTGTGTCCATGTGGACACAATGTTTAGCTCCCACTTATAAGTGAGAACATGGGGTGTTTGATTTTCTGTTCCTCTGTTGGCTTGCTTAGGATAATGGCCTCCAGCTTCATCCATGTTGCTGCAAAGAACATTATCTCTTTTTTATGGCTGTGTAGTATTCTATGGTATATATGTACCACATTTTCTGTATCCAGTCTATCATTGATGGACATTTAGGTTGATTCCATGTCTTTGCTATTGTGATGAACATAATGTGTGCATGTGTCTTTATGGTAGAGCGATTTGTATTCCTTTGGTTATATATCCAATAATGGGATTGCTGAGTCAAATAGTAGTTCTGTTTTACATTCTTTGAGAAATTCCCAAACTGCTTTCCACAGTGGCTGAACTTACATTTCCACTAGCAGTGTATAAGCTTTCCCTTTTTTCTACAGCCTCACCAGCATCTGTTATATTTTGACTTTTTAACTACAGTCATTCTAACTGATGTGAGATGGTATCTCGTTGTGGTTTAGATTTGCATTCCTCTAATGGTTAGTGATGTTGAGCATTTTTTTCATATGCTTGTTGGCTGCATGTATGTCTTCTTTTAAAAATATCTGTTCATGTCCTTTGCCCACTTTTTTATGGTGTTGGGGTTTTTTTCTGTTTTTGTTTGTTTTGCTTGTTAATATAAGTTCCTTATAAATTCTGGATACTAGATCTTTGTCAGATGCATAGTTTGTAAATATTTTCTCCCATTCTGTAGGTTGTCTATTTACTCTGTTGATAGTTTATTTTGCTGTGCAGGAACTCTTTAGTTTCCAGTTGCTGATTTTTGTTTTTGTTGCAATTGCTTTTGGCATCTTTGTCATAAAATCTTTGCCTTTCTGTAGAATTATATTTCCTAGGTTTTCTTCAAGGGTTTTTATAGTCTTAGGTTTTACATTTAAGTCTTTAATTCATCTTGAGTTGATTTGTATATATGGTGTAAGGAAGGGGTCCAGTTTTCAATCTTCTGCCTATGGCTAACCATTTACATGTTAACTGGTGCCAAATTTAGACATCTTCAGTTGGGAAACTGGTGGAGCATCTATTATTATTTCAGTCTGTATGAATAAGAATGGGAGAGAATATGTAATTTCTAGCAATGCACTTGTTAGAACAAAATTCTATGTCAGGAAAGTTAGAAATGTCATGTGGAGTTTACTCTGCTATATGATTTGACTTCTAAGTAAATATGACCTTTTATATTTTTTGTAAGTATTCTTATTTTAAAGATATGCCCCAGTTTCCATGGTTTTAAATTCCACTGGAACAAACATTATGTCTTTAATTTATTCTGTATCTTCTATCTCTTCATTTTCTGACCCTTCCCAAATGATAGTACCTATTACGACTTTTATAATGTTCTAGTCATCATCAAGTGGAATTAAATACTTCTTGATCTTTCTGGTTAGTACCTGGTATATAATAAAGAGAATTTTATAGATCAGACCCTTTTTATGAGCCTGAATAATATTAATTAATATACATAGACAGTGCCATCCATACACGAAAGACAAAATCTTTAACCATAGCGTGAGTGCATTATAAAATATTTCTTTATGCAGTATCTCTGCCTGGTGGGCACTTGATTAAAAGATCTTTTTAAATTCAATCTCAGCCTGTAATCCCAGCACTTTGGGAGACCAAGGCAGGCGGATCACCTGAGGTCAGGAGTTCAAGACCACCCTGGCCAACATGGCAAAACCCTGTCTCTACTAAAAATACAAAAAATATAAAATACAAAGAATACTAAAAATACAAAAACTAGCCAGGCGTGGTGGCAGGTGCCTATAGTCCGAGCTATTCTGGAGGCTGAGGCAGGAGAGTCACTTGAAGCCGAGAGCTGGAGGCTGCAGTGAGCCGAGATCACGCCACTGCATTCCAGCCTGGGTGCAAGAGCAAGACTCCGTCTCTAAATAAATAAATAAATTCTATCTTAGCAACAGAAATGTAAAACCCTTCACATATTTGCCTCGTATCCTTGGTCACCATGCCATCAGTATTTTCTGGAAGTATTTTTTTTTGTCACAAAAAGAAGTTATGATATTTAATTTAGGCCAGTTGGGACGTTTTTTGCTGTATGCTAACATCAGTTTTATTTAGAGGAGGAGTCTGCATATTCAGGCCAATTTTCTTTCGGCATGTATGTCTTATTCTTTTGATGAAATAACTATAGTTTGCTGGTAGAGTGCTAAAACTGAACCTGTTTCTCTCAGGTATCTAAGGAATGTCTCCCTATCTCCTGGCCTACTTACTCTCTGGTGCTGTCCATTAATATACACAGATACACTGCAGGCTTATCTGAATAGGAAATGTGGCTTAAGATATCCTTGAGTTAGTTAATACTTATATCTGCATTAGCTGGATGAACTTCTAAAAGTCCATAGCCTTGAAACAGTTTTTATTATGATTAAAACATTAATGTTGGTCCCATTAGTTTTAGAAAAACACCAAAAATACTTTTTGATTTATTGGAACCACTTGGTCTAAAGCTAAGACAGCTTACTGCGTGGGTCACATAGAGACTGTCCTGAAGTCTCATCAAAGGGCAGAAAAACTTGAGCTTCCATGGGCTAAGGAACCTTGTACCCTCGCTCTGAGGCCTGGTTATGAGGTTTGTAGCAGTGCTTCCTTTTTTTCCCCTCTCAAGTCTCAGTTTGCTTGCTTATAACTATGCTACCAGATTTCTCAATTTTTGTTTACATTTTACTCTCCAGTTATGGCTTAAATTTAAATAGACAAGTTATCCTTTAAAACAACCCTCAATGTGAGAAGCATACATTAGGAGCTTTTAGAGATTGCAGATGTGTGTCCTTACTAGTGTTTCATGAAAATAGATTTTTTTTTTTTATTAATAAGAGATTTGCTCAGAGAACGTAAACTCTGGCTGTAGTTGCTGCAGGTGGAATGGTATCCCCTTTACGCACAAATCCCCGGCTGCCCTTTTTCAATAGTGCCCACCAGTGATGTTTCTGTGCCTCTGATTTTCTAAGGAATTTGCTCTTTCTACAATTACTCAGGAAAAGAAAGGCAATTTTCTTTTAATGTTCTGCCTCTCGGTACCATTTCTAACGCTCTGTCAACCTGCTTACCAGAGTTCTTTAAAAGGTGTAAGAGGGATGTTAGTGCAAGGCTTGAAGCTGGACCCTGCTGCTCTGAGAGAATAAATTTTGATTCCTTTCCTTTTTTCTTAAAGTTAAGAACCTTGAGTATAATAGCTGTGAGTCTCTCAGAGTAGATGTGCCAGAAGAGGTTTTGTTCTGCACAATGGTTAGCCTAGGAGCTAAAAGTTAGAAACAAATTGCAAATGCCTTAATGCTGCTGAGCCCGTTTATAGCCCTGAAATAATAACTGTCATCACTGTGGCTGTCCAGGCAGCAGGGTAAGGACTAGTGGGTAAATTATGAAAAACACACGCATGTGAGGAATTTCACGTTCTTTGAGAACAGAGATCTTGGCAGTGTCGGTGGGTTCTGGAATTACTATTTGATTTGCTCTTATTCTTCCATTTTACTATTTTATTATCCAAGATTATACCCCAAAATAAACTTTTATGTTAAAGGCAATTTCATGTAAAGCTAGAATCATGATAAATCATTTTCCTATAGTTTGTCTTATTTTATTGGTCATTAATGTACAGTTTTGTTTTTTATTTGAAATGTATGTTGTTGTGATAAAGTAATCCTTGAATGAGGCATGACGTGGTAACAAAAAGTAAACGAGATATCCACATCATCTTGTTTGGAGAAGACTTAGAAATTTAATTAATGATACTTGGTGGCCTAAATAAAGAATAAAAATAGCTGTTGTATTTCTTTAGCTCCCTCCTTGGGCCTGTGGATTCATAATGGATACAAATTCTGACCCAAAGAACTGCCCCTTTCAACTTTGCTCTCCAATACGTCCCCCAAAATATTACACATACAAGTTTGCAGAAGGCAAACTGTTTGAGGAAACTGGGCATGAAGACCCAATCACAAAGACTAGTCGCGTTTTACGTCTAGAAGCCAAAAGCAAGGTAGGTCTTATAATCTTCACTTTCAGCTCCCATTTACTGAAAGCATACCGTTTGCCAGATGCCATGCAGTTGTTGGAGTTACATTAGCACGGTTTCCTAATGTAGATTTCTTAGACCACAGTAATACCCAAGTGACTTTAGGGATAGGTGAATTTTTTTTAACCTTAATATTCATGTTTGTTTTAACATGGATTAGAAAATTTATAGCATGTCGGCCGGGCACGGTGGCTCACGCCTGTAATCCCAGCACTTTGGGAGGCCGAGGCGGGTGGATCACGAGGTCAGGAGATCGAGACCATCCTGGCTAACACGGTGAAACCCCATCTCTACTAAAAATACACAAAATTAGCTGGGCATGGTGGCGGGCGCCTGTAGTCCCAGCTACTTGGGAGGCTGAGGCAGGAGAATGGCGTGAACCCAGGAGGCGGAGCATGCAGTGAGCCTAGATCGTGCCACTGCACTCCAGCCTGGGCTACAGAGCAAGACTCCGTCTCAAAAAAAAAAAAAAAAAAGAAAATTTATAGCATGTCAAACTTTTTATTTTACATGTTGTTTATGTCTGATTTTTTAAAGTTGATTTTAAGAAAAAATTAATAGAGTTGGTATGTAGTTATGGCAAAAATAGTGAAGGTGGTAGTTGACTAGAGTAAACTAGACTGATACAGTCCCTGCCCTCATGGAGCATACATCTAGCAGGAAAGATGACATGTTTAAAAAGTCATTAATAATGTACTGACTGCTGCAAAGGAGGACATACTGAGTACAGTGGGAGCATAGAGCAAAGGGATTTTACCTAGTCTAGAGAGATCAGGGAAGTTTTCTCCAAGGAAGTTATGTCTCAGGTAAGACCACTAGGATGATTAAGAGTAAACTAGAAAGGAGATAGGGGATTCCATTTTGTATAGAGGCCCTGAATTTGGGGAGAAATTATACAATTCAAGAAGTGTAGGGCTGGCCGGGCACAGTGGCTCACACCTATAATCCCAGCACTTTGGGAGGCTGAGGCGGGCAGATCACGAGGTCGAGACCAGCCTGGCCAATATGGTGAAACCCCATCTCTACTAAAAATACAAAAAATTAGCCGGGTGTGGTGGCAGGTGCCTGTAATGTCAGCTACTCAGGAGGCTGAGGCAGGAGAATCCTTTGAACCCAGGAGGCAGAGGTTGCAGTGAGCCAAGACCTCACCACTGCTCTCCAGCCTACAGAAGAAGTGTAGGGCTAGGCACAGTGGCTCAAACTTGTAATCCCAACACTTTGGGAGGCCAAGCTGGGAGGATCACTTGAGCCCAGAAGTTAGAAACCAACCTGGGCAATATAGTGAGACCTCATCTCTACAAAAACCAAAAATATTAGCCAGGCATGGTGGCATATGCTTGTAGTCCCTGCTTCTTGGGAACCTGATGTGGGAGGATTGCTTGAGCCCAGGAGGTTGAGGCTGCAGTGAGTTGTGATTGCGCCATTGCATTCCAGCCTGTGTGACAGAGTAAGATCCTGTCTCAGAAAAAGAACAAATATAAAGGAGGCCATTATGGCCAAAATCAAGTAAAAGAGGGAAGATTGGCAGGGTGAGGAGTAGAGAGAGATGAGACACAGAAAAGGAAATAACAAATATCCATATTCCAGGTATACTCAATATACAGAATATACAAATTTATGCAAGTAGGGAACAAATTAATATGTAAACTATAGCCTTGAATTTAAGGAAACCTCAGACTTTAGCATATCATATATCAGATAATTTCACATGTGCTGACACAATGAATTACAACACAAGCCTTTTATTCTTAGGAATTTTTTTCTTTAATTCATTTATTTTTCTCTGACAATCTTTAAGTAAATATTAATATTTTTATATTACAAAAGCAATACATGCTTGTTGAACAGATGCAAAAATACAGAACAAATCTTAAATGACTACTTCTCAGTACCATTTGCTTGCTGCACCTCTTAGAAATAATCATTGTTACCCACTTAGTGTATTATCTTTTAGATAGGTTTTATTTGGTTTTACAAACATGGAATTAGACTAGTCTATCAAAATGTTGCAATTATTGGACCCGAGATGGAAAGAACAGTTAAGCACCATGTTCTTGGAGAGCCAAGAGGGGAGAAGGGAAGCAGCTGCTGAATGGAAGCGCTATACCTTTCCACAGGCATTTTAGTACTGCTGGCAAACCCAGATCCAGCCCATCACAGGAGTAGCTACTGTTTTACCTCTTCCTTTCAAAACTTTTCAACAAGCAACTTTTTCTGATTGTATAATTGAAGTTGGGGAAGAGTTGGGAAGTGAAAAGACCAAGAGTGTTTTATAGAAATTAATCTACATCAAGTTTTATAAAAGTGAATCTTACTAAAAGTGAAAGTTAACAATGTCATAACAACTTGGGTATTTTAAAGAAGAATGAGAGGAGAATTTCCTCCTTATTTGATTACATTTTGCTGTCTCCAGTTATTGCCCCAAAGTGAAGTTTTCAAAATGAGAATGAAAATATGAAGAGTGACTTGGATGTATTATTTATTTTCTTTATGTAAACGGTGCTATTTCATTAGTTTAAGCAGGGTGAAAACCAATTTCTTTATCTTTTTTGTGTGAAAGGTAGATCAGAATTAGTTCTTTTGTCTGTTCAGAGACTGCCTAGTTTCAATCAACTGGAACTGATGAGTTTGAGCTACATTGGGGGATGGTTACATAACCTACAAGTAACTTAGTAACCTTACAAATAATTTAACTTACTTTAACCCTACAAAGAATTTTACCGAAAAATTTTAAGACCACTTTAAATTTTTTTTAATAAAGTTAAATGGGCCTTTGAAGAGGATTGTGGTAGTTATCAGTAACATCAGTAAGATTTCAGGTCTTAATGGTTGAGAATTCCGACTACAGAGGATATAGAAAATTGAGCTGGTAAGACTTTAGTCAGCATATTTGTAGATACTCAAAAGTGAAAAATGCCAATATCTAGCTCTTAGGCATAGGAAGAGTGCTATACTAGGACTTCTAACCTTGGTAAGTATTTTGGTTTCATCTGAAAATTTAAAATTATAGTAGGTAGTGAAGAACTCTTTAAAATTACATTATTGTCATGAAAAGCTGCATTTAATAAAATGTTTTCAGGCCAGTCTTGCTGCTCTTTTCTGGTTAATACTGTAGGACAGCAAGGTAGCTGAAACCAAAAGCCATGATTTATTTTTAGAGACCATAATTCTTTTTCTTAAACAAATTTGTGCTCAACATCAGTAGGTAGCACACAAGTGGGGACAGTGCACCTCAATGTATTTTAAATTGGGATAAAACAGTTATTATAAAAGACTCTTCTTTACATACATAGTAATTCTTCATTTCTAGGATGGAAAATTAGTGCCAATGACTGTTTTCCACAAAACTGACTCTGAGGACTTGCAGAAGAAACCTCTCTTGGTACATGTATATGGAGCTTATGGAATGGATTTGAAAATGAATTTCAGGCCTGAGAGGCGGGTCCTGGTGGATGATGGATGGATATTAGCATACTGCCATGTTCGGTGAGTCAGTATATTTTACCTGGCATGTAAGTGCTAGACCATTGTGAGAGATGTCAAGAATAACAATATATATCAGGGAACAAAAGCTTATTTTTTTCATTCTTATTATTCAATTTTTGTATTCCTAAACCAGCACTGGTGAAACTTGATTCTTTAACAGATTAGTTGATCCAAAAAGCAAAAGGATAGGTTTTTAGGATTTTTGCATAGAGGTACCAGACTCTGTACTTATTTAGTAATATTATTATTTCCTTTCAGTTCTCCTGAATTCAGGTTTAAGTAGCCTCTGAATCTGAACTGTTTTCCATTTAACTTCCATTTTATTTCAGCTGTTTTCAAGACACAAATATTATTTTGTATTTCTGCTTAAAATTCTTCTCCACCTCCCCATCTCTAGAACACAGTCCAGATTCCCCAGTATAATACTCCTAATGGTCTGATGGATCTCTGTAGCGGCATTTAGCATCAGACCCTTTTTTTTTTTTTTTTTTTTTTTTTGTTTGAGACAGTTTTGCTTTGTCGCCCAGGCTGGAGTGCAGTGGCACAATCTCGGCTCACTGCAACCTCTGCCTCCCAGGTTCAAGTGATTCTCATGCTTCAGGCTCCTGAGTAGCTGGGACTACAGGCGCACACCACCACACTGTCTGAATTTTTTTTTTTTTTTTTTTGAGATAGAATCTTGCTCTGTCGCCCAGGCTGGAGTGTGCAGTGGCATGATCTTGGCCAGGGTTCAAGCGATTCTCCTGCCTCAGCCTCCTGAGTAGCTGGGATTACAGGTGCCTGCCATAACTCCTGACTAATTTTTGAAATTTTTGTAGCGATGGGGTTTCACCATGTTGGCCAGGCTGGTCTCGAACTCCTGACCTCAAGTGATCCGCCCGCCTCAGCCTCCCAAAGTGCTGGGATTACAGGCATGAGCCACCGTACCAGCCCGATTTTTTTGTATTTTAGTAGAGACAGGGTTTTCCAATGTTGCCCAGGCTGGTCTCGAACTCCTGAGCTCAAGCAGTCCGCCCGCCTCAGCCTTCCAAAATCATGTCCTTTTATTTTTTTTATTTTGTTTTGTATTTTTTTGAGATGGAGTCTCACTCTGTCTCCCAGGCTAGAGTGCAGTGGCGCAATCTCCGCTCACTGCAACCTCCGCCTCCCAGGTTCAAGTAATTCTCTTGCCTCAGCCTCCCGAGTAGTTGGGCTTATAGGCACGCACCACCACACCTGGCTAATTTTTTCTATTTTTAGGAGAGACGGGGGTTTCACCATGTTGGCCAGTCTGGTCTCAAACTCCTGACCTCAAGTGACCTGCTCACCTCAGCCTACCAAAATGCTGAGATGACAGGCTTGAGGCACTGTGTCCAGCCCCCAAAGTCATGTCTTTTAAATGACATGCTCTGTCACCTCCTTGCCCTTATACATGCTGTGTCGTATCTGTGTCTTAATGCCTTTTCTTTGCCCTCTGGAAACTCAAATTTTTCCTTCACAACTCAGTTTAGGCATCATCTCCTTAAAAGCATTTGTGTTCCTGACTCGTGTATATACCCCTCACCTGGCAGATGGATGTTCTTTCCTCTGCTCCTGTAATACCTTAAATACACTTGTATTGTAGCAATGACACCACATTGCTGGGTAAGTCGTTGTTTTCTTACCCCACAAAATTACTGTCTTCTCCACGGTAGGGGATTTTCGTTTGTTTCTACTTTTAAGGTCTGTACTTAATCCCTGATAAATGGGCAGGCACTCAAAATATATTCGTTGAATCAATTCTGGATTGTCTATATCAGGAGTTGGCAAACCTTTTTCTCTAAAGAGCTACATAGTCACATTTTAAGCTTTGCAGGCCGCGTACAGTTTCTGTTGCACATTCCTTGTTTTCACTCAACCTTTAAAAAGCAAAAACCAGTCTTAGCTCCAGGGCCACACAAAAAACAGGCCTCCAGGTGTAGTTCGCTGACCCCAGCCTACAGTATTAACTTTTTTTTTCCACTAAAACTTTTTTGCCCTTCAATTTCAGAGGTGGTGGTGAGTTAGGCCTCCAGTGGCACGCTGATGGCCGCCTAACTAAAAAACTCAATGGCCTTGCTGATTTAGAGGCTTGCATTAAGACGCTTCATGGCCAAGGCTTTTCTCAGCCAAGTCTAACAACCCTGACTGCTTTCAGTGCTGGAGGGGTGCTTGCAGGAGCATTGTGTAATTCTAATCCAGAGCTGGTGAGAGCGGTGACTTTGGAGGTGAGTACGCTCTGTCTCTACTGTTTATAGAATGGGGGAGGTGTGAAGCCATAGGCTACTCTAAGAAAAATGTTTTTGGGCTGGCACAGCGGCTCATGCCTGTAATCCCAGCACTTCGGGAAACTGAGGTGGGCAGATTGCTTACCAGGAGCTCGAGACCAGCCTGGGCAACATGGCGAGACCCTGTCTCTGCAAGAAATTAAAAAAAAAAAAAAACCTACCCAGGCTTGTTGGTAAGAGGATCTCTTAAGAGGTTGAGGCTGCAGTGGACCACTGTGCTCCAGCCTGGGCAACAGAGTGAGACATTGTCAAAAAAAAAAAAAAAAAAGGAAAGAAAAACATTTCTGTTACAGTTTTACCATAGCATAGGAGTATAACAAAGCTTTTAAGTTTTAAACTCAGAATTATAGCTTGAGGAGAACTTCTAAAGTTATTTTAATCCAACTATTAACCGTTATTCTTCTCTGATACAGTGTTCTTTATTATCTTTAAGGCTTTCCACTGAAAGATATTAATGGCTATTTCCATTGCTCATTTGTATTTGTAAGGACATTTAGAATTGGTGAAAAAGCACTGAAGCATATATGAGTCCCAGTTGAGAAAGCCAGGCAAAGCACGCTGTGACTCTGGAATGCACTGAGTCCTTTGGCTCCTGGTCACCTTGACAGGCTACTGCCCATCAACATTTCAGTCCTAGATTTATAGGCTCTTTATTTTTAGATAGTCCATTCTTAATGGTCGTTTGGGCATAGTTTTTCCGTATTTTAATTGAAATATCTTACCCTGTTCTGAAAATGATTATCTTTTCCCAGTGTCAGAAATTACGAAGTTACATTGTAGCAGTTGGTTTCACTGCTATCATTCTCCTACTTCTAGGTTACTCTGAAAAATAATGACTGAGATGGGAGAGAGTAAATTATTTTCAGGATTTTTTATTTTGAGGTTGGGGAGTTTATACTGTGGGCTTGTAAATAAGTGTTAAATAGTAGTCACCTGTAAGTCTATTTTTTAAAAACAGAAAAATGTGGAGAATAGCCTATGCACAAAGATAATGGCAGAATTATTTACAGTTTAAAGACAAAGCAACTAGATTTTGACTTTTAGAAATTTAAAAGGAAATGATGAGAAGGATATTTATGCTAGGTTGCTTATTATAGTGAAGACTAGGAGACAACCTTTTATACATGTATAAGTCAAATTCTTCTTATAAGCACCAAAAATCAACCCTAATTTAAGCAGAAAAGGGATTAAAGGGCATTAGGAAAATGTAGGTGTCTTCAGACCAGTGTTAGAGGCTTCAGAGCCAAAGGCATAGAATTGGCCCAATGAAACTATTACTGCCGCCACTGCCAAGCACAAATCACCTCACACTGCCAGTGCAACTTCTAGAGCTGGATATAGCTGTGGCACTTTTGCCAGAATAAATTATCTGTGATCACTGCTTCTTTGAATCACTAACTTTCCATGCAGAGTGTAAAGCACATGTGTCTGGTTGATAGACCCAAGTCACACATGGGTCACACAGCTACTCCCAAGCTGCAGGGAAAAATGGGAAAGAGAAGTCTAGCACTTAGTATCTCCACAGTGAGAGGCAGGCTCTAGCTGATAAGGTTGGAGGTTTTTCAAATGCAAAAAAGTTCATATGGTAGGCAGCCAAAAAGAATTACAGATGACTCACTATACTTGGTTAATGTTAATATGAGGGAAAGCTAAAAAGTATGTTAACAGAAGAAAATAAAGCTAAGTGAAAAATACAGCCTTCATTTTTGTTTTGTTGTTTTTGTGGGGTTTTTGTTTTTTTGTTTTGTTTTGTTTTGTTTTTTGAGTCAGAGTTTTGCTCTTTCACCCAGGCTGGAATGCAATGGCACACGAACACAGCTCACTACAGCCTCGACCTCTGGGGCTCAGGTGATCCTCCCACCTCAGCCTCCTGAGTATCTGGGACTACAGGCATGTGCCACCATGCCCTGCTAATTTTTGTGGTTTGTTGTTGTTTTGTAGAGATGTGGTTTTACCATGCTACCCAGGCTAGTTTCAAACTCCTGGGCTCAAGTGATTTGCCCACCTCAGCCTCCCAATGTGCTGGGATTACAGGCATGAGCCACCATGTGCGACCCAGCCTTCGTTTTATTAAATTTTGTAACACTAATTATAAGCCAATGGGTTGTTTTCTCTTCTTTCACCTTGGGTATTTTGCAGAGTTTCTTTACTTAGCGTTTTTTGCTTTTAATATAAAATGTCCAACTGGTCAAAAAGACTTTATTCCTTGTGTATTTTTTTCATTTAAAAATTTTTAATTATGGTAAAATACCATAAAATTTACCATCTCAACCATTTTTAAGTGAATAGTTCAGTAGTGGTAAGTGCACTCATAGGCTTATGCAGTCAATCTCCAGAACTCGTTTTTCATCTTAACAAAACTGAAACCCTGTACCGATTAAACAGCTCTCCATTTGCTTCTTCCCACAGCCTCTGTCTCTGTGAATTTGACTACTCAAACACCTCACATAGGTGGAGTCATACAAAATTTTTTGTGACTGGCTTATTTCACTTAGATTATATCCTTGAGGTTCATCCATATTGTAGCGTGGATCAGAATTTTATTCATTTTTAAGGCTGAATAATATTCCATGTAATATTGCATGTGTATACCACATTTTGCTTATTCGTTCTTTGGTTAATGGACACTTGAGTTGCTTCCACCTTTTGGCTGTTGTGAATATGCTGCTGTGAACATAGGTATGCAGATCTCTTTAAGACCCTGCTTTCAGTTTTGGGGATTATATGCCAGGAGTGGAATTGCTGGATCATATGGTAATCTTAAGCTTAACTCTTTGATGAACCACCATACTGTTTTCCAAAGCAGCTCCCCCATTTTACATTCCAACCACCAGTGTATCAGGATTCCGGTTTCTCCACATTACTGCCAATACTTGTTGTTGTTGTTGTTGTTTTAATATAATAACTAACTGTCCTAATTGGTATGAGACAGTAGCATTTATTGCTTTTATATAAGAAAAAATATAAATGAATAAAAGGTACTAAGCTAAAAATAAATATTGTGAAATTAGAAGATAAACCATTTCTTGTTATATGTCATTTAAGGAATCTGAAGACTTTAAAAGTAGGTTATAAATTACAGGCCCTGGTTAAGGACTGAGTATTCTAGCTCCTAGGAATCTACATGGCTTGAGTTATTTTCTCTCATATTAGTATGTATATTCATAAAATAGAATGTTTTTCTGAAACTCACTTACCAACCTCTTACTTGAAGTATAAGTTTCTTTGCCTTTTTTTTAGGCACCTTTCTTGGATGTTCTCAACACCATGATGGACACTACACTTCCTCTGACATTAGAAGAATTAGAAGAATGGGGGAATCCTTCATCTGATGAAAAACACAAGAACTACATAAAACGTTACTGTCCCTATCAAAATATTAAACCTCAGGTAGTGAAAGACAATTGTGTTAGATTATCCTGAATTTACACAGAAGATAATAAAAAAAAAACTTATCCAAGCTGAAGCAAAAATAGGAGCTTTAGAGATGTTTCTACTTATGATGCCCAAATATCTTCAGCACCATCTCTGCTCATGCTCCATGTTTAATACCTCAGGGGAATAGACTTATCATGCCTTAATTACTAAATTAGCTAAGGTCCTTTAGTCAAGAAAAGGCTATTCCAGATAACAAGTAGTCTACTACTGTAATACTGAGGCGCTCTCAAGATAGCAAGTGAGAAAAAGCATAGAGCACTTACAGGGAAAAATTGGAGGTAATTATTTTTCATAGTCTCTATAGTGGCAAGGGACCATAAGAAATAATGTAAACTCTTCGTGCATGTATTTTCTTTCAGCATTATCCTTCAATTCACATAACGGCATATGAAAACGATGAACGGGTACCTCTGAAAGGAATTGTAAGTTATACTGAGAAACTCAAGGAAGCCATCGCGGAGCATGCTAAGGACACAGGTGAAGGTAGGAGACCCCCTAGAAGCAGGGAACATGGCCAAACAGACTACTACCCACAGCACACTGCTCAGAGGAATATATTTCAGGCTGTAGCCAAATCATCTGCCCAGGATTTAGGGCAAACAATTATTTTGCTATGTTGACTCCCCAGTTAAAGTGTACGTAACTACATGTCTATACATACACTGCCTCACCTCTTTTTCAAAGGACAGTATTAAAATAGATAGGCAGGACACAAAGGAAACAGGAAATTTAAGAATCAGATATAACTTGGAGATGCACTGCCATACAATTATTAATTCATTTAACAATATTTATTGAGCCGTTATTCTTGGGAATCTCTAAAAGACAGATTCTGAGATTTTTGTTTTGGGCCATCAGTGCCCAAACTGTTTAGCTGCATGAATTTCCTCTAGCTAGCTGTTTCAGCTTTATGAGATAAGAATCCCTCCCTTTTGCCTTGAAACTACATGCCATATCAGTCTCCCTGTATTCATCTCCATTTGTCACCCCCATCCATTGCTGTAGTTGGTGTTTCCAGGGCATAAGACTCTCAGATTCCACAGGGCAGGTTGATGATCTCCTGGGTTTCAACCTTGTCCGTGTGGCACCATATAGTCTTTTCCATACGGCCTCTTCCTGCTTTCGCTGTGTCAGAAGTTTGTCTTCTGTTGCTTGTCCCCTCCCATCTTTTTGTTGATGATGGTGGTTTTTGCTTTTTATTCCTTTACTATTATTTGAACTGAGTACTCAAAGAAGAGGGGAGGAATGGGTCTCGATCTTCCAAAGAAGATCCCATACAATCTTCTAATTGTTCTACATGTTAACTCTTCCAGGCTATCAGACCCCTAATATTATTCTAGATATTCAGCCTGGAGGCAATCATGTAATTGAGGATTCTCACAAAAAGGTATGTTATCAAGGCCCTCTCAGTGGACAGATTCCCGAACTAGATACATGTTGTTTTCACATTTTCAGTGGTTGCAGCAGGTTTATGACAAAGCCACTTCACAAATGTCCTATCTATGGGTGAGACCCAGGAGGGGAGGGAGGGACACTGTGTCAATCAAGAGAAATGTCTCTCTCTTGTACTTGATACGTGAGCTCTGTTAAAGAAAATAATTTAATCTTAATTGTTGGAAGCCTTCTGCCTCTCTCTCGAATGAAAGTATTCTTGCCATAAATTGCTGACTTCACGGTTAGGTAAAGATGGATAGATAAAGAGAAGCTTAAACAGTGGCATTTTACTACAAAGGCCTTCTATTTAATTTTTTTAATGTGTTTCTTTTAGATTACAGCCCAAATTAAATTCCTGTACGAGGAACTTGGACTTGACAGCACCAGTGTTTTCGAGGATCTTAAGAAATACCTGAAATTCTGAAACACTGCATTCAACTGGGAATTGGAAACACACTGAAATATTTCATAGTCTTACTTCCAATTGAGTTAGCAAAAAAAAAATTAATAACTTGAGACTTTTAAGTTATTAATTTTTTAAAATGTGCTTCTCCATCTAAATTTTGCTTAGTCTACATCTCACTTGCTTATACTATTCTCTCCATTGATGCACATGCCCATTAACCTAGGAAAGTAATTTTCAAATCATGCTCCTTAGAAGGATGTGGAGTAGAGGGAAGGGAAGGATTGGTGATAGCAGAGCTCCAGGCCTCCCTTCCAGTCAGAACAGTTGAGCAGTTTACAAATTAGTGTCCTGCCTCTTTGCTAGCAAATGCTTTTAGACACTGTGGCAGTGAGTCATCCTCTAATTTCTATGACTGCATTTTAAGGGAAAAGATAAAATTCTTCCCCTTAAAATTCGTTAAAGTTTTTGAATAATCTGGGGTCCTAATGTGTTCTGGTCATCCCTGATTGATGCTATCTGAATAAAGTTATAAGCTCCTATAAGCCATAATTTACTTTTAAACATTTTATTTTTTTCAAAACATTTGAGAACCTTTCTTAAAGCAGTTACATTCAAGCTACAGAAATATCGAAGAATTAATGATTGTTCACCAAGCAGCATGCTGTACATGAAGCTATTACAAATGCTTACAATCCCACTGAAATGCCAGTGTCTTCATCTCTTCATAAAGGTGCCTAACACGAGGTATACAGTATGTTCAGTACACTGGAATAGCATGCTCGATTGGAAACAAAGCATCTATCTCTGAAAGCTGTTTGGCGATGAAGGAGATTCTTCGTGTTGTGTTCAAAGATGAGTCCCTCTCCCTTGTCCAGAAAAATGCCACTTGTATCAACTTTACTGCCTTTGTCGGCAGAATTGGTACTTAACCTTATTCTCATTTTAGCGGGAAGGCCCGAAATCATATTATGTAGATTTAACAGTGTTGATTCTCCAAAATTCAGAACCACGATAAAGATTCTGTCGATGCCATCCAGCTCTCTTGTGTACACAACATAGTGGCTGTCATTCCTCAAATGGCAAAACCAGCCCCTGTTGAGGAGTAGCTCATTGGCATGAAGTAGACTTAAATCTTGATATAACTTCAAAGCCGATCTGGGCTGAGTCTTTTGGACCTATTTTTTTAAAAAAGTATTTACGTAAGTGTTTGATTCTAAGAATTGTTTGTAAGTATTTTTAATATATTGTAAGGAGTTATTTACCCAAAACACTTGCTCCAATTTTGCCCCTTATAATTGCCAAATTGTAAGCATCAATAAGTAGGTAAGAACAATTTATATAAAAACTGATAGAAATGACAAATTCGGGGTTTCGGCTTGTCTGGGAGTCAATAAGTACGCACAGTGCTCTGCTACATTGTAGAGTTTCTGTAGAGATCAAATTTGACTCCACTTTAGGAGTCCCAAAGCAAATGTCCATGTCTAAGATGAATATTTAACTTGCATAGTCATTCTGTGCTATATTGTAACTGCCAGATGGCCAGAAAGAAGGCAACAGTGGACTCAGACTTCTGAGGAATTTGGGTTTGTTCCCCTTTGTAGACTAATGTGTAGGTTGCTGTTGTGCGAAGATCGTGTAACTTTAGCAGACATGTATTTCTTGCACAGCTAATAGAAGACAAAGTTGAAAAAAAGGATGCAAAATAAAAAGCTGCCTAAGGTGAAAGTTAGAAATTGTAGACTTTTTTTTACCATAATAGTATGTGTTCATTAAAGATGATTTGGGTTTATTTTACAGCTATATAAAACATAATTTGATGATGTACTTCTAACCTTTCAAGCATTTTCTGTTATTGACTATATAATATAGCCTCCATAAATGTTTTTAATGACAATATTCTGTTGAACGGTTGTACCATACTCAGCCATGCCCTTTCATTTTGACGATAGTGTTTCTAATATTTTGTATTTTTATTCCCCTCCCCCCATTTTTGTATTACTTAAGATAGATTATCAGAAAGACAGTTACTTTGTCAAAGAGTATGGGCACTTGATACATAATGCCAAATTATTCTTCATAAGAGCTGTTGCCAAATCAGTGATAATGTTCATTTAATTGTATTCTTGCCAGCCATGTTTACTGGGGTGATAGTTGTTATTGTGGTTGTTATTGTTCTTTAGGGGTAGGTTCCCAATATGTGGTCTTTAAATAATTATCTAATGGTGTTTAAAAAGATGTTTATTCTGTTTGTCAGGTACAAAGATATTTATGATACATGTATGACTTGTCTAAGTTATTAACATTTTCTCTAGCCTTAGGTAATGCATGAAAGCACATGTTTCAGTGCCACTCACATAAGAAGTGCCCGGTAAGTGTTAGCTATTATTGTCTACTTGAGTTACTACTTTCTAAAAGTATGTTGAAGTCTTTTTCTGTAATTGCAGATTTGTTGATTTTGCATTTGAGTATTTTCTATATTTTGAAGCTGTTAGATGCGTAGTCATGATTTTTGGTGGAATGTTTTATCAATTTTTGAAAATTGCCTTTGTCTCATATAATGCTTTTCATATTGAACTATATTTTGTCTGCTATTAAATACTTCCAAGCCTGATTTTTGTAATTTTATTTTTTATTCAATTACAAGAATACATACTATAAAAAGGTTTTCTTCAACACCTTTCCATAGCTTCACAGTTCCCCTCAGAGACAGGCACTATATGTTCTTTTGTTTTTAATGTATCATATGTTTGCATAGGCACAGAATGTATCATTTCATATGTTTATATATTTTTCTTTACACAGTTGGTGATATGTTACCATTCTATACTTTATTGAATACCTGTTTGAAATGGTCTCATATCAATGTATATAGAACTGTCATTTTTAAAAGCTGCATACTGGGCCCATAGTTGATAGAACTGGTTTTCTGTTGATAAAATATTTAAATCATTTCTTGTGTCTTCTATTAAAAACAAATTTTGCAGGCCAGGCAAGGTGGCTCAGGCCCGTAATCCTAGCACTTTGGGAGGCAAGGCAGACAGATCACCAGAGGTCAGGAGTTCAAGACCAGCCTGGCCAACATGGTGAAACACCATCTCTACTAAAAAATACAGAAATTACCCGGGCATAATGACGTGCACCTGTAATCCCAGCTACTTGGGAGGCTGCAGCAGGAGAATCACTTGAACCCAGGAAGCAGAGGCTGCAGTGTGCCGAGATCACGCCACTGCACTCGAGCATGGGTGACGGAGCAAGACTGTCTCAAAAAAAAAAAAAAACAGTGTTGAGATCCTTTAAGTATTATTGTGCACATGTGCAAATATTTCTAAGTATTAGGAATGGAATTATTAGGTCAAAAGATAACTTCATTTTTTGTGTTTATAGCTATAGCTGGGTTGCAAGCTTTCTATTATTTGCTTGCTATATCTTCATTTTAATTCTTTGTGTTTTATGTTAGTGTTTCTTATGTCTGTTTTTGTTATCTGAGTGGTTTTATCTTTTAATAGGCTAATTTAACCCATTCATATTTGTAATTATTGTATTATTTAGACATAATTCGGAAGCCCTATTTTATTTGTAGTTATACTATTGTTTAGGGTTTTTTTCTATTAAGCTTTTTGTTGGATTGACTGTATAATTTTTTTCTTCTAGTATTCTTTGAAAATTTGAAAATTGTTATATTTTATGTCTAGTGTTCTTTGAAAATAATTCTTTGAAAATTATTTTTATGTCCTAATTTTACCATTAAAATTATGACCACTTGAAAATAATGTTTCTCAATGTCTAGAACAATGCTGGCCAATAGAACTTTCTGTAATGCTGGAAATGTTCTATATCAGAGCCATCCAATATGGCAGCTAATGAGCACTTGAAGTGTTGCTATGACATGGGAACTGAATTTTTTTTTTTTTTTTGACACAATCTCCCTCTGTTGCCCAAGCTGGAGTGCAGTGGCATGATCATGGCTCACTGCAGCCTCAACATCCTGGGCTCAAGTGATCCTCCCACCTCAGCCTCCTGAGTAGTTGGGACTACAGGTGTGTGCCACTATGCCCAGCTAATTTTTTTCTTAAGAGATAGATAGGGTCTTACTATGTTGCCTAGGCTGGTCTCAAACTCCTAGGATCAAGTGATCCTCCAGTCTTGGCCTCCCAAAGTGCTGGGATTATAGGCGTGAGCCACCATACCCAGCAGGAACTAAATGTTTAATTCTATTTAATGTAATAGTCACAGTGGTTAATGGCTACTGAACAGCTCAAATCTAGAGTTACTCTTTTTCCTGTGCAAAACAAACACTGCTCTCTCATTTGCTTGCTCCTGTGTGCCCCCTCCCACCCACACACCCTCCCTGCTAACATTTCCCATATAGAATCAAATCACTAAGATTTTTGTTCCAGAATACCTTGTTTTACATTGTGTATCAAAAATTATTTAAATCAAGTTATTTCCTTTTCCTTCTTTAATACATTGTATCTCTTAGAATTGTTATGTTTTGTTGGATAGTCCCTTGACTATTCTTTCAGAAAGTGGCCACACATGGTAAAATGTGGGTCCTTGCTTTTCCATCTCTGTTTTGCTCTTTGAATGGATACAGAATTCCGTTTCCATTACAACTTTGAAGATAGAGTTCTAATGTGGTGTAGTATCCAATTGAGAAGTCTGATGCTAGTCCAATTCTCAACCCTTTTCTCAGGCAATCTATTTTCAGGTTTGGTTTCTTTCTGAGTAGTTTTGGAGTTCTCTTTATCCTACCTGTTCTGAAAGAAGACAAAGTCTTCCTTTATCTCTGGGTTATGTATTTTATTTCTTTGTATGTTTCCTCCAGTCTGTTCTCCTGTGCAATTGTTGTTACTGCATGTACGGAATTCTGTATCTATCTTCCATGTATCCCGATTTTTTCTTATGCTCTTAATTCTTTGTCTTTTTCAGTACGTTCTGGACAAGCCCCTGGATCAATTTTTCAGCACACTAATTAGCACTTATGTTCTATTTTATTTCATTGTTTGACAGTCTTTTATACTTCTGAGAGATCTAATCACTTCTTGAAAGAATGTCAAGGAGCTCCATTAAACAGCAATCTACTGGGGGTATTTATACTTATATTTAAGTCTTATGTTTGCTATAATTTTCTCTGCTTTCTACAGTGTTCTGTTAGGAATGGTGTCTCCCTTTTATGGCCTTGGTTTTTCTCAGATGCTGTGTGATTCTTGATCTGTTTGCTTTTGTGTTTTGACCTTCCTTGTTTGCCTGTCTTTGGTTGCCTGCCTCTCATAATGGGAAGCCAAGTTGGATGTGGGTCTGACTTGTCTTTGGGACATTGGGATGTAGGGTTCTTTTCCTACTTGAAGGTGATAAGCTTTCTAGATTCCCACCTTTTTTCTCCTGGTGTCTGTGACTCTGAGCTGAGTAGTAAAAGCTCTCCTTTCTGAGAGCATTCCACAGTGAATTCTCGCCAGGGGACAGTGCTAGAGTTAGGTCTTGTTTTCCTTCTTTTCTTTCTTTGATGCACTTGTAGAAGCTTCAGGCTTTGTTCTACTAATTCTGCCATGCATGTGATCACCAAACAGTTCTAGATTTTTTTTTCCTTAGGGAAATTATGCCATGGCAAATTGCAGGAGTTCAGGAAATTCCTACAGTGCTGTCTCTGTTAGAACTGTTTTTCTCCTGTATGTTTTAGACTCCCACTTCTATTCTCTGCTTTTTTTTTTTTTTTTTTTTTTGAGGCGGTCTTACTCTGGCACCCAGGCTGGAGTGCATTGGGGTAATCACAACTCACTGCAACCTTGATCTCTTGGGCTCAGCCTCCTGAGTAGCTGGGATGACAGGCACATGTCACCAGGCCCAGCTAATTTCCCTTTTTTTTTTTTTTTGGCGGGGGTAGGGGGAAGGTAGAAACAAGGTCTCACTATATTGCCTAGGCTGGTCTCAAACTCCTGTGCTCAAGCATTCCTCTGGCTTTTGCCTCCCAAAATGCTGGGATTACAGCTGTGAGCCATGGTGCCCAGCCCTAATTTTACTTTATGTATTTTAGAAATTACTTAAATTTTCTGTTCCTTTCCAGGGTCATTTGGATGTATTTTATTAAAATGGCATTGTCTGGGATTTATGACTTAGAAAAAAGTGTCATTGTTGGCTGGGCGTAGTGGCTCACGCCTGTAATCCCAACACTTTGGGAGGCCGAGGTGGGCGGATCACTTGAGATCAGGAGTTTGAAACCAGCCTGCCCAACATGGTGAAACCCCGTCTCCACTAAAAATACAAAAATTAGCCATACATGGTGGCAGGCGCCTGGCGGGCACCTGTAATCCCAGATACTTGGGAGGCCAAGGTAGGAGAATCGCTTGAACCCAGGAGATGGAGGTTGCGGTGAGCCAAGACCACACCATTGCACTCTAGCCCGGGCAACAAAAGCAAAACTCCATCTCAAAAAAAAAAAAAAAAAAAAAAAAAATCACTGTTTTAATTTGCATTTTCTCCATCTTTGCTGGTATGCATTTTTATGTAGGACTTCCTACATACTGTATTCAGATTGGCCTTGGCCTATGGGAATATTTTAGACATAATGAGAATCAAGAGGCATTCAACCCATATATATTTTGTGTCTTCAAGACTTACAACTATATAAAACAAAGCTTATACTATCCAAGAATTCTCAGTGGTGCTTGTAGCAGGGAGCTGTGGGAGCAGGAGGGTTTGTGTGGCTTTCTATATCTGAATATCCTGGGGAGTTTCCTCAGATTACTCAGTAGAGTGGGATGGGCATGGTGTGTGTGTGTGTGTGGCAGAGGGTGCTATGCATTTCTTAACTATCTCCATGTGGCATCTATAATTTCATTTCCCCTAAATTGGTTTAGTTTGTTTTCCAGTGAAGTTTTCACTAGTGAATGACATTAGTGCTTGATCACTATGGGAACAGAAAAAAGGGTAAAAGCCAAAGTTGTATTAGTATGCCAGAGCAACCACTTTAAGGATCATGTATGGCTTCTGTTTCTTCAGAACAGTAGTGTGGATTTGAGCCTTGCTCTGGGTTGATTGATTGATCTCCTTACTGCCTGCATGGCTGCCTATCCACTCGCCTCTCTCCCTGCCTTTTGAGGGGAAGAGAGGAGGAAAGGCAGCTGGGCTAGCTAAAAAACTTCATAAAATTTCCTTCATAGCTCAAAGGCCTTAGTAAAGGTCATTGCAATGAAGACTTGTATATTCTATATGATACTTCACTTCACTTGGTAGATTTGTACCAGTTTGTATTTTCACAAAGGCATGATTTACAAACTCCTTACAAATGGAAAACTGCAAGGAAGTCTGTGATTGATTTAAAGAGTATCCGTTAAGGTTTAGACACATTCAGGGTGAGTGTGTACTTTCAGTAGAAACCCATTTCTTTGTTTCTAGAATCAACATAAAATTTTCACTGATACTTACATCAACATTCACAGTGTGGTAATCTGAATTGGTAGGTAACCAGGTGTTACTAGCTTCAGAAAAACCAGCATTTGAACTATTGTCCCACTGCATTGGTGACTTTGAGCGAAGGGTATTCTATGTCAAAAGACCAGAAAGGGAAAACAGTGGTTTGGTTATTAGAAGAAATGTGCTTTGGTCCTGATTTACTTCATAATTATTTAATTCCCCATAGTTCTTAGCTAGTGTTTGTACTCATTAGCATTTGTGATGAAAAGGCCTCAACTTTCGGTACATAAACCAGTTTCACCCTTTTAACTAGAAAGTACCTAATAACATTTTGAGTTTGAATAGACAATACTAATCGAACTTTAATACATGCTTGAAATCTCTGCTGCTTTTTCCTAAAAATCAATAATACAGGATTTCAAAATGTGCTATTGCCAGTTTACACGACTTCTACTATGGTACAGTGTTGGTGAATTTAAGAACACTGCCATGTACAAGTGAGTATGAATTCTGTCCTACTCGTTTATTCAGCCTGATTATTGCTCATGAGTGCACACACACAAATGTAGGAGCTGATAGAGGGAAAAAAGCTTCACCTTAATCAAATATTAGGGAAATTGGATCTCATATAGTTGAAAGCTAACTAGGCAATTAAAGTTGCAAGATAGTCGTCTACCCAGCAACACAATTCTGAAATCTGTAGCTACAAAATAAAAACTGCTTAACTCTGAGGCTGTGCACTGCACCTGATAACAGAAAAGAAAAGGGTCCTTGTGCTGTGGTCACCCAAGACCAAACAGGACAAATGAGAACTAAAGAAATAAGTGTTCCTAACTCCACATTTCAAGTAGAGGGAAATGAGTCATATTCTAAACTAAACCACCGGTTCTCCAATTTTAGTGTGCCTCTCAACACAGTATTCCTGGCAAAATAAATAAATAAATTTTAATGTGCCTATCAGGTAGAAAACATCTTTAAAATGCCCTACCCAAGAAACTTTTAGTTGTATGGCTCCAAAGCATTTTTAAAATAAGCTCTCAGACCACCAAGAAAGCTGAGAATTCTTACTAACAGTAAGAAAGAAAAGCAAAGTAACCATGATTTTCAGCAATGCAATAGAGAGATAGTAAGTTCTCTGATTTGGCAAAAAATAAAAAATGAATACTTGGTTTTATAGCTGTGATGAATAGTCAAGTTGTATTCAACTTACAATATCATAGCTTTCATTGAGATTTGCGGCTACAATATTTCCCATTCCAATTTCTTCTCCATAGTAAGTTATAGGAGTTCCAGGGAGTGTGAAAAGAAGCATGTTCATCACGTTGACATACTGATTCCCCAAACGCGAAGTCAGCCGTGAACTGTCTGGTCCACCAATCTGAAAGGCAGATATTTTTAAGAACACAGCTGTATACACAGTTTTCTGAAAGATTTACCCTATTTCACAGAAAGTTCACAACGTAGCAAAACAAAGTAGATGTGGTACCTTGGTACTAGCAAGCCTGGACTTGAGTCCTAGGCCTGCTATTTGCTGTGTAACTGACCAATTTATTATCTTGGCCACTGATGAGCAAGAAAAGGGTGATAAGAATTTATTGTACAATGATATTGCAAATAAAACTCAGAGGGTACATAGTCATATTTTCTCATATTTGGATAAGAGAATATTGACAGGAAAGGAAGCAAAACTGTGGCAGAGAGCAAGACAAGGGAACCCAGGTGAAAGGGACAGGCATGAGAGACTTCTGATGTGTCCTCTTTTAAAAAATTGTTTTGACTTATGAATTATTCAGACAAAATTTTTAAAGTAAATCAACTTTTAGAAAGAATTTACATACTCCAAGATGAAATTTTATAAAGTGTTTTCTATTTGTAAATATATTTCCATGTTAAACGTTCTAGGTATATTCTAGCCCTTATTTAAATAAGTTTGTTTAAATAAGAATTTATTTAAATCACCTGACAACTCTCTCCATAACCCACAACTCAAACCC
The DNA here is from genome assembly GCF_000001405.40 of Homo sapiens. NCBI lineage: Eukaryota > Metazoa > Chordata > Mammalia > Primates > Hominidae > Homo > Homo sapiens. Next base: position 44,311,969 of record NC_000002.12, on the reverse strand, counting down.
TCATGTGCATACGCTGAGCATGGCACTTTACTTTTTAAAAAGTACTTTCACACCTATATTTCCCTCCTTCACACAACAGTGCTAGCAAGTACTATCTCCGTTTTACAAATGAGGAAACAAGCTCTGAGAAATTACATCATTTATTCAAGTAGTAGTCTAAGACAGAACTAGCGTTCGAACTTGAGTCTTAGGACAAGACTTAATTGCTACAATTCAAGAAATAGGAGGTTGGGTTTTTTTTTTTTTAACTTCCTTAGCTGTATGAAAATGATCTTTATAATTACGTTTTTATAGACCATTGTGAAGTATTTTTCTATGTTTATGGCCAGAAAATTAGGTCAATTTTTGCCTCCATCCTTTTATTCTTTTCACTGTCATGAGATCTTCTGACAAGAAACCCTTTGATTTCTCAAGACTTCTGGACATAGAGCACAACAAACACTGGGAAAGGAAGAATGTGATTTCCAGAATTGTCATACTACTTAAAATGTCCGGTTTTTAACAACAACAACAAATATACAAAACAGTCAAAGAAAACAGGAAAATATGGCTCATATAATGGTGGGGGGAGTCAATAGCAAATATTGCTTAGGAAGACCAAACATTGGACTTACTAGACAAAGATTTTAAACCAGCTAATATTTTGATATTCAAAGAAAAAACCTGTGCCTGAAGAATTTAAAGTATATGAACAGTTATCAAATAGATAAGAGAAATTATGAAAAAATAAAACTGTTAGAGTTAAAAAGTACAATAGCTAAAGTGAGACGTTTACTAGAGGGACTTGACAAATTTGAACTAGCAAAGGAATCAGAAAACTTGAAGACTCAATTGAGAGTATCTGGCCTGAGAACCAGAAAGAAAAAGAAGAATGAGGCCAGGCACTGTGGCTCCCACCTGTAATCCCAGTGCTTTGGGATGCCAAGGCAGGAAGATGCTTGAGCTCAGGAGTTCTAAACCAGCCTGGGCAACATGGTGAGACCCCATGTCTACAAAAAAATTAAAAATTTAGCCAGGCATGGTGGCATGCACCTGTAGTCTCAGCTACTCAAGAAGCTGAGATGGGAAAATTGAGCACAGGACATCAAGGTTGCAGTGAGCCATGTTTACACCACTGCACTCCAGCCTGGGCAACAGAGCAAAACCCTGTCTCAAAAAAAAAAACCAGACTCTCAGAGACCTGTGGGATACTATCATGCATACCAACATATGCATAATGGGAGTCTCAAAAGGAGAGAAGGAAGAGAAATGGTCAGAAACAATATTTAAAAAAAAAATAGCCAACAACTTCCCAAATTTGATTTTTTTAAAAATTGTGTATCTAAGAACCTCAATGAACTCCAAGTAGGACAAAATTTTTAAAAACCCACACTTAGACATATCAGTCAAACCGTTAAAAGACACAGAATCTTTAAAGGAGCAAAGAAAATTGGTACATCACATGTAAGGAGTCTCAATAAGATTAGCAACTGACTTCTTATCAGAAACCATGAAGGCCAGAGGGCAATGGGATGACATATTCAAAGTGATGAAAGAAAGAACTGTAAACCAAGATTTCTATATCCAGCAAAACTGTTATTCAATAATGAAAAAATGAGATACCACTTCATTTGTACTATGATGAGTATAATTTTTTAAATCAAGACAGAAAAGTGTTGGTGAGGATGAAAAGAAATTGGAACCTTCGTACATGGCTGATGGGAATGTAAAACGGAGAAGTCACTATGGAAAACAGTTTGGTAGTTCCTCAAAATCACAGAAGTACTATATGATCCAAGGCTGGGCACAGTGGCTCACACCTGTAATCCTAACACTTTAAGGGCCAAGGTGGGAAGATCACTTGAGCTCAGGAGTTCAAGACCAGCTTGGACAACATGGCAAAACCCCATCTCCACAAAAAATACAAAAATTATCCAGGTATGGTGGTATGCACCTATAGTCCCAGCTACTTTGTGGGAGCTAATGCAGGAGGATTGCTTGAGCCCAGGAGGTCAAGGCTGCAGTGAGCCATGTTCACACCACAGTGCTCCAGCCTAGGTGATGACAAAGTGAGACCCTGTCTCAAAAAAAAAGCCTGGGCACAGTGGCTTATGCCTGTAATCCCAGCACTTTGGGAGGCCAAGGCAGCAAATCACTTGAGGCCAGGAGTTCCAGACCAGCCTGGCCAACATGGTAAAACCCCATTTCTACTAAAAATACAAAAATTAGCCAGTCATGTTGGCACATGCCTGTAATCCAAGCTACACAGGAGGCTAAGGCATAAGAATTGCTTGAACCCAGAGGCAGAGGTTGCAGTGAGCCGAGATCATACCACTGCACTCTAGCCTGGGTGATACAGTGAGACTCCATCTCAAAAAACAAAACAAAAGAAGTATTATGTGATCCAGCAATTCCACTCCATGGTATAGATCCAAAAGAATTGAAATCTGGGGCTTAAACAGATACTTGTACACCATTGGTTTGTAACATTATTCCAACAGCCAAAAGGAGGCAAAACCACAAACGTCACCAACAGATGAATAGATAACGTGTTACATAGGTACCATGGAATGTTATTCAGTCATAAGAAGGAGTAAGATCTCATACATGCTATTGTATGTATGAAGGAAAGTTGAAAACATTAAGCTAAGTGAAATGAGGCAGACACAAAAGGACAAATATTGTTATGATTCCACTTATATGAGGTACCTAGAATAGGCAAATTTATAGAGGCTGAAAATAGAATGGAGGATATCAGGGGTTAGTGGTGGAAGTGAGGAATTATTGTTTAGTGGGTACAGATTTTCTGTTTGGGATGATAAAAGTTCTAGAAACTGATAATGGTGATGGTTGTACAACATTTTGAATGTATTTAATGCATTGAATTACACACTTTTGAATGTTTAAAATTGTTTTATGTATATTTTGCAATAATTTTAAAACAAAAAATTCCTCAGAAGGCCAGGCACAGTAGCTCACGCCTGTAATCCCAGCACTTTGGGAGGCTGAGGCAGGCAGATCATGAGGTCAGGAGACCGAGGCCATCTTGGCTAACACGGTGAAACCCCGTCTCTACTAAAAATACAAGAAGTTAGCCAGGCATGGTGGCAGGCACCTGTAGTCCCAGCTATTTGGGAGGCTGATACAGGAGAATGGCATGAACCCGGGAGGCGGAGCTTGCAATGAGCTGAGATCACACCACTGCACTCCAGCCTGGGCAACAGAGCAAGACTCTGCCTCAAATTAAAAAAAAAAAAATTCTTCAGGAATTCACAATAAACTATTAGAAACGAAAAACAAGTTCAGCAATGTTTTAGGATACAAGATCAATATACACAAATCTATTGTATTTCTATACACTAATAATGAAGAATCCAATAATGAAATTAAGCAAACACTTCAGTTTACAATAATATCAAAAGAACAAAATACTTAGGAATAAACTGAACAAAAAGTCTAAGACTTGTACAATGAAAAATACAAAACATCATCAAAAGAAATTAAAGACCTAAATAAGATACATCTGTCTTCATGGATTAGAAGACAAGATGGCATGATTGCCAAAAATGATAAACAGATTCAATGCAATCCCTATCAAAATCCCAGTTGGCTATTCTAAAATTTATATGGAAATCCTAAAATTCACATGGAAATATAAGGTACCCAGAACAGCTAAAACAATCTTGAAAAATAACAAAGTTGGAGGACCCATACTTCTCTATGTCAAAACTTACTAAGCTACACTAATCAACTCAGGGTGTTCAGGCATAGAGACAGACATATAGATGAACAGAACTGAGAGTCTGGAAATCTAATCAACTGATTTTCTTTTTTTTGTTTTGTTTTACATTTAGAGACGGGGTCTCACTCTGTCACCCAGGCTGGAGTTCACCCTGGAGTGTAATCATGGCTCAAGGCAAACTTGAACTCCTGGGCTCAACTCCCACCTCAGCCTCCCAAAGTGCTGGGATTTCAGATGTGAGCCACCACGCCCAGCCTACAATCAGTTGATTTTTCAACAAAGATTCCATGATAATCCAATGAAGCAAAGAATAGTCTTTTTAGCATGTGGTGCTGGAATAAATAGACCAGGCAATGGTTTCTAATATAACACTAAAAGTACAAGTAACAACAACAACAAAACAACTGGACTTCATAAAAATTAAAAACTTCTGTGCTTTTCAAGGGACACTATCAAGAAAGTGACATGAAAGCCCACAGAATGGGAGAAAATACTTGCAAATCACCTATCCAGTATATATCAGGAATTCTTACAACTAAACAATAAAAAGACAACCAAATTTAATTATAGGCAAAGAATCTGAACAGACATTACTCCAAATAAGACATGCAGATGTCCAATAAGCACATGAAAATACCCTCAACAAAATTAGCCATCAGGGAAATGCAAAAAAAAAAAAAAAAATGCAATGAGATAACAACTTGACACTCAGTAGGAAGGCCATCATCAGAAAGGCAGACCATCACAAGGCTTGATGAGATGTGGAAAAATTGGAACCCTCGTAACATTGCTGGTGGGAATGTAAAATGGAGTAACTACTTTGGAAAACAGTTTGGCAGTTCCTCAAATAGTTAAATGTAGACTTACCATATGCCCAGTGGAGCAATTCCACTCCTGGATATATATCAGAGAGAATTGAAAACATGTTTTTATAAAAACTTGTACACAAATGTCCATAGCATCACTATTCGTAATAGTCCAAAAGTGAAAACAAATCTCTGTCAATTCATGATCAGATAAACAAAATGGGCTTTATGGAAGTTACTATTCAGCCATAAAAAGGAACGATGTACTGAGACATACTACAACATGGATAAACCTTGAAAACACTATGTTAAGTGAAAGAAGCTAGACACAAAAGTCCCATATCGTATAGCTCCATTTATATGAAATGCCCTGAATAGGCAAATCCATAGACACGGAAAGTAGGTGAGTGGTTGCCAGAGACTGAGGACAGAGAGGGAGGGGCCATGCGCAGTTATTGCTAGTGGAGATGTGGTTTATTTTGGGGGTGATGAAAATGCTCTGGAATGAGACATTGGTGATGGTTGCATAATTCTGTGAATATACCGAAAATCCACTTAATTATATACTTTAATAACGGTAAATTTTGGCTGGGCTCAGTGGCTCACACCTGTAATCCCAGCACTTTGGGAGGCCAAGATGGGTGGATCACCTGAGGTCAGGAGTTCGAGACCAGCCTGGCCAACATGATGAAACCCCGTGTCCCTACTAAAAATACAAAAAATTAGCTGGGTGTGGTGGTGGGCACCTGTAATCCCAGCTACTCTAAAGGCTGAGGCAGGAGAATTACTTGAACCCAGGAGGCAGAGGTTGAAGTGAGCCGGGATCACACCACTGCACCCCAGCCTGGGTAACGAGCAAAACTCCGTCTCAAAAAAAAAAAAAAAAAAAAAAGTTTTATGGTATGTGAATTATATCTCGACAAAGCTGTTATTTAAAAATTGTATAGTTTTAATACTTACATTTAACAAATTAAAGCTTTTACCATGCCTAAAAATTTGAGCCTCTTTCCCCTCACCAGACGGAGAAAGGCTCTGGCAATGGAAACACACATTCCTGCCTATTAAAGCATCAGAAAAGATTGAAATAAGCTTAATTGTGGTTCACAGATTCTGCCAGTGTTTTTCTGCCTAGGCTGCATTTTCTCCTTTATCCTTTCAGGTTTTCATCAGGCTGTGTAAGATAGCTGGCAGGATCTGTGCGAAAAGTATCAAAATCATACCACTTTTCAGGGCCCAGATCAAACCTACAGGTATTGTGGGGGTACAACAGAAGATATTGACTAGTGTAAGGCAACTCTCTCTCTATATATAAGGCACACCTTTGGTAAGTCGCTGAACTGCATACGAATAACAACAGCACCAGTAACAAACAAACCCTGAGCCTGAGCACCTCCGTGTGAGGTGGGCACCGTGCAAGGATGCTGGGAACCTGCCTCTGCCCTTAACCAGTGAACTGTCTAGTGGGGAAAGCAGACATCGTGGAATTGTGTGGACTTTAAGGAAAGAGAATGAACGGGTGCTATAGTATACAATAGGTAGACCTGACACCTCATTTGGGGGCTCCAGAAGGCTTCCTGTGGTGACACCTACCTGAGACCTAAACGATGAGACCACAGAAACAGTCTAAGGTGGTAGAGATACAGAGAGATGGAGGATTATCGAGACTAAAGAGGCATTTTAGAGTTTACATTTATAATATATTAAAGAAAGGAAGGGCCAGGAGTGGTGGCTCATGCCCATAATCCCAGCACTTTTGGGAGGCTGAGGTGGGGGTGGATCACGAGGTCAGGAGTTCAAGAACAGCCTGACAAACATGGTAAAACCCCGTCTGTACTAAAAATAAAAAAATTAGCCAGGCATGGTGGCGTGCACCTGTAATCCCAGCTACTCAGGAGGCTGAGGCAGAAAAATTGCTTGAACCCAGGAGGTGGAGGTTGCAGTAAGCCAAGATCACGCCATGCACTCCAGCCTGGGCAACAGAGGGAGGCTCCGTCTCAAAAAAAAAAAAAAAAAAAGTAAGAAAAGAAAGGTTGTCTTTTATATGAGAGAAAGAAACTTGCATTTTGTTTAAACCACTATTACCGTGGGACTTTGAAGCAGCAGGGCTTACATCTATAATACTACAGACATCTTACGAAGGAGCCTAATATTGACCTCTAACTCAAACCCAAAGACAGAAAAATCAGATCAGGGAAAGCAACCCTGATGGGTGTGGAAGTGAGAATACTGGTCTGTTACCACAGGTATGTATTGCTGTATCTTCTGTTCTTCACTGAAGTAATGTATTGCCAGTCTTGAAAAATGTTAGTGCTGGGCGTGGTAGCTCATGCCTGTATTCCCAGCACTTTGGGAGACCAAGGTGGGCAGGCAGATCACCTGAGGTCAGGAGTTTAAGACAAGCCTGGCCAACATGGTGAAACTCCCTCCCTACTAAAAATACAAAAACAAAAATAATTAGCCAGCCATGGTGGCATGCACCTGTAGTCCCAGCTACTCAGGAGGCTGAGGTGGGAGGATTGCTTGAGCCTCAGAGGTCGAGGCTGCAGTGAGCCATGACTGCACCATTGCACTCCAGGCTGGGTGCAGAGTGAGCCCCTGTCTCAAAAAAAAAAAAAAAAAAAAAAAAAAATTGTTTTCAAGAGTGTAGTACAGAAGGGGGAGAAATTCTTTCTCCGACAATCTCTGTAGTTTAAATGCTTTTTGCAGTGCATCCTGCCCCACAAATTGGTGTTTTGTCACAGTTTTATGTTGCCCTGAATTGCTGTGTACCTCTTCTACACCCGAAATCCTCTTTCTTCCCATTGACATCATAAACTCTGAGATATGTGGGGAGAAATTATGGTTTGATATCCATCCCCAAAAAGCCTAGCAGTGTTCTGAGCATAGACAAGCACTCATTCAATATTCATTCCATTCAGTGGGCAGTCTCCCTCCCTTAATGAAAAGAACCTGGCAGAGGCTGTGACAGGCCTGACCACTGAACAATCACCAAATAAGGCAGAGGTGATGGTCACTTAGAGACAAAGGTCCATTGCATTTTAGAGATAACTGGACAGCAAAGGCAACAGCAGCACATTATGTACTCTGCTGTCATGAGGACTTACCATCCAGTTAGGCCATTTTCCTTCTGGCATGTTTTCCATCCAGGATGTGATAACCTCATACACGCTGTTCCCAGAAACAGTGTCTAGCATGCTGAGGTAATTGTTGAAGGGAAAATCAGCTTCTTGGATAAATGGCAATCCATAGTACATCACGGTCCTGTCAATACTCTCTGCATAGGCTTCAGTCCCCATGAACCTATAAGAGTTGACAAGGTTCAGTGTCATCGGGGCCTGTCAGAAGACTGGGAAGGCACTCCACAGCTGCTTATCTTGCATGTACAAGATGTAGGGGCTGAATGCACACTATTAACCATATAGGACTAGCACCTTCTAGAAAGCATAATCAAGCTGTCACCAAATGTTAGACTGGATTAAGAAAATGTGGCACATACACACCATGGAATACTATGCAGCCATAAAAAAGGATGAGTCCATGTCCTTTGCAGGGACATGGATGAAGCTGGAAACCATCATTCTAAGCAAACTATCACAAGGACAGAAAACCAAACACCGCATGTTCTCACTCATAGGTGGGAGTTGAATAACGAGAACACATGGACACAGGGCAGGGAACATCACACACCGGGGCCTGTCAGTGGGTGGGGGGCTAAGGGAAGGATAGCATTAGGAGAAATACCTAATGTAAATGACAAGTTGATGGGTGCAGCAAACCAACATGGCACATGTATACCTATGTAACAAACCTGCATGTTGTACACATGTACCCCAGAACTAAAAGTATAATAATAAAAAATAAGGCAGAAAAATCCACCCCCCCCAAAAAAAATGAAACACATTTGGGTGCCAGGTGCAGTGGCTCACACCTGTAATCCCAACACTTTGGGAGGCCGAGGCAGGTGGATAACTTGAGGTCAGGAGTTTGAGACCAGCCTGGCCAACGTGGAGAAACATCTCTACCAAATATACAAAAATTAGGTGTGGTGATATGCGCCTGTAATCCCAGCTACTCGGAAGGCCAAGGCAGGAGAATCACTTGAATTTGGGAGGTGAAGGTTGCAGTGAGATGAGATCATGCCACCACACTCCAGCCTGGGCAACAAAGTGAGAATGTCTTTAAAAAAAAAAAAAAAAATTGGATCTCAGTCTATATTGGTTGTTTTTTTGTTATTGTTTCTTGAGACAGAGTTTTACTCTTATTGCCCAGGCTGGAGTGCAATGGCATGATCTTGGCTTACTGCAACCTCCACCTCCCAGGTGCAAGTGATTCTCCTGCCTCAGCCTCCCGAGTAGCTAGGATTACAGGCACCCGCCACCACGCCCAGCTAATTTTTTTGTGTTTTTAGTAGACACAGGGTTTCACCATGTTGGCCAGGCTGGTCTCAAACTCCTGACCTCTGATGATGTGCCTGCCTTGGCCTCCCAAACTATTGGGATTACAGGCATGAGCCACCGCACCAAGCCTGTTCTTTTCTTTCTAAACCTAGAATCCTAGGAGAAATAATCTCCTAGAATCAAAATTCAGTAACATCCTGACACTAAAACTCGTTGACATCCATGAAGACTTTCTTTAGCAATTCTCATCACTCCATTTAGAATCTAAAGTTTATGTCTGCAAATTAGGTGGGGTATTTTCTTCAAAAGAACTTCCCCCTTGTATTGGAGTCCCTATAACATCTTGCCTTATTATTGGTGTGCACTCTCAATTGCTGAAAGCAAAACCCTGGGGGAAGACACATTCACCTGAAATGACTCCGATCAATGCTGGCTTTAGCTATTTGAGGCAGCATATTTATGGATAAGTGCATGGTCTCTGGAGCCCAACTGCTTCAGTTCAAATCCCATAGCTGCCACTCCTACCTGTGGACATTACTTACATGCTCAGAGCCTCAGTTTCCTTGTCTATAAAATGGAGACAGAGTAATCGGAGTACCTACTTTAAGGAGATGAAATTTCTTTAATTCCTTCCTATTGATTCTGTTGAGTGATCTATGTAAACTTAATGATGGGTAATTTTATTGAGTGTTTACTATGATCCAGGCACTACTTTATATACATTATCTAATTTAATCTCACAACAGCCTTATAGAGGTTATTGCTATCACTTTTTTATTGATGAGACAACTGAGACTTATGTTAATTAACTGGCCCTAGGTCACACAGCTACAGAGCAGGACTCCTTCAGACCTACCTGATTCCAAAGCTGTGTTCCTGATACTTTAGCTGAAACATATGGATTTATATACTGTACTAGGAAACTATAGATCCAATAACAATGATAAAAATAATACTGCAGAGAAGGAGCTGGTATTTTTATTTTTTTCTTGAGATGGAGTATTGCTCTGTTGCCCAGACTGGAGCACAGTGGCATGATCTCAGCTCACTGCAACCTCCACCTCCCCGGTTCAAGCAATTCTCCTGCCTCAGCCTCCCGAGTAGCTGGTATTACAGGCATGTGCCACCTTGCCCATTTTTGTAGTTCTAGTAGAGGAGGGGTTTCGCCATGTTGCCCAGGCTGGTCTCGAACACCGTCAGGTGATCCACCAGCCTCGACCTCACACAGTGCTGGGATTACAGGCATGAGCTACCGCACCCAGGTGGAGCTGGTTTTGTTTTTTTGGTTCTTTTTTTTTTTTTTTTTTGTGATGGAGTCTCGCTCTGTCGCCCAGGCTGGAGTGCAGTGGTGCAATCTTGACTCGCTGCAACCTCTGCTTCCCGGGTTCAAGTGATTCTCCTGCCTCAGCCTCCCAAGTAGCTGGGATTACAGGCACCCACCACCACACCCAGCTAATTTTTGTATTTTTAGTAGAGATGGGGTTTCACCATGTTGGCCAGGCTGGTCTCAAACTCCTGACCTCGTGATCCGCCTGCCTTGGCCTCCTACAGTGCTGGGTTTACAGGCGTGAGCCACTGTGCCCGGCCTGGAACTGGTTTTTGAAAAAGAAAAAATAATAGCTCATGGCTAACATTTAGCTAATATAATCTCTTTTTCATTAACCTAATTTTCACAAAACTCCTGTGAAGTACGTAGTGTGATCTGCATCATTTTACAAAAGAGGAAACTGAAAGTCAGCAAAATAAGCAAACAGGAAAGGAATATGGCAGGCCCTGGTACAACCAAACTGTAATCAATTAGAGTTATGCAGGCTTGTTACATTATTACTTGAACCTCCAAATACACTTGGTTGTGAGGGATACACTGCAGATCACACACTAAGCCTGGGAAGAAATGAGAGCATATGCCGTGGTCAACCTGTATCTGCCGGGCTCCGTGCTGTATTGGTCCATGGTCTGCCGGAAGCTGCGGACAATGTCGTGCATTCCCACCTGCGTGGTGGTGAAGTCATGGTACAGCTCCGAGTATTGTGTGACCGTGTCCTTTGAAAACCAGGACGACATGGTTACCCTCATTTCATACATTGCATGCCCACAGCTCGCTCTATATGAATGTAGACAACCTCTTCAAAGGGCTCAAGCCAAGCGAGACGCACACTCAAACATGGTTTTGTGGATGGAGAAGAATGCTTCATTTGATGCTCAAGTTGTTAACTTTATAAATCTACTAAGCAATATTTCTCTAATAAACTGTCACCCATTTTAGCAAATAAATTTTACCAAGCAAAACACTGATTACAAAGTTCTCAACACGTAATTGTCAAAATGTTTCAGACCCTTTTAAAAACAAAAAAAAAGATCTTAGTGGTTATAGAGCTCATTATTACATGTATACTTTATCTGCTCACAAAACTATTAACATCATGCACTTAAATTTGTTTCTTTACCATCACTATCCTTTCTCCTAACTGTTATACTTTCTCGGGGTTTCAGTAAATTTTTCCTAGTTTCTGTATCTTTGTAGGATTTCTATGTCAGTGTCTCATTTCTATGTCTTTCTAGGATGACAATAATCTCCTAGAATCAAAACAAAAAATTACATCTCATCCAAGCCAAGGCCTCCTCACTTGAGCCTATGTCAGATGATAAAATTGCAGGAGTAAATGTCCTCTATTTTGTGGCCCTTGGTAGAGCCCACACTGTCCATGTCTTCAGAACCCTTGTCACTGAAGGACTCCTCAAGGGATCCCTCGCTCTGGAGGGAACCAGTGGAAAAAAACATCGAGTGCATATGCATTTCAAACTCTTGCACATTTCCTAAAGAAATAAATCAGGGTACTTGCTAGACACAGGACAAAACTCATCTTTGTAACTGGTATCTCAGGCTGAGAAAGAAAACACTCTGATGACATTTTCAGAAAAGGCAAAAGAAAAACGTTTAAAATAAAACTTTACCGGGATTTGGGTCTTATTTACTTGGATCTCATCTCTCAGGTGCTTTGCTTCTAGGAGGAATTTAACAGCATCCAAACTAAAACCATCAACACCCTTTGTGAGCCAGAACCGTAAAATTTCCTAAAGATGAAGAAGCAAAATGCTTGGTTACATTAACTACGTTATTATCACAACGTTTAATCAAAGTTTTGACTGTTAACAACTTGGCATCATAAAACAGATATCTACATACAGAACAAGCACAGTATTCACAGTCTATTTTTATCTATTTAGCATAACTGTCTTACTAAAATGCACTCTAACTGCATTTAGCGACTCCCACACCTCCTTCATATGTGAATTCAGAATTACAATTAGTTACATTTGTAATGGATGTTATAAGGATGTTTTCAAAGTTTAGAGAGTCTACTAAAAATGAAAGAATGAAACCATAAGAAAAGATAGGACTCAGAATAAACTAGGAAAGTTTCTCATCTCCCTCATGCCCAACTCCTTAACTGTCACTGCAAACTCAAAGAAAATAACACATTGTTCAATAGTTAAATATTTCACTCCTTACTAGGAAGGCAGATGAGAGGTGAAGTGCTTAGATATTAAAGGATCTCCTGCTAGGAGTAATATGGAAGGAACACACAGAAAAAAAATAGAATCAACCATCAACCAAGTAAATAACTAAGAATAGTGACGATCCTGTGGTAAAACTCAGATACTAGTGTTGTCTTGAATACACTCAGATAATAAAAGATGAAATGGGCTGGGCACAGTGGCTCATGCCTGTAATCCCAGCACTCTGGGAGGCCGAGGCAGGCGGATCACCTGAGGTCAGGAGTTTGACACCAGCCTGGCCAACATGATGAAACCCTGTCTCTACTAAAAATACAAAAAGTAGCCAGGCATGGTGGCGGGTGCCCATAATCCCAGCTACTCGGGAGGCCGAGGCAGGAGAATCACTTGAACCCGGGAGGTGGAAGTTGTGGTGAGCCGAGATTGGGCCATTGCACTCCAGCCTGGGCAACAAGAGCAAAACTCTGTCTTTTAAAAAAAAAAAAAAAAAAAAAAGGAATCTACATTATTCCACTGGCTTTAATTTCACAAATAAATTGATCCCAAACACAAATGGTTAAGCTAAAAATCCAGGTTCTCATACATTTAATTTTATTCTTTGGTGACAGACTTTCTTCCAAAGGTGTGTGCTAGAAACCCAATTATTGTATGACTGCCCCTGGCTCACTCTCCTCTCCTGCCCTACTCTTCCAACACACCTTGCTAGAGAGAAGGTAGTCATTGCCTGCTCAGCCTCTCCCCTGCCTCACCTGCTCCTGAGAGCATCATCGTGGGCTGCCTTGTTCCCAGGCATTTTTAATGCTGAAGCCAAAGATTAGAGAGATGAAGACTGGTGCAAATAAGTGGTTAGTCCGGGCGCAGCGGCTCACGCCTATAATCCCAGCACTTTGGGAGGCCGAGGCAAGTGGATCACTTGAGGCCAGGAGTTTGTGACCAGCCTGGCCAACATGGTAAAACCCCGCCTCTACTAAACATACAAAAATTAGTTGGGCATGGAGCCATGCACCTGTAGTCCCAGCTACTTGGGAGGCTGAGCATGAGAATTGCTTGAACCTAAAAATCGGAGGTTGCAGTGAGCCAAGATCATGCCACTGCACTCCAGCCTGGGTGGCAGAAGGAGATCCTGTTTCAAGAAAAAAAAAGGCAGTGGCAGGGATAGGGGGGTGGCCAGTGTGGCCAGAGGAGCATAAGTAAGAGTAGGAGGAGGTAAAGAAAACTAACTCATCATGCTCAGCTTTGTAGTTAACAGGAAAGATCTGGGATTTTTGTGAGGGTGATGGGAAACCCCTGGAGGGATTTTTAATCAGAAAAGGCTGTGGGCTGACTTAACATTTTTTTTAAAGATCTGATGTATGAAGAATCAACTGTATAGTATGGCATTTCCTCAAAAGGTTAAACATCAAGTTACCATAAGACCCAGCAATTTCACGCATAGGTATATACCCGAGAGAAATGAAAACTTATGTCCACGCAAAAACTTGTTCACAAATATTCATAGCAGCATTATTCATAATAGCCAGAAAGTGGAAACAACCCAATGGTCTATCCATACGATGAATATTTGGCCATGGAAAGGAACAATGTGCTGACACATGCTACGACATGGATGAACCTTGAAAAGATTTTTCTAGCCAGGTGTGACGGCTCACACCTGTAATCTCAGCAATTTAGGAGGCTGAGGTGGGAGGATCGCTTGAGCCCAGGAGTTCTAGACCAGCCGGGCAACATGACAAAACCCTGTCTCTACAAAAAATGAAAAATTAGCTGCGTGTGGTGGTACATGTCTGTAGGCCTCTGAAACAGCACCTGGTACTTAGTGAACAAATTGTAGCATGAAAGAATGACATATTGAGCCTGAATGACCAAACATTACAGAAGTACAGCATGTTCCCTGGCTTCAGGTCTACAGAACAGTTGGGGACATGTGGGACAAGGGATGGTTACCTAATAATGCAGGTCCTCATGAGAGGAGACACCTCTGCCTACAGGGCTGCAAGAGCTTCAAGACATTTCAAAATATGTGGGTGGGCACAGCAGGAGAAGGAAGAGCTAGAGCTTGAACTTGACCTAGATGACCTGGTGGGATTTCAATGGAGGGTGGGAATGGGACAACATGAGCCAAGTGTGGAGGCAGAGGCTGGCCTGTACTGGGACAGGTGGGAGGACCAGGTGACCGTGAAAAGCAGAGGTCCTGAGCCTCAGCTACCTGCCTCAACCCCACAGCCAGCCTCTCCCAGCAAGGCCTGCTCCGGCTCCGGCACCTGCTCACAAGCTCTGCAAAGGAACAGTGGCTCTCCCTACTTTTCTCATCCCTTGCTGTATGGAAGGTTTCACAGGAATGTATATATCATTTTAGAGCAGAACCATCTGTAAAGTACTAAACAGCCAATTTTCACCTATGGAGGGAAACAGAGCCACAGATCCCAAATGACAACTATCCCACAGTTCACTTGTGTATTAGAGTTTGTTCTCATGCTGCTAATAGAGACATATCTAAGACTGGGTAATTTGTAAAGCTGTTTAATTGACTCACAGTTTCACAGGGCTGGGGAGGCCTCACAATCATGGCAGAAGGCGAATGAGGAGCAAAGTCACATCTTACATGACAGCAGGCGAGAGAGTTTGTGCAGAAGAACTCCCACTTATAAAACCATCAGAACTCACTATCACGAGAACAGGATGGAGGAAACCACACCCATGATTCAATTATCTCCACCTGCTCCACCCCACAACACATGGGGATTATGAGAATTACAATTCAAGATGAGACTGGGGTGAGGACACAGCCAAACCATATCAACTTGTTTGACTTGAAGTGCGTTTCTATCTGCACGTGAATATGGAGGTTTCAAGTCAAGTCAAGGGTCTCAACAGCTAAATGCAAGGGTTAATACTGCTCCTGTCAATTCACTTTAAGCTGAGATTTTGAATGGTGAAGCTTGAATCAATTTTTTATGCCTAAGAGCAAGTTCTGGGGTGAATAACTCTTATCATGGGCACAGGTGACCCAAATAACCTCCAGTAATCTCTACCCAGTGGAATTTTTCTCTGGGGCATAAAAAACAAATTTGTTCTTACTAGTGCCTTTATCTTTTACCAAATTCATTCATTCAATAAGTATTTGAACTCCTAGTGTATACCAGGCACTTAGGCAAGCCCTGGAACTACAACCACAAGAAAAATACAACAGACACAGTCCTAGGTCTCCCGGATTATTTTAGAATCTCCAGCTAGACAAATAGCAACACAAAAATATTTAAATCACAGCTGAGACAAAGGAGAGAAACATGGTAATACAAGAGGGTAAAACAGCAATTCACCCTGGGGAGGGTTTGCAGCTGGCAAACAGGAAGTGACAGCCATTCATCAGAGAATGGGCTAGAGAAGTCTGGTGGGGCAAAGAAAGGCACCTCATTTCTAGAACAGGTTTTCAGTGGCTTCAGGAGTGACCTTACTATGAAGCTAACCAAACTTAAGCTTCAAGACCTCTCACTTGCACTCATCTAACTCCCCTTCTTTGCTCATTTTAAGTAAATACCAACTTTTCTGTACTTAATTTTGTGCTCTATTTTAAGAAGGCCCTAATTTACTATCAGCTTCAGACCCCGCGCAACCTGGGTCCACACCCAGGTGGTGCTGTTCTTTAAAAGTGTGAACATTGGTTGGGGCAGAGCACGAATAACTGAAGGCATCCAAGCGGCCTCTGACAAAAATGTGGGAAAACATTAAGCACCATTCTGTGTAAACATCAAGCTTTTGGGCACTGATTTCCTAAAATAAAGCCAGTCCTTTTCTTTACGGAGTCCGGATCTCAGCATTGTGAAATGTTGACCTGACATTAAACATGAGAAACTTGTACCGCACAGAAGGTTTATGGCCCTAGCATAATCAGAAATAATATCATTGTTTAATGAGACAAAACAGTAAAAGCTTGATGGACATTTTCTGAAAGTCATTTTAAATGCTGATAATTCAGATTATCACCAAGATAATCCAAAGTTTGCTCTTGAAAAATATTTGCTTCATGCTATTTATTCTCTCAACCAGGAGGGAAAAGAGAGCTTCAGATTTTAATTGTTAACCCTCTTTACTCCCATGAAGGTCTCTCAGGGTTCCAGATGCAAAAATGGGCACAGAGCCTGGGTCAGCTAGGTCTAGTGACCCATGTAGGTGCCGTGGACTCTGGGAACTGGACTATACACTACGTCCTTGACTCCTGTCTGACTCCCATGACATCACGCACTCCTGGTTTTTCCACTGGGCACCTTTTAACTCCTTTCTCTTTAAATAGCTCGCTGCTCTGAGTGAAAAGAAAGCAAGTCAACATTAAGGAAGCAAGTTAACATATCCAAATACATGGAACCTTGAGCCAAGCCTTTCCTTTTCAGATGGCTGACATTTGGGGGCCCGTTTACCTAAAAACCCATGTTTGGGAAAAGCTCTGTCTACTCTTACATGGGATGATAGAGAAGACATCCTCTTAAGCCAGGTGTGGTGGCTCATGCCTGTAATCCTAGCACTTTCAGAGACCGAGGTGGGAGGATCACTTAAGCTCAGGAGTTCAAGACCAGCCTGGGCAACAAAGTGAGACCCTGTCTCTATTAAGAAAACAAAAACAAACCAAAAAAACAAACAGAAGACATCATCTTGAAAATGTCATAAATCACAGGTTGTCCATCTCAAGAAGGAATGAGAAAGGATGTTTCAGAGTACAGAGGAAACTGGTTCTCTACTTAGAGGCAAGAGAAAGAAAACTGACCCTACTCATGTTCAGAAATCTTGGAAAAATTCTTTGCTAACTCCTCCAGAAGCAGGAAGTAGAGGAAAGATCAAGGACTTCAGAATTTGACCCTCTGGGTACAACCCAGCTCTCTCGCTGTCCAGCTGCATGACATAGGGCATCTGCAAGACCAGCTAAGCCTCAGTGTCTCCATCAATAACATAGTATGGAGGGTTTCTGTATGGAGTAAATAAGGTATTGCTGCCAGAGTCAATTGACTTTTCAATTTTTTTTTTTTTTTTTTGAGATGGAGTCTCACTCTGTCACCCAGGCTGGCGTACAGTGGTGTGATCTCAGCTCTGCAACCTTTGCCTCCCGGGTTCAAGCAATTCTCCTGCCTCAGCCTCCTGAGTAGCTGGGATTACAGGTGCCCGTCACCACATCTGGCTAATTTTTGTATTTTTAGTAGAGATGGAGTTTCACCATGTTGACCAGGCTCATCTCGAACTCCTGACCTCAAGTGATCCACCCACCTCAGCCTCCCAAAGTGCTGAGATTACAGGCATGAGCCACCACGCCCAGACCCCTTTCAGTCTTTATATTACCCAATCTCTCTGCATCATTTGACACTGTTGACCAATCTCGTCTTCTGGAAACACTCAGATACCTTAGCTCCGTTATACCCTGCCCCTTGGTTTGTCTCCCTTCTCTGTCTCTTCTGCAGCTCTTTGATGTCAGTGCTCCTTGGGGCTCCATCTTACACCCTCTCGACATTGCACTTCACAATAGTATTTATTTACTTACCAATTTACTGACTATTTAACAAGTACTGTATACAGTAAAAAAAATAGCATCCTAAGTGCTTTACAAAGGTTAAACCATTTAATCTTCAAGTAACCCCATTAGGTACGTACCATTATTGTTCCCCCTTTACCAGTGAGGAAACTGTGGCTCAGGAAGATGATGTGCCTTTGACAAGGTCATGGTTGGTAAGTGGTGGCAGCAGAATTGCAACTGTACGGCGCCCTGACTTATTTGCTAGCCTGGCTCCCTTGGATTTTTCTTTTAATTGGAAGGTCTACCAACACCAGGCCCTCATTCACATGTGAGCAATTCGCTCCAGCTACGTTGCAGTTGGCCCTCTTGCTCACCTTACCCAGCCTGCTTCTCTCACCAAACACCTGCCTGAGCTCTGTAGACATCAGCCACATCAACAAGTCCCAAAGTTTTATCTCTAGACTAGACTTTTCCCTGAGCTCCGTGTCCTTATATCTTTTTTTTTTCCCCCCTAAAACGGTGTCTTGCTCTGTTGCCCAGGCTGGAGTGCAGTGGCATGATCTCGGCTCACTGCAACCTCTGCCTCATGGGCTCAAGCAATTCTCCTGCCTCAGCGTCCCAAGTAGTTGGGATTACAGGTGCCCACCACCATGCCTGGCTAATTTTTGTATTTTTAGGAGAGATGGGGTTTCACCATGTTGGCCAGGCTGGTCTTGAACTCCTGACCATGTGATCCACCTGCCTCAGCCTCCCAAAGTGCTGGGATTACAGGCATAAGCCACTGTGCCCAGCCCAGTGTCCTTATATCTAACTGTCCACTGAACACTTGGATGTGTCACAGGCAGCTCCAACTCTACATACCTAAGATATTTCCCTCTCTCTTCCTGTGTCTCCCATCTCAGACAATGGTTCTGCCACCCACCCCATATTCAAATCTGAAACCTGGGATTCACAGGGGACTCCTCTCAGAGCCCTGATGATTTCTCTGCACCTCTATGCCTCCATCACTGGCCTAAAGCCACCAGAATTTCTTTCCCGATTACTGCACCATCCTCCTCCCTGGCCCCAAAGCCTCCAAACCTGCCCTACTCAAACCCCTTCTCCAAAACCAGACTGATTTCTCAAATTGAAAAAAAATAAAAATAAAAAATAAATACCTAAGACCTTTTAAGCCCAAATCCTTACCAGGGCCTTCAGTGGTGCTCCTGACCTCACCCCCAGTGACCTCTCTAGTCTCATCGGGTCACTCCCTGCTCTATATATCACATCCCAGTGATACTGGACAACTCCCAGCACCTCTAATGTGTCACGATCCACGCTTTCCTCTGCTGGAAACACTCCCACCCATGCCTCTTCACTTAGCTCATGCCTGTTCCTCAGGTATCTCACCTCCTCTGCAAATGTGTCCAGGTTAGGCGCTTGCCCTGTGTATTCCTACCTCCTACTGTCATGACCGCTTGGCACATTTTATTGTAATCGCCTGTTTAATTGTCCACCTCCCACCCCAGAATATAAGCCCCAGGATGGCCACAAGAGGTATCTATCTTACCAGCCCCCACACCCTTAGCACATGGTCAAGACACACAATACCTATCATTAAATGAGTGAATGATTATAATAAAGTGCCTGGCATAGAGGAGGTGCAATAAATGGCACAATTATTATTATCAAGCATAGAGATGGCTAATCAAGCAGGTAGTGAGCGAATTGTGTTTTGAATTGAGCTGCTGCCTCCAGCAGTATCATGCTTAGTAGGGACAGAACGGAGCCTACGCCTGTGCTCTGGGTTCCCTCTCAGCTGGGTCTCCCCAGCAGTCCCTACCCTGGGGCTCAGCATTCCCATATGGCAGGTGTAGGATCACTCCAAACCCCAGATACGAGGCCAGGCCATCTGGAGTCTCTTCCTTGCCATGCTGCTAACCCGCTGGGTTACTTCACCTCTCTGTGTCTCAGTTTCCTCATTTGTCAAATAAGAAATGTGGAGGACCAGTAAAAACCAAAGTGATTGGGAAAGTATAAAGTATTATACAAATATATACCCCTGATACCTCAGAGAAGGTTTTCTGACTTCTTCAGCTGAAAGCACTCAAGCCCCAAGAGGTTCAGAGCAGAGCCAAGTCCCCTGATGGCCAGTACAAAGAGGAGGAGAAAGAGAAGGACAGCAGAGGGTGCTCTCTGCTGGATTTCCCCAGCATGCCAGCTTCCCACTGTGCAGATAAAGCAAAATCTGATAGGAGCGGGGAGGAAGTGGGCTCAGGCTCCAGGAGTACAAGTTGGTATGCAAGCAAGTCATTCCAAACGCCGCCTCCACACAAACCCTCTGAGCTGCAAATTATTAACCTGCTTAACTCTATTGCAGAAACAAGCGCTGCTGGGGGTAAGGTGGGGAGGAGGGTGACAGAAGTCTCCTTCATGCCAAAGGTCCCTTTCCAGGAGCAAAGAGGCTTTCCTCTCAGCTTCTCAGCATTTCTTATTTACTTCTAATAGTAAATCTTCTAAACCAGTCTTGCAAATAAAGTCTAATCTCTCAACCGGAGGCATTAATGATTCATCACATGAGGGATTTCAGCCAGAAGACCAGTAAATAAGGATCCTGTCCACACACTCCACGGCTTGGGTATCTGGAAGAGCACAGCTGGGTTAGTCAAAAAAATAATTAATGTATTGGCTGGCACATTTTTGCAGAATTTATCACACTTGTCTAAACATCCCCAGACAATTCATCACTATTGCCACAAGGAGCCTGGAAAAATCTACTGCCTGATAAACCAACTGTAAACCAGCTGGTTTATACTCACATTTATCAATTTATAACTGAAAACCTCCTTGACAAATCTGTGCAGAAAAAGTGAAGCATGGAGAGGGAAACACATACATTGCCTCAAAGCAGGTGTAGGATTGTGGTTAAGAGCATGAACTCAAGTCCGAGTGTCTGGATTTCAGTCCTGCTCCATGACTCCCAAGGATGGTGACTTTACCTATCTAAGCCTCAATTTCCTTCTCTGTAAAATGATCACAAAACCTCGTAAATTAGGCTTATTCTGAGCATTAAATTATCCAGGAACAGCACTTAGCACATAGAATGTGTGGGGAGAGCATGAGGCGTGGGTGATAAGGAGTTTTGGTGATGAAGAAGAGGAGAGTCCACAGGCTACCAGAGAAGTTTAAAACTAACCCCTAGTTAGTCTGCTGACCATGTCTACAACTACCCACCCCACAACCCCACAACCCCACAACCCCATGGAGGCAAGGTGCCCTCACTCATGGTGCTTACTTCCAGAACCAATTCCAAAACAATTCATACAAATTCTGGAAACACCAAACATATACAGTAAAAAAAAAAAAAGTCTTAAAAATAAGTAGTCTATAGGAATACATTTAACGAAAGAAGTACAAGACATGTACTCTGAGAACTGCAAAACATTGTTGAAAGAAATGAAAGAACACGTAAATAAATGGAAAGACATCTCATGTTCATGAATTGGAAGACTTAACATAAGATGGCTATGTTCCCCAGAGTGAACCACAGATTCAATGCAATCCCTATCAAAACCACAGCAGGCTTCTTTGCAAACATTGTCAAGCTGACTCAGAAATTCACATGGAAATCCAAAGGACTTGGAATAGTGAAACAATACTGAAAAAGAACAAAGTTGTAGGATTCTCACTTCCCGATTTCAAAACTTACTACAAAGCGCTAGTAATTCAGACAGTGTGTGGTACTGACATAAGGACAGACATATAGATGAATGGAACAGAACTGAGAGTCCAGAAATAAACCCATGCATTTATGGTCAATTGATTTTCAACAAAAGTTGCCAGACAATTCAGTAGGGAAAGAATAGTATTTTTAAACATACGTGATTGGAATAACTGAATAGCCACATGCAAAAAAAAAAAAAAAAAGTCGGACAGCTTACCTTCACACCCTATATAAAAATTAACAAAAAATGGATCACAGACAATCTAAAATGTAAGACTAAAACTGTGAAACTGAGAAGAAAACATAGGAGTAAATCTTCATGACCTTGGATTAAGCAATGGTTCTTAGATACGACACTAAAGGCACAAGCAACAAAAGAAAAAAATAAATAAATTGGGCCAGGCGCAGTGGCTCATGCCTGTAATCCCTGCACTTTGGGAGGCCGAGGCGGGTGGATCACCTGAGGTCAGGAGTTCGAGACCAGCCTAGCCAACATGATAAAACGCGTCTCTACTAAAAATACAAAAAATTAGCTGGGCATGGTGGTGCGCACCTATAATCCCAGCTACTCAGGAGGCTGCAGCAGGAAAATCACTTGAACCCAGGAGGCGGAGGTTGCAGTGAGCTGAGATTGCGCCACTGCACCCCAGCCTGGGTAACAAGAGCATAACTCTGTCTCAAAAAACAAATAAATAAATAGGACATCATCAAAATTAAAAACGCTTGTGCTTCAAAAGGCACCATCAAGAAAGTAAAAAGACAACCAACAGAATAGGAAAAATTATTTGTAAATCATGTATCAAGAATATGAAAAGAGGCCAGGTGTGGTGGCTCATGCCTATAATCCCAGCACTTTGGGAGGCTGAGGCAGGAGGATTGCTTGAGACCACGAGTTCGAGACCAGCCTGGCCAACATGGTGAAACCCCGTCTCTACTAAAAATACAAAAATTTGCCAGGTATGGTGATGCGCACCTGTAATCTCAGCTACTTGGGTGGCTGAGGTAGGAGAGTCACTTGAACCCAGGAGGTGGAGGTTGCAGTGAGCCGAGATCACGCCACTGCACTCCAGCCTGGGTAACAGAGTGAGACCCTGTCTCAAAAAAAAAAAGAAAAAAAGAAAAAGAAAAAGAATATGTAAGAACTTTTACAACCCAATAATAAAAAGACAACCCTGTTTAACAATGGGCAAAGGGCCAGGTGCGGTGGCTCACACCTGTAATCCCAGCACTGTGGGAGGCCAAGGAGGGAGGATTGCTTGAGACCAGGAGCTCGAGACCAGCCTGGCCAACATGGAGAAACCCCATCTCTACAAAAAATACAAAAATTAGTTGGGCATGGTGGCACGTGCCTATAGTCCCAGGTACTCAGGAAGCTGAGGCGCAAGAATCACTTGAGCCTGGGAGACTGGGGTTGCAGTGAGCCGAGACTGCACCACTGCACTCCAGCCTGGGTGACAGAGTGAAACTCTATCTCAAAAAAAATAAATAAATAAAAATGAAATAAAAATGGGCAAAGGATTTAAATAGACATTTCTACAATGCAGATATACAAATGAACTATAAGCACATAAAAAGATGTTCAACGTCTTTAGCCATTTGGCAAATACAACCAGTGAGATGCCACTTCATACCCACTAGGGTGACTGTAATAAAAAATATATGCAATAACAAGTGTTGGTGAGAATGTGGAGAAATTAGAACGCTTACCCATTGTTAATGGAAATGTAAAATTATGCAGCTGCTTTGAAAAACAACTTGGCAGTTTCTCAAATAAACACAGATACAGACACCTACCAGGGATATACAGATACAGCATGATTCTGTTGTACAAAGTGTCCAGAATAGGCAAAACCTATCTAACTGAGGCTTAGGTGGGTAAAAAGATAGAAAGTAGATTTGTGGTTTCCCAGGGGGTGGGGGAAGAAAGGGAGGGGGCCATAAGGAGTGACTGTTGATGGATATGGGGTTTCTTTTTGAGAAGATAAAAGTGTTCTGAAATTAGGCCAGGTGCAGTGGCTCATACCTGTAATCCCAGCATTTTGGGAAGCTGAGACGGGTGGATCATTTGAGGCCAGGAGTTTGAGACCAGCCTGGCCAACATGGCAAAACCCTGTCTCTACAAAAATACAAAAATTAGCCGGGCATGGTGGTACATGCCTGTAGTCCCAGCTACTCGGAGGCTGAGGCAGGAGAATCGCTTGAACCTGGGAGGCACAAGTTGCAGTGAGCCAAGATCATGCCACTACACTCCAGCCTGGGCGACAGAGCAAGACTGTCTCAAAAAAAAAAAAAAAGTTCAGAAATTAGTAGTGATTGTGAAACTCTGTGAAGATACTAAAACCACTGAATTACACACTCAAAAGGGGTGAATTTTATGGTATGTGAATTATATGTCAATTAAACTGTTATTTCAAAATTAAACTAAACCAAGGGTTCTAGGTGCCCCTAGTGACTCCAGCATGACAGCTTGCATCCACTCTATCTGGCTGACGTGGTGAGCTGTGGAAAGGCACCCAATGCTCCCCGTTCTGTTAGGGTCTCCTTCCCACCTACTTGGCTCAGAGGACTCCCCTACTCCCCTAAGTTTCTGCCCACTGTAGCCATAGGAGCAGCAAGAACAAGAACAAGAACATAGCTGATATGTTTTGTGAATTGTATTGTGAGAAATGATCAGCCCCCACCTCTTACTTCAGCGCCCTAACCCATTTCACTCCAGCATACTGGTAGGGTTGCCAGATAAAATACAAGACACTCAATTACATTTCAATTTCAGGTAATCAATGAACAATTTTTTGGTAGCAGTATGTCTCAAATGTTGCATCATTCATTTAAAATTTAACTGGACATCCTGTATTTTTCTTTGCTAAGTTTGGCAACCCTACACTCTGGCCTCCATGCCATCCCTGAAACACATGAACCACACTCTCACCTCGGGACCTTTCCATTTGTTCTTCTTTCTGCCCGAAATTCTCTTCCCCCAGATAGTCACATGGTTCCTTTCTCACTTCAGGTTTTTGTCCAAACAGCATCTCATCATAAGAAGGTGTCTCCTACACACTTTATATAGAAGAGCCACTTCTACCTGACACTCCGATGCCCCTTCCCCTTGGCATTCACCACCACCTAACATATATATATTTAGTGGCTAATTGCCTGCTTTCCCCTCAGTATATTGGAGACTCCTTGAGGGTAAGGCTTCTTTTATTCACTGCTGCATTCCCAGTGCTTAGAACAGGGCCTGGCACGGAGTAGGCAATATGTTAATATTTACTCAATGAGTACAGAAGTGTCGTGCATGTGTTATCTCATCTAATCTTCCAAACAGCCCTATGAGACAAATATTGCCACCAACTGTGTTTCATAGATGAGACAGCTAAGACATGAAAGCCAAATAACCATCAAGAAGCCCATTTTAGATGCAGGAGCCAGACCCCAAATGACCCACCTCCCTGCAGCAGCTCACTGTCACAGACACCGCACAGCTCACCATCACAGGCACCGCACAGCTCACCGTCACAGGCACCGCACAGCTCACCGTCACAGGCACCGCACAGCTCACCGTCACAGACACCGCACAGCTCAGTCACAGGCACTGCACAGCTCAGTCACAGACACCGCACAGCTCAGTCACAGGCACCGCACAGCTCACCGTCACAGACACCGCACAGCTCACCGTCACAGACAGTGCACAGCTCAGTCACAGACACCGCACAGCTCACCGTCACAGACACCGCACAGCTCACCGTCACAGGCACCGCACAGCTCACCGTCACAGGCACCGCACAGCTCACCGTCACAGGCACCGCACAGCTCACCGTCACAGGCACCGTACAGCTCACTGTCACAGGTGGCGGGGCAACTTGGAGCTAGGGTGGCAGGTGTTTCTGACTCCTTCCATTTAGGGTACTCTGAGTTAGATGAAGGAAGGAGTCACAGACATGTCTGAGAGTCTACATTTGCACCAGAGAGCTTAATCCTGGGATTTAATTCAGGCTTGATTATTGCCTACACAATTATTGTGCAATATAAAGTGTTTCAAATAACTATAGAGTATTTCAAATAATTAAAGACTTGATTTTGCCTACACAATTACTGTGCAATATAAAGTGTTTTAAATAAATACCTAAACCTCCATTAATGGAGAAGTCTGTGTGGGTATCTATACTCACTTTTATTTCTTCTTGAACATCAGGATTGCGGAAATTTAAATCAGGTTGCTCTTTCATAAACTGATGAAAATAACATTGGTTTCGCACTTCGTCAAAGTGCCAACTGGAGTTTCCATACACACTTAACTGGCAAACAAAGAAAACAGCACATCAGTGACCTATAATGGTATTGCCCACAAATAAAGATCATTGCCCTCCCTGATCCTTTGCAGGCAGAGTATGTAAATCCTGAGAGTTTTCCTTCTACAGAGAGCAGCAGGTTAAAGAAACCCCTTCCAAATACCCCCCACCCCATTGGCCTAATGCCTCACAAACATGGTTGCAACGTATTTTTACAGTAGATGCTGTTTGTAACAACTGCAACAGCAAACCAATGTTCTCAAACCCAAGACAAGGTCAACTTAAGGAACTGACATTACTAATGTATTTTCTTGAATCTTCTGTCCAGGATCCAAACTCTTGTTTGTGAAGAGAAGCAAAATGGTAGTCAATTTGGAAGAAAGAAACATTCCGCTCATCTTGGAGCTTGAGCCCAGATAGACTGAATATTTAAATTATATCCCCAGAAAATTATTAGAATCCTTCACTTAAAATCTCTACCAGTCTCCAAGAATAAAAAGCAACTTCAAGTGTTGGTACTCAGCAATAGTTGACGATGTCGCTGGTCTCCTCTGTCTGGAAATGCTCACATTTATGGCCCCATGGTATGACTCTCCCGGCTGCCCTCCCACATCTCTGGCCACTCCTTAAGTCAACGCTGTGGGCCCTTGAATGTGAGAGTTTCATGGGGCTCTGTCCTAGGCCTTTTGTCCATTTCATGTTAAAGAGAACATCTGGAAAACATTTAACAACTGGGAGATTTTACATAAATCTTTTTGAGTTGGAAGACGTAGTTACACTGAGTCCACATGTCCATGGCAACACAGGCAGATGCTGAGTAGTAGCTGCTGCCTTTCAAGGACATGCACCCTTTCCAATTCAACACACAGCCCACCTGGACACAACCAGGGCAAGAGATTTTTAGTGTACATAAACAATAAAAAATCAGTATCCAGAATACAAAAGGAACTGAAGAAAGCAATTTCAAAGGGATAAATAATTCAAAAGAAAGTAGGGGAAAGAAACCATAAAGAGGTGTTTCACAGAAATGGACACTTAAATGAATAAATGTAAGAAAAGATGTTCAACATCATTAGGAATTAGATAATTACTGTATTAGGAATTAGACACATCATCATTAGTAATTAAATAAATATAAAATTAAGATCTCAAGGCAATATTGTTTTAAGTCTGGGCTGGGCATGGTAGCTCATGCCAGTAATCACAGCACTTTGAGAGCTGAAGCGGGAGGACTGCTTGAGGCCAGAAGTTCAAGACCAGCTTGGGCAACATAGTGAGAGCCCATATTTACAAAAAAATAAAAAAACTCAGCCACACATGATGGTGTGTGCCTGTGGTCCCAGCTACTAAGGAGGCTGAGGTGGCGAGGATTGCTTGAGCCTAGGAGCTCGAGACTGCAGTAAGCTATGATTGAGCCACTATGCTTCAGCCTGGGTGACAGAATGAGACCCTGACACAAAATAATAATAATTTTTAAATAAAAATTACAAAGTTGGGCAATATCAGGAATTAATGAGAATGTGTATTTTTTATACTTCTGTGGGGGATATAAATTGGTACAACCATTTTGATAATGAATTTGACACTATCCTGTAGAGCTGAGCATGCGATATCCTGCACAGCAATTTTACTCCTAGTTATTTACCTAAAAGAAGCCCTTGGTTGGGCGTGGTGGCTCACGCCTGTAATCCTAGCACTCTGGGAAGCCGACGTGGGCAGATCACAAGGTCAGGAGTTCAAGACCAGCCTGGCCAATATGGTGAAACCCTGTCTCTACTAAAGATACAAAAATTAGGTGGGCATGGTGATGGGTGCCTGTAGTTCCAGCTACTTGAGAGGCTGAGGCAGGAGAATCGCTTGAACTGAGGAGGCAGAGGTTGCAGTGAGCCAAGATCACGCCACTGCAGTCCAGCCTGGGCGACAGAGCAAGACCATCTCAAAAATAAAAAAAAGAAGCCCTTGCACATGTACCCCAAGATAGATTAATGACAGTGTTTATAGTAACATTGTTCATAATAAAAAAAACGGAAGTAGCCCAACTTCCCATCAACTGAAGAGTGGATAAGTAAACCATGGATTGTTCACACTGTGAAATATACAACAATGAAAATGTATGAACCATAGCTACCTGAAGTTACATGAATAAATCATGAAAAAGTTAGTTAAGAAGACTATACCTAGCATGACACTTTTCATAAAGTTCAAAATAGAGGAAACTAAAAAATAATTTTTTTAGAG
This sequence comes from Homo sapiens, assembly GCF_000001405.40. NCBI lineage: Eukaryota > Metazoa > Chordata > Mammalia > Primates > Hominidae > Homo > Homo sapiens. Next base: position 44,283,799 of record NC_000002.12, on the reverse strand, counting down.
TCGAAGTCTTGCAATATATGGTTATATATATGATATACTACAAGGTGTTTATCCATCATATACATATACATATTTTTGAACATATTAACTATTACATTAGAAAATGCAACCTTGACTATAGTGGAGAACTAAAAAAGCAATGGAAAAACTGGATCACAAGGCAGCTGTGATCATTCTATAAGCAAGAAATGATATAGTTTGAGTATGGCAGCAATTTTTAAAAGCAGACTATGGAGCTGAAATGACTAGATCCCATCTTTAGCCCTGTCATTTATTAGCTGAGTAACCTCAGTCTGCCTATCTGCAAAACAGGAATTACACCAGACTCATAGGATTATAGAGTGGATTAACTAAATTAATGAATATAAAACACTTAGCACAGAGCCTGGCACAGAGTAAGTATTTTGTAAATGTTTGCTAATGTCATTGCAATTTTAACAAGTCAGTGAACTGGAGGAAAAAAAGAGGTGAAACTGCCAGGACTTGCTGACAGCCTGTTCCTCAGGCTGCATGGTAGTACCATTCACTGAACCTGGGAGACGGAAGGTTATAGGGAGAAAATCACACATCACAAAGTTGACCTGCAAATATATCAATTCTGAGTGTCCTTGGATCACCTAAAAGTTGATGTTTAAATATTTATGGAGAAGGTCCAGAAGAGAGAAGGAGGGACTGGAGGAGGGAGGGATGATCCAGAATAAAGGCAGGAGAGAACACAAACCCGGGCAAGGGGAAGCTCTGGCCTGAGACAGAAGCAGAACTGCCAGATGAAGTGCAGGATGCCCAGTTACATCTGAATTCAGATCAACACGCATATTGTTGAGTATAAGTATTACTCATGTGGCCGGGCACAGTGGCTTACACCTGTAATCCCAGCACTTTGCAAGGCCGAAGCGGGAGGATCACTTGAGCCCAGGAGTTCAAGACCAGCCTGGACAACAGAGTGAGGCCCTGTCTTTACAAAAAAATAAAATATTAGCTGGGCATGGTGGCACACATTTGTGGTCCCAGCTACTTGGGAGGAATAGCTGGGAGGATTGCTTGAGCCCAGGAGGCAAAGACTGCGGTGAGCCATGATCAAGCCACTGCAGTAAGCCATGATCAAGCCACTGCACTCCAGCCTGGGAGAAAGAGCAAGACCCTGTCTCTGAAAAATAAAAATAAAAAAGAAAGTATGGTCCACACTAAAAAATTTTTTATGCACTGCTTGTCCAAAATTCAGATTTAACTGGGCATTCTGAATTTTTATTTGCTAAATCTGGTCACCCCAGAAAGGAGGGATCTGGCTTCTGTTGTAAAAGGAGTGAGTAGGAAGAGGGTGGGAATGGGGCAGGCAGGCTTGATGGCTTCTGTTTTCTCTGTGAAGTCGAGTTTGCTGCTGAGAGTGATAAGATGGGGTAGAGGCAGATACGATGTTTGAAATGAGGGAGGGAGGGAAAGTTGATCGGTTGAAATTAGCAAAATTCCCAAGAAGAGTGGATGGCTCAGTTCAGGTGGGGACAATGAAGGTGTGATGTCTCCAGAGACTCAACTACTAAGGTTTAGGCAAAAAGAAAATAGATAATTGGGTTCATTCATGGCTAGGGTTTTGTCAGACAGAGGAGACAAAAAGTCAGAAAGGCAAAGGGGGCCAGGAGCGGTGGCTTACACCTGTAATCCCAGCGCTTTGGGAGGCCGAGGCAGGTGGATCACCTGAGGTCAGGAGTTCAAGACCAGAGTGGCCAACATGGTGAAACCCTACCTCTACTAAAAATACAAAAATTAGCCGAGTATGATGACGCGCGCCTGTAATCATAGCTACTGGTAAGGCTGAGGCAAGAGAATTGCTTGAACCCAGGTGGAGTTTGCAGTGAGCTGAGATTGTGCTATTGCACTCCAGCCTGGGAGACAAGAGCAAAACTACATCTCAAGAAAAAAAAATGCAAAGGGGTATGGATAGTAGAAAAATGGTTATCAAACTAATGGGACATGGAATCCAAGTTGGACCGGGTAGGAAGTGAAGGAAGGGTGGAAGGAGAGAAAATAGGTTTGAATTTGCTAGAACACATCATCTCTATGATGAAATCAGAAATCTAAATAATAATTGGAAGCCTGAGTAAATAACAACTGGAAACCTTATTTCTATTTCTTTCAGAAACTTGCCCCCTTCCGATAAACTATATTCATTCATTTTTCCCTCAAAAGGGTTTTACTAAATCAGTTCAATCACTACATATCTGCCTTTTACCCCTTTGTAAGTCAGACAGGTTGATACTTACCCAGTTGTTGGGTGGAATGGTTTTGCCATTTTCATGGGTACAGTCATGCCAGATATAATAATCAGTATATTTTCCTGTCCGTGTCCGACTCAATTGAAACCAAATATGTTTATCACTCGTGTGGTTTGGTATGAAATCGATGATTAATTTTAAACCTAATGAGTAAAAGACATTTCAAATGCTAGGGAAAGATTGTATTAGAATAACATATGACAGGCCAGGCACAGTAATGGCTAACGCCTGTAACCCCAATACACTGGGAGGCTAAGGTAGGAGGATTGCTTGAGCCCAGGAGGTGGAGGCTGAAGTGAGCCATGATTGCACCACTGCACTCCAGCCTGGGAGACAGAGCAAGACCCTGCCTGGAAAAAAAAAAAAAAAAGCAGGGAAAGGAGAGGGGAGGGGAGGGGAGGGGAAGAAAGGAGATAGGGAAGGAAAAAGGAAAGGAGAAAGGAAAAAAGGAAACAGAAGGGAAGGGAAGGAAAGGAAGAAAGAGAAAGCGGGAAGGAAAGAAAGAAGGAAGGGAGGGAGGGAGGGAAAGAAATAGTATATGACAGTTAAGGAGAAGAAATGCTTTAAGTAAACATTTGAAAAAGTGCTTCTCTCAAACCTCATCCCCATCTTGCCCACTTTCCATTCAACTTACCTTTATCATGTATGGCTGCAACCAGATTCTCAAAATCTTCCATCGTTCCAAAAATGGGATCAACTTCCCGGAAATCTTCAACACCATATCTGAAATCTTTAAGGGACGATTTATAAAATGAAGTAATCCAAACAGTTTTTATATTTAAAGCTGTGATGTAGTCCAGTTTATCTTGAATACCTGAAGAAAAAAGTCAAAGTCATGAATAAACCCTACTTTGTTTTAGTTAAAGGACAAAAAATATAACAAATATGCCTAAGATAGAAATATTTACATGAAGGCAAAAATACTTAGAATTTTGTTGAATTTGAGTATAATTCAAATAGGAAGATCTAGCTCTACAAAAAATATCAAATTAGGTCGGGTGTAGTGGTTCACGCCTGTAATCCCAGCACTTTGGGAGGCCAAGGTGGGAGGATACCTAAGGTCAAGAGCTCGAGACCATCCTGGCCAACATGACAAAACCCCGTCTCTATTAAAAATACAAAAATTAGCTGGGTACAGTACCACATGCCTATGATCCCAGCTACCTGGGAGGCTGAGGCAGGAGAATCTCTTGAACCTGGGAATCGGAGGCTACAATGACTCAAGATCACACCACTGTACTCTAGCCTGGGCGACAGAGCAAGACCCTTTCTCAAAAAAAAAAGAAAGAGAAAATCAAATTAGTCATCTATCAGTAATCGATGACATTTAACATAGCATTAAAAAAAATCTCTGTGACTTACTCATATTTTATATTTAAAACCAAGACTGTGGTATTGTTCATTTATTCTACACATGGTTTTTGAGCAGCTAATCTATGCCAGCTGCTGGGCTAAGTGTCAAGGAACAGAGCAGAGTAACGCATGGCCCCTGTCGGTCATGTGGTCTACACTGCACTGTTCTGTCTAAGAGCCACATGTGGCTACTGAGCACTTGCAGGGTGGCTGGTTGGAATTGAGATGTGCTGTAAGGGAACAACATGTATTGGATTTTGAAGACCCTGTACAAAAAGAAAGAATGTAAAAATCTCATTAATATTTTTATACTGGGCCGGGCATGGTGGCACGTGCCTGTAATCCCAGCACTTTGGGAGGCCATGGTGGGCAGATTGTTTGGGCTCAGGTGTTCGAGACCAGTCTGGGTAACATGATAAAACCCCGTCTTAAAATACAAAAAAAAATAACAATATGTATATATTTTTATACTGATTATGTGTTGAAATGATACATTGGATTAAACAGAACATATGAAAATTAATTTCACCTGCTTCTTTTTTCCTTTTTTTAATGTGGCTACTACAAAATTTACAATTTCTTATGTGGCTCCCATTGTATTTCTTTTGGGCGGTGTTGGTCTCGGAAGTGTCTGCAGGCAGGGGTGGGATGATGATCAGACTGAAGAGCTAAGGAAGAGCTGCAGAAAGTGCTTTAAGGGCATCAGGGCATTGGCCCTTGACCCCCAGGGGCAGAGGAAGCTGATGACCCCTGAGGGTAAGGACAGAGAAGGTCCAGGATGGTGTGGGCAAAGGGGATCAGAGTGAAGGGCTTCCAGGCACAGCAAAGGAAAGGAGGGAGCAAGAATAGACAGGGCATGTCTAAAAAAGGGTGAGAAGGCAGGACACAGTGGCTTACGCCTGTAATCCCAACACTTAGGGAGGCTGAGACAGGTGGATCACTTGAGGTCAGGAGGTCAAGACCAGCCTGGCCAACATGGTGAAACCCCATTTCTACTAAAAAATACAAAAATTAGCTGGGGACGATGGTGCATTCCTGTAATCCCAGCTACTCGGGAGGCTGAGGCAGGAGAATTGCTTGAACCTGGGAGGCGGAGGTTGTAGTGAGGTGAGATTGTGCCACTGCACTCCAGCCTAGGTGACAGAGTGAGACTCCATCTCAAAAAAAAAAAAATAATAAATATAAATAAATAAGTAAATGCATCAATTAATTTAAAAAGGTGATAAATGTTGTCAGTGCACGGGGTCTGAGAAGGAGTGCAACCTCAACACAGAAGGTAAGTTTGTGCCAATATTTGAGGAGTCTTTGTTTCCACTCTCAGACTGCCTTTGAACTTGCTAAATTTGGACTATTTCCCTTGTTCACTTATATAGGAACCCAGGAATTTATACAGAAGAGAATTCTAGGCTTGGCTGAGAAGACATGTGGAAATGAAACTTTGTATTTAGAACTTTGTAGGATAATGAGCAGATAATGTGTTTTCTCCTTCTAGTTCAGAGTCCCAAATGCATATTCAGCAACTTGAGTCTAGAATTCAATCTCCAGTAACTTTCTGTGTAATCCTGATGTGACTTCCTAGAATTAGACTGTCAGAGGCCACACCGCAGGCTGAAGGTCACTAATTCCAAAGCACAGAGTCATTCGACACCTGGGATCTGGGCTTTTCCCCTATAACACACTGCTTATTTATTTTATTTTATTTTATTTATTTATTTATTTATTTATTTTTGAGATGGAGTCTCGCTCTGTCGCCCAGGCTGGAGTGCAGTGGTGCGATCTTAGCTCACTGCAACCTCCGCCTCCTGGGTTCACGCCATTCTCCTGCCTCAGCCACCCAAATAGCTGGGAATACAGGCACCCGCCACCACGCCCAGCTGATTTTTTTTGTATTTTTTTAGTAGAGACGGGGTTTCACCGTGTTAGCCAGGATGGTCTCAATCTCCTGACCTCGTGATCCACCTGCCTCGGCCTCCCAAAGTGCTGGGATTACAGGCGTGAGCCACCACGCCTGGCCTGACAGGCTGCTTATTTCTGTCTCTGTACCCCAGTTCCCCCATATGGGTAGCTGCAAGATCTCACACGGTATCAACAGGCAGCAAGAGGGTTTTGATCTAAGCCAGCACAGCAACAAAATATATCTTATGATGAGGCACAAAGGAACATGAGGATGAAAACAAAGTGGCTGGAGAAAGTAAACAAGGGATCCCACCCCACATTTTAGAAGGAGAGAGGGCAATCACCAAAACCAGACTCAAAGCTGGAATGGGATCTTCATAATAACAACAATGAAATCCCTTCAACCTCAAAGACAAATGCCTATGGATTGCAGGAAGTAAAACATTCCTCCAAGAACAGGTATTGGAAATGACAAACATCAGAGCTGATTAGAAACCACCATGTTTACAGGAATGTTGGACCTATCCAGAAGGAGATTATTAAGAAGGCAGGGCCAGGAAGTGGTAAACATATCTCTGGATTTAGGGCTTTAGGTCTATGCAGTCAGAGCATTGCTTTTCCTAAGCACTCAATGTGCAAAAGGCAGCAGGTCATAGGTCATGAGTCAGGGGAAAGGGAGTCACTCAAGGCAGGATTAAAGGATGCTAGAAACACATCCAAAGCCGAAGATCTGGGGTGGGGAGCCCATGGTCTGATTAGGGAGGCTAAAGAAAGAGTAATGAAGGCAATGGGTTTGAGCTGCACCATGAAGGACAGATACACTCTTCTTCAATGAGTGACAATGCAGGATGATTTTTAAAACGAGAATGATACAGCCGGATGCGGTGGCTCATGCCTGTAATCCCAGAGTTTTGGGAGGCCAAGGGGGGGCAAATCACCTGAGGTCAGGAGTTCGAGACTAGCCTGACCAACATGGAGAACCCTCGTCTCTATTAAAAATACAAAATTAGCCAGGCATGATGGTGCATGCCTGTAATCCCTGCTACTCGGAACGCTGAGCCGAGAGAATTGCTTGAACCCAGGTGACGGAGGTTGCAGTGAGCTGAGATTATGCCATTGCACTCCAGCCTGGGCAACAAGAGTGAAACTCCATCACAAAAAAAAAAAAAAAAAAAAAGAAGAGAGAGAATGATAGGAGCGTGAAAAAGAAAAGCCTTCTACTAGTGATTAAAGAAAGCTGCAGGTTTCAAGAATTCATTTGTAGCATTTTAAAGATACATTAAGCCCATTCCTACTTTCCACATTCATATCATCCTGTTTTGTTTTCTTCAAACCAATTATCATTGTAAAACATTAGTTTGTTAGTTTCCTTATTTGTTTCCTATTGTTGCCTTGAAGTAGAGTGACCATACCAACCAATTTGCTCAGAAGTTCCCAGTGTATGCCTGCCATCTGGCATAATTTTACTCTGAAGTATGTTCTGGTTTGAGCAATATATTGTAAGGATGTTTTACACATAACCCACCAAGAAATTAACTTAGCTTTTAAAAAATAATTTTTCACTTTTTTTTTTTTCTTTTTGGAGACGGGGTCTCCCTATGTTGCCTAAGCTGGCTGGCTGAGAGCTCCTGGGCTCAAGCGATCCTCCCACCTCAGCCTCCCAAGTAGCTGCAACTACAGTCATGCGCCACTACCCCTGGTTAATTCTTTACTTGTTTTATACTAATACGGACATGGTTTTAAACAATCCTTAATTCAAGTAATGACGAATGCATACTGCTACCCCTTTTCTACTTCCCTTCCTTTTTTAGAATTTAAACTTTAAGACTCAGCCTATACTTTTTACAGATATCACTTGATTTTTAAAAAAATATTATTTATGCTTTATTCACTAATACACTCCCAGCCACACAGCCAAACTAGCTGCTTCGTATACTGGGAAAGCAATTCCCAACTGCCACCCTGACATATTCAACTATAAAGTCCCCAGAAACAGGACATAGATTTTAGAAGGAAGGCTGCTCTAAGAAGTTAGAATTGATGACTGAACAACTGTATGTACTTAGTGGGCAATAAATTAAACAACTCGTTTGGCTCAAAGGCCTTCAGCAAATAGCCCTTCAGCTAGTAAAATAACTGCTGGGTTCTGCTGAGTGATTTTCTAAGAATATCATAAACAAGGAGCAACTTGGCATGACCAGTCATAATGGAATGTGCTTACTGAACAACCCAGGCATAATTTGGTTCTGAAGAACAAAAGAACCATAAACCAATCTCATCCTGGCACCCACCCTAAATGATCTCTGGGCATGTACCTTTCAGATCTCCGTTCCCATCCTTGTTACTGTCCTTGAAAGACCTTGGGTAGATCTGGTACATGGGCCCCTCCTGCCACCAGTCTAGGCACTTTGGAGAGAGGGCAATGATGGCTATGGTGGCCGCGATGAGCACCAGCACAGAAGCCACTGTGAGCCAGAAGAGGATCTCCCGAGGTATGCGGTAGCGGGCCTGGCCAGAGAACTGGAACAGCACCTCCTTGGGCATCCCCGCATAGGGCTGGACGCCCTTGAAGTCGGGCTCCTGGGAGCCAAGGATGCCCCTGGTGCTGTGCTTCAGGTTGTCTGTTGAGCTTCCTGGATCCGGGGTCTGCTCCAGAATGTCTTCATTATGGACAAACCCGTTGTTTGTCTGGCATCCCTTCATACTCATCTCGATGGAGTCTCTCTTGCTTTTATCTTCAGCCATGTCTCACCGACTTATGTCTTCGGAGTGCCTTCCTGCAGTAAGGGAGGTGGAAGAGTGGCTTGCTGAATGCTTGGTCTTGTTAATGAACTTTGTGTGGTTTATAAATAAACCTAGCTGGACAAAGTCCAGCCAAGGAAGAAAGGGTAAAAGTACAGAGGTTTAAAAAAAAAATCTCGGGACTGGCGCGGTGGTTCATGCCTGTAATCCCAGCACTTTGGGAGGCCGAGGCGGGCAGATCACCAAGGGCAGGAGTTTGAGACTAGCCTGGCCAACATGGCCAAACCCCGTCTCTACTAAAGGTATAAAAATTAGCCAGGCGTGGTGGTGTGCACCTGTAATCCCAGCTGCTCGGGAGGCTGAGGCAGGAGAATCGTTTGACCCCGGAAGACAGACGTTGCAGTGAGCCGAGATCGTACCACTGCACTCCAGCCTGGGCGACAAGAGCGAGAATCCATCCCACAAAAAAAAAAAAAATCTCCACTGGGCATCTTGGCTCACACCTGTAATCCCAGCAGTTTGGGAGGCTGAGGCAGGCAGGTCACCCGAGGTCAAGAGTTTAAGACCAGCCTGGCCAACATGGTGAAACCCCGTCTCTACTAAAAATACAAAAATTAGCCGGGCGTGGTGGTGCATGCCTGTAATCCCAGCTACTCAGGAGGCTGAGGCAGGAGAATCACTTGAACCCAGGAGGCAGAGGTTGCAGTGAGCTGACATCGAGCCATGGCACTCCACCCTGGGTGACAGAGGGAGACTCTGTCTCAAAAAATAAAATAAATAAATAAGAAAGAAAATAAAAATAAAATGAAACTAAAAATAAATTAAAAAATTAAAAATTGGAAACAACCCAGGTAGCTATCATCAGATGGATAGATAAACAATGTGGTTATACATATAGTGAAATATTATTCAGCTTTGAAAAGGAATGAAGGCTGGGCATGGTGGATCACGCCTGTAATCCCAACACTTTGGGAGGACAAGGCGGGTGGATCACTTGAGGTCAGGAATTGGAGACCAGCCTGGCCAACATGGCAAAACCCATCTCTATTAAAAATACAAAAATTAGGCCAGGCGCGGTGGCTCACGCCTGTAATCTCAATACTTTAGGAGGCCGAGGCCAGTGAATCACCTGAGGTTGGGAGTTCAAGACCAGCCTGACCAACATGGAGAAACCCCGTCTCTACTAAAAATACAAAATTAGCCAGGTGTGGTGGCGCATGCCTGTAGTCCCAGCTACTTGGGAGGCTGAGGCAGGAGAATCGGTTGAACCTGGAAGGCGGAGGTTGCGGTGAATGGAGATCACGCCATTGCGGTCCAGCCTGGGCAACAAGAGTGAAACTCCATCTCAAAAAAAAAAAAAAAAAAAATAGCTGGGCATGGGGACATATGCTGTAATTCCAGCTACTTGGGAGGCTGAGGCAGGAGAATCGCTTGAACCCAGGAGGCAGAAGTTGCAATGAGCTGAGATAGCACCACTGCACTCCAGCTTGGGTGATGGAGTGAGACTGTCTCCAATACATAAATAAAGGACTGAAATTCTGACACATGCTGCAACATAGATGAACCTGGAGGACATTATGCTAAGTGCAATAAGCCAGACCCAAAAGGGCAAGTGTGATTTCACTTAGATGAGGTATCTTGAGTAGTAGGATTCATAGGAACAGAAAATAGAAACGTGGTTACTGGAGGTTGGAGGAAGGGAATAATGGGGAGTTATTGTTCATTGGGCAGAGAATTTCAGTTTGGGATGATGAAAAGTATTCCTGAGATGATAGTGGTGATGGTTGCATAACAGTATAAACATACGTAATGCCACTGAAATGTTACAGATGTTTTACCACAACTTTTTTTAAAGCTTAAAGCTTTCTCTATTTAGCCAGGTATAAGAAAAATGACTTTGGGGGGAAATTATTTTTCTTATACATGGTTAAATAGAGAAAGTGGGAAGATAGCTTAAGCCCAGGAGTTGGAGACCAGCCTGGACAATATAGTAACACCTCATCTCTACAAAAGAAATTTAAAATTAGCTGAACATGGTGGTGCACCCATGTAGTCCCAATTACTCAGGAGGCAGGCTGATGTGGGAGGATCACTTGAGCCCAGGAGGCAGAGGTTGCAGTGAGCTGAGATGAGCCGAGGAGACAGAGGTTGCAGTGAGCTGAGATCACGCCACTGCACTCCAGCCTGGGTGACAGAGCAAGATTCTGTCTCAACAACAACAAAAAGGAATGTAATGATTTATGATGTCCCTTTCATCAGGAGCACATACAGTCCTATGAATCGTTTGATCTGATAATGAGACTTTTTTTTCTTTTAAATGATGATAGTTATCTGGGGCCCTAATCTTAGTGTCTCTTTGTGGAGTGGCTTAGAAGCATTGTATAGTATAGAGGTATGGAGGAATGAGCTACTTGATCTTGGACAAATTACATTTAAAACTGAGTAAATCCCAATACTTGGCTCATTGAATGCACCCAGTGATACCTCTCATTATTATTAATTATGCCCATTGAATATTTTTTATTTTTATTTTTTGAGATGGAGTTTCACTCTTATTGCCCAGGCTGGAGTGCAATGGCGTGATCTCAGCTCACCCACAACCTCCACCTCCCGGGTTCAACCGATTCTCCTGCCTCAGCCTGCTGTGCAGCTGGGATTACAGGTGCCCGCCAACACACCCAGCTAATTTTTTGTATTTTCAGTAGAGACAGGGTTTCACTAAGTTGGCCAGACTGCTCTCCGACTCCTGACCTCAGGTGATCCACCTGACTCGGCCTCCCAAAGTGCTGGGATTATAGGCGTGAGCCACCATGCCATGCCCCAAATCATTTTCTAACAAAGAGCAGCCAGTAAAGTCAAGCTGCAGACATAGACAAGCAAGCCGGGAGCTTGCACAGGTGGATGCGACAGGAAAGAACTACCTGGGACTAGACATGTTCAAAATGGCGGCTGCACCTCCCCTTCTCTGCCAGCCACGTGTACAGTAAGGAGCAGACAAGATGGCACCGGCCAAGTGGAGAGTTCATTTGCATAATAAGATTAGAGTGGGGCCACCAGCCTTCCCTGTGTGCTATGTAAACGTCACACCTGACCCAAAAAACCTGTGAGCCCTACCTAAATCAGACACGGCCTCCTCAAGCTGGACTATAAAATCTGGCGTATCCACCAGCTGACCTTTTCCTCTTGGAAGTCCCTTCTTTCTCACTAGAGAGAGAGCTATTTTCCTTTGTCTTTCTCCTTCTTCCGCCTATTAAACCTCTGCTCCTGGCCAGGCGCCGTGGCTCAGGCCTGTAATCCCAGCACTTTTGGAGGCCAAGGCGGGCAGATCACCTGAGGTCAGGAGTTGAGGACAAGCCTGACAAACATGAGGAAACCCTGTCTCTACTCAAAAATACAAAATTAGCTGGGCGGGGTGGCGTGCGCCTGTAATCCCAGCTACTCAGGAGGCTAAGGCAGGATTGCTTGAGCCCAGGAGGCCAAGACTGCAGTGAGCTGTGATCACCCCACTGCACTCCAGCCTAGGTGACAGAGTGAGGTTCAAAACAAAAAAAGAATATACACCACAGTTTATAAGTGGGCATGTGGGATTTTTTTCGTTTGTTTTTGGCTATTATAAATAAAATTGCTACGAGCAATCATGTACAACTCTTTCTAAGGATATAGCTTCCTTCTCTCTTAGGAACCAACTAGCAGTGAAATAGCTGGATAATATGGTAAGTGTATAATTAATGTTTAAGAAACTGCCAAACTGTTTTGGAAAGTAGTTGTATTGAGGCAGGAGAATATAGGGATTGGAGGCAGGGAACCTAAGGCTGTTTCACGCAGCATTCCTAGAACTAAACTGAAAGGAAAACCCTAACTTTACATGCCTAAATCACAAAAGGACCAGAGGCTACTCCCTTTGCAAACCCCCCACCTTTTCTGCCAGGCATGGGAAATTGGCAACCAATCAGACTGATTGCGGGTTGAGTCTTCCTTTGCAACTTTGTAACTTCACTCCAGCCTCCGAATGGTTGGTTGCTGTCCACAACCAATCAGACTGATTGCGGGCGGAGTCTTCGTTTGCATAGAAGTATAAATTTGTAACTTCACCCTAGCCTCTGATTGGTTGCTTTCTGCAACCAATCATACGTTTGCACAGGAGTGTCACTTTTGTAACCACGTCATCCTCTGGTTGGCTGCTTTCTGCAATCAATCAGACTGATTGTGGGCTACCACTTCATTTACCTGAGGTGGGCATGAAGTAGCCAATGGGAAACTTCTAGAGGGTATTTGGACCCAAGAAGATTCTGTATCCGGGGCCCTTGAGCCACTGCTCAGCACGCTCTCGCACTGTGGAGTGTACTTTCATTTTCAATAAATCCCTGCTTTCGTTCTTTTTTAACCAGTTGTCAAATGATCCTTTATTGAAATATTTTCCTTTGTGCTTAACTGGCTGGTCATTCCACAGCACCACTGTAGATGTCATCTATGATGTCCTGAGGGTGGCGGCCATCAACATTACAGCCCACAGACTGGGCAGTCCCCAGGATCTCTTTAATGGTTCCAGAGAGTTCTCTGGCTAAGGATCAGTGCTGCATCTGTCGAGCAATGTTGACGATCTCATAAAAAGTGATATTCCCCCTGTGTTTAATGTTTTTCTGTTTCTTTCTGTCTCTTGGTAGTTCCTTTTGATGATCAGGGCGGAGGCAGAAGGTACCACTTCAATCTGGGCCTGTCTGTTCTGAATGGTCAGTTTCACTGTAATCCTCAGGCCCTTCCAGTCACCCGTTACCTTGGCAATGTCATCACCAACCTCTTTTGGAGACAGACCCGCGGGGCCAATCTTGGGGGCCAGAGCAGAAGTGGCACCGACTTCAACTCCAGTGCACGTGAAGTATACGACTTTGATCTCATTGGGGTGGAACTTCGGCGGCATGGTGGAGGCGGCTGGTGTCGGATGAACCCGGATTCGAGACGACCGAAGAAAGTTGCACCTTGGCCTCCTCCGAGCCGAAAGCCGAGAGAGCTGCTTTCGTTCTTTTGTTGCTTCATTCTTTCTTTGCTGCGTGTTTTGTCCAATTCTTTGTTCAAAACGCCAAGAACCTGGACAATTTGCAGTCACGTCCCTCTACCGGTGACAGTACCATTTTGGGTTGCCTTCATTGGTGTATGAGAGTGTGAATTCTTCCACATTCTTGCCAGCACTTGCTCTGTTGTCTGTTTAATTTCAGTGATTCTAGTAGGTAAGTAGCAGTGTCTCATTGTGGTTTTAATTTGTACTTCTGTAAAGACTAATGGTGATGAGTATCTTTTCATGTGCTTATTTGCCATCCATACATCTTCCTTGGTGCAGCTGATGCTGGCAGCCAGCTGGGTGGGGAGTGGGGCTGGGGGCATCTCTGTTCTCAATACCTGTACTGCTTCAATGTAGTCTCCATGTTGGCTACTGTGGGCGTCTTCATAGCATGCTGGCTTGGTACCAAATGTTAGTGTCCCAGTTGAGAAAGCAGGCAAGGCAGAAACAATACCCTTTTTGTGACCTAGCCTCAGAAGTTACATAGCTTGTTTTTGACTGTACTTTATGTGCCAAGCCCAGAGGCAGTGTGTGAAGGGACTAAGAAGTTATAAGGCAAAGGACATAAATACAGGAGGCTACAAATTGGGCTATTAATGCAATTATCTATTGTGCAATTTTTATTGTAGTAGAAACATATAAAATTTATCATCTTAATCATTTTTAATTAAATGGTTCAGTGTGTTAAGTATATTCACATTGCTGTGAAACCAATCTCCAGAAGTTTTTCATCTTGCAAATCTGAAACTGTATATATCCTTTAAACAACTCCCCCTTGCCTCCCCTCAGCCCAGGGTAACCAACATTCTACTTTGTTTCTATGAATTGACGACTGTAGATATATAAGTGCAATCCTATAGCATTTGTCTTTTGTGATTGGCTTATTTCACTTAGCACAATGTCTTCAAGGTTCATACATGTTGTAGCATGTGACAGGATTTCTTTCCTTTTTATTTTTTTCTTAAAAACAAGATCTTGCTCTGTTGCCTAGGCTGGAGTGCAGTGGCACAATCATAGCTCACTGTAGTCTTGAACTCCTGGGCTCAAGCCATCCTCCTGCCTCAGCCTCCTAAGTAGCTGGGACTACAGGCATGCACCACCACATCCAGCTAATTTTTGTTTTTTGCAGAGATGGGGGGCTGTCACTATGTTGCCCAGGCTGGTCTCAAACTCCTGGCCTCAGGCAGTCCTCCTGCCTTGGCATCCCAAAGTGCTAGAATCATAGGCATGAGCCACTGTGTCTGGCCTTTCCTTTTTAAGGCTGGATAATATTCCATTGTATGTATATACTACATTTTGTTTATCCGTTTATCAGTCAAACACTTGGTTTGCTTCCATCTTTTGGCTATTGTGAATAACACTGCTATGAACATGAGTGTGCAAATATTTCTTTGAGATGCTGCTTTCAATTCTTTTGGATATATATTCAAAAGTGAGATTGCTGTGCCATATGGTAGTTCTATTTTTAATTTTTTGAGGACTGTTCATACTGTTTTCTATAGCAGTTACCCCATTTTACAATCCCACTAACAGTGCACGGGGGCTTCAATTTTGCAACATCCTCATCAACACTTGTTATTTTCCGTTTTTTGTTTTGTTTTGTTTTGTATTTTGATGGTAGCCATCCCAATGAGTGTGAGGTGATAGCTCAGTGTGGTTTTGATTTGCATTTCTCTAATGAAATTGGGGAAGTTGAGCATCTTTTCATGTGTCCTCATTGGCTATTAGGATATCATCTTTGGAGAAATGTCTGTTCGAGTCTTTTGCCCATCTTTTTATTAGGCTATTGGATATTTTGTTGATGACTTGTAAAAATGCTTTCATTTATGTTTCCAACAGGCACTGGTACAGTCTGAGCTGAAAGCTTCAGCCTGATGACAGGCAAGTGTTTCTGTGTATCTCAGACCCAAGTTTGTGACAATCACAGCCAGGGGATTTCAGTGACCATTTCAACTTCTTCCTGGTGGCCAACCCTCCAGGCTTGACAAATCAACACAAAACACACCCAAACAGAAAAGCATAATCTGATCCTTACATGACGTCATTGACCAACAATGTAAGTGAATTCACGGTGTAATGGGCTGATTTATAAAGGATCTTACCCATAGGGTGTCTCAGCTCTTTACTGCTTAAACATTTAGTTCTCAAAAAGAATCCAGAATCACAAAAGAAACAATGACACATTATATCTGGTCTTTAACAAAGTTCTATTGAAAAAATCACCTAACAGCTAAATACCGCATTTAATGCCCCGTGACAAATATTTCTAATTCAGACACATGAGCTGTTCTGGAAAACTTCTAATTAGGAGCATGGATAGACATTGTACTGCCACAAATAGTCTCACTGCAAATTCAAAGAGCATAAATTACACAGTCACATGTTACTTTCAAAATGCTGCCCGTCATCTGAGAACACTGTGTGTTAGAACTTCATTGGGACACAAACATTATTCTCTGCCATCTTACAGCTGGGGAAATGTGGTTCTTGGATGCAGAGTGAATTCCTCAATTCCCAGGCCAGCCCAGTATCCCTGGGAGAGGCCGTATGGCTCTCTGACCTTTAATGGTCACTCTCATGGCAAGGCCTGATAAAAAGCCAGGAAAGATTCATCATGACTTTGGGTGCTGGGTCAGGGACTCTGAGTACACATATCAGAGAAACGCATGCCAATATAGGTGGGAAAGACACAAAATGTATCATACCTTAAGGAATTTGCTTTATTCACATCTAGGCTTGTGTATAAAACCATTCTGAATGTGTCACTTTAACATAAAACCCACTGACCCTGCACAATCTGTCAGACTGTTAACCTCAAAACACTCATTTCACACCTCTAAAGCTATCAATGGCTTCTCATTATAAAGAGAACAAATGCCAATATCTTAGTATAGAAGTCTAAGCTACAGTTTATGCTCAAAATATATTTCCAATCTTTTTGCTATCTTAGTATTTCCAAATCAGGCTCTGTGCTCCAGCCGATCAGCACTGCCGAGGGTTCCCTCACTACAGACCGTGAGCACCTCATTCTGGACAGTTTCTCCCTCCTGTCTTTGAGGCCCAGCTCCAGCCTCCATCCCCCTACCACCACCCTCAGACCAGGAGACACTGATCCAGCCCAGTCTGCATCATATATTTGTACATTCATCCTTATAATGGTAGCTTTCTTTTTTCTTTCCTTTTTTTTTTTTTTTTTTTTTTTTTTTGTGACAGGGTCTCACTCTGTCACCCAGGCTGGAGTGCAGTGGCATGATCTTGGCTCACTGCAACCTCTGCCTCCAGGTTCAAACAATTCTCCTTCCTCAGTTTCCGAGTAGCTGGGACTACAGGCGCACATCACCGTGCCCAGCTAATTTTTTTGTATTTTTAGTAGAGACGGGGTTTCAGTGAGCCAAGCTCATGCCACTGCACTCCAGCCTGGGAGACAGAGCGAGACTCCATCTCAAAAAATAATAAAAATAAAAAAAATTAGCTGGGCATGGTAGTGCACTCCTGTAATCCCAGCTACTTGGGAGGTGTTTTGGGGTGTTTCCAGTTTTGGACTATTATGAATAATGGGTCTCGTGAACATTTATGTACAGATAGGTTTTTGTGTGGACATACGTTTTTATTATTTATTTTTATTTTTTATTTTTTTTGAGACAGAGTCTCACTCTGTCACCCAGGCTCACCCATTGCAGTGATGCGATCTTGGCTCGCTGCAACCTCCACCTCCCGGGTTCAGGCGATTCTCCTGCCTCAGCCTCTGGAGTAGCTGGGATTACAGGGACATGCCACCACACCCAGCTAGTTTTTGTATTTTTATAGAGACCAGGTTTCAACCATGT
The DNA here is from genome assembly GCF_000001405.40 of Homo sapiens. NCBI lineage: Eukaryota > Metazoa > Chordata > Mammalia > Primates > Hominidae > Homo > Homo sapiens. The sequence goes on along the minus strand of NC_000002.12, from coordinate 44,266,655 downwards.
TGGTCAGGCTCGTCTTGAACTCCTGACCTTGTGATCTGCCCTCCTCAGCCTCTCAAAGTGCTGGAATTACAGGCGTGAGCCACCGCGCCCAGCTATTTATTTATTTTTTGAGACAGAGTCTCTCACTCTGTCACCCAGGCTGGAGTGCAGTGGCACAGTCTCAGCTCACCACAACCTCCGCCTCCCGGGTTCAAGCCAATCTTCTGCCTCAGCCTCCCAAGTAGCTGGGATTACAAGCACCCACCACCACACCTGGCTAATTTTTGTAATTTTAGTAGAGACAGGGTTTCACCATGTTGGCCAGGCTGGTCTCAAACTCCTGACCTCAAATGATCTGCCCGCCTTGGCCTCCAAAAGTGCTGGGATTACGGGCATGAGCCACCGTGCCTGGCTATGTTTTTATTTATTTTGGGTAAATGCTGAGGAATAGAATTACTGGATCATAAGACCAGTATATAGTGTAATGTTCAACTTTACAAGAAACTGCCATAGTGTTTCCTAAAAGGTTTGGACCTTTTTACATTCCCATGAGCAATGTGTGAAAGATCCATTGCTCCACATTCTCGCTGACAACAGGCAATGCCAGTTTTTGTAACTTTAGGCATTCTAGTGAGCAAAATTATAATTTGTGCTTCCTTAAAGGCCAATAACTTTGAACATTAGCGTTTATTTGCCATTTGTATATCTTCCTTAGTGAAATGCTCATTCAATTTTGCAATATTTTACCTATTTCTGCTTTTTGTTACTGAGTTGTAAAAGTTGTTTCTTATAAGTATGAGTTATTTATCAGATATGTGTTGCCTAAGGCTTGACTTTTAATTTTCTTGACAGTTTCTCTTGAAGAGTAGAAGTTTCTAATTTTTATTAAATCGAATTCACCAGTAATTTCTTTTATGGTACTTATTCTTATGTTTTCTGTATCTTACCTGAGTGTTGCCTAACTCAAGGTCACAAAGATTTCCTCCACTGTTATCATCTAGAAATTTTAGTTTTAGCTCTTGTCATTAAGTCTGTGATTAATTGCTAGTTAATTCTTGTGTGGCATGAGATAAGAAGGTCAAGGTTGATTTTGCTGTTACTGTTGTAGTTGCATATGGCTACACATTTGTTCCAAAACCATTTGTTAAAAAGACTTTTCAGCTGGGCGTGGTAGCTCACACATGTAATCCCAGCACTCCGGGAGGCTGAGGTGGGCAGATCACTTGAGCCCAGGAGTTTGAGAACAGCCTGGGCAACACAGGGAAAATGCATCTCTACAAAAAATATGAAAGTTAGCCAGTGTGGTGGTGCATGCCTGTAGTCCCAGCTACTTGGGAGACTAAAGTGGGAAGATCACTTGAACCCCAGAGGACCAGTCTGCAGTGAGCCAAGATCGCATCACTGCACTCCAGCCTGGGCAGTAGAGCAAGACTCTGTCTCAAAAATTAAAAAATAAAGAACTTTCCTTTCTGCTATTGAATTCCCATGTCATTTTTGTTAAAACTCAAGTGACCATATATGTACAGGTCTATTTCAAGATTCTCTATTGTGTTCCCTTGATATATAGATCCTGACACCAAAACCACATTATCTTAATTGCCACAACTTTATAGGAATTCTTGTAATCCAGTAATATGAATCCACCAATTTAATCCCTTTATCAAAGTTGTTTTGGCTATTCAAGGTCACTTGCATTATTTAAGATTTAAAATACATTTTACAATCAGCTTGTCAAACTCTACCCCAAAAAAATGGCTAGTAGAATTTTCATTAGATTTTATTTAATCTATAAATTGGCCAGGCGCAGTGGCTCACATAATCCCAGCACTTTGGGAGAACAAGGCAGGCGAATCACTTGAGGTCAGGAGTTCAAGACCAACCTGGCCATCATGGTGAAACCCTGTCTCTACTAAAAATACAACAAATTAGCCGGGGGTGATAGCAGGTGCCTGTAACCCCAGCTACTTGGGAGGCTAAGGCAGGAGAATTGCTTGAACCCAGGAGGCAGAACTTGCAGTGAGCTGAGATCATGCCTTTGCACTCCAGCCTGGGCGACAGAGTGAGACTCTGTCAAGAATTTTATTTTATCTATAAATCAATTTGTGGATAATTGACATCTTAACAATATTAATCTTACATCCAAGAACATGGTATCTCTTTTCGTTTATCTAGGTCTTCTTTAATTTCTCTCAAAAAGGTTTGTAGTTTCCCAGGTTCAGGTCTTGCACATATTTTGTTAAATTTATCTTTAATATTTCATAGGTTTTTTTGTTTTTTGTTTTTTTGAGATGGGGTCTCGCTCTGTCACCCAGGCTGGAGTGCAGTGGTGTGATCTTGGTTCACTGCAACCTCTGCCTCACGGGTTCAAGTGATTCTCTTGCCTCAGCTTCCTGAGTAGCTGGGACTATAGGTGACCGCCACCACACCCAGCTAATTTTTGTATTTTTAGTAGAGATGGGGTTTTGCCTTGTTGGCCAGGCTGGTCTTGAACTCCTGACCTCAGGTGATCCACCTGCCTCGGCCTCCTAAAGTGCTGACATTACAGGCGTGAGCCACTGCACCTGGCCGTATTTCATAGTTTTGAATGCTATCGTAAATGGTATTGATTTTTTAATTTCAATTTTTAACTGTTTGATCCTAATATATAGAAATGCATACTGGTACATTGACCTTGAATCCTGTGACCTTGCTAAGCTTATTAATACCTTATTTATAGATTCTTTATGAATTTCTATTTACATAATCATGTCATCTGCAAATAAAGACCATTTTGTTTCTTTCCAATATTTATGCCTTTTATTTCCTTTTATTTATTTGTTTTGCCTTACTATACTGGCAGTTGATCTCCAGTCAATACTGAATACAAGTGGCGAGAGCAGACAGACATTCTTGCCTTGTTCCCTGTGTTAGAGGGAACATTCAGTCTTTTACCATTAAGTATTGTTACAGTAGGTAGCTGGTCAGGCATGAGCAGGGCAGGAGAGGGCCCCTTGCCCTCCCCCAGGAATATCAGGCAACCAGCAGGTGATGGTCAGATGGTTGTTAACTGTCACTCTAAAATAATAATTGGTTGCAACTGGCACCAGGAAGGGGCAGCCTCCCAATAGACAGAAAAAACCTGAAATGCGATCAGCAGCTTCCCAATAAAATCTCAGGAGTAGGGCGAGTGGGCTCACATATGTGCACTGAAGGCAAAAATGGCGGCATTTAACTGGCCTATGACCTAGGAACCTTTGGTAAGGGAAGAATGCCTCAAGTGAGCATGCATACAACTCCAGTAAACACACTGCACGTGTGACCCCTTCGAAGCGCTGACAGGCCACTGCGCACTTGGACAGCCCACCTCAAGGGAAGAATCAGAGAAGGGATGCAAGACCCCAGAAGCACACAAATGTATAAAATCCCAAGTCAAAGGTGAAACTGCACTTGATCTCTCAAGTCACCCACTTGACCCTCTTCCAAGTGTACTTTACTTCCTTGCATTCCTGCTCTAAAGCTTTTTAATAAGCTTTCACTCCTGCTCTAAAACTTGCCTCAGTCTCACACTCTGCCTTCTGTCACTTAGTCGAATTATTTCATCTGAGGAGGCAAGAACTGAGGTTGCTGCAGACCCTTATGGATTCACCACCCAGCATGATGTTAGGTTTAGTCGTAACACAGTTATCCTTTATCAAGTTGAGCAGTTTCTCTCTTTTTTTTTGACCCTTCTAAACTTATTTATTTTCTCTTATTCATTTTTTGTTAACAATCCTGATACAAACTTTTTTTAGAAATTCAAATGATACAGAAGTGTATGAAATAAAAAGTGACAACCCCTTCCCCCACCCCACCTAAATACCTTCTACGGTTTCTTTTGTTTATTTGTTTTCCTGTGTGTTTTTTTTTAAATTTTATTATTATTACACTTTAAGTTTTAGGGTACATGTGCACAATGTGCAGGTTAGTTACATATGTATACATGTGCCATGTTGGTGTGCTGCACCCATTAACTTGTCATTTAATATTAGGTATATCTCCTAATGCTATCCCTCCCCTCTCCCCCCACCCCACAACAGTCCCCAGAGTGTGATGTTCCCCTACCTGTGTCCATGTGTTCTCATTGTTCAGTTCCCACCTATGAGTGAGAACATGCGGTGTTTGGTTTTTTGTCCTTGCGATAGTTTGCTAAGAATGATGGTTTCCAGTTTCATCCATGTCCCTACAAAGGACATGAACTCATCATTTTTTATGGCTGCATAGTATTCCATGGTGTATATGTGCCACCTTTTCTTAATCCAGTCTATCGTTGTTGGACATTTGGGTTGGTTCCAAGTCTTTGCTATTGTGAATAGTGCCACAATAAACATACGTGTGCATGTGTCTTTATAGCAGCATGATTTACAATCCTTTGGGTATATACCCAGTAATGGGATGGCTGGGTCAAATGGTATTTCTAGTTCTAGATCCCTGAGGAATCACCACACTGACTTCCACAATGGTTGAACTAGTTTACAGTCCCACCAACAGTGTAAAAGTGTTCCTATTTCTCCACATCCTCTCCAGCACCTGTTGTTTCCTGACTTTTTAATGATCACCATTCTAACTGGTGTGAGATGGTATCTCATTGTGGTTTTTATTTGCATTTCTCTGATGGCCAGTGATGATGAGCATTTTTTCATGTGTTTTTTGGCTGCATAAATGTCTTCTTTTGAGAAGTGTCTGTTCATATCCTTCGCCCACTTTTTGATGGGGTTGTTTGTTTTTTTCTTGTAAATTTGTTTGAGTTCATTGTAGATTCTGGATATTAGCCCTTTGTCAGATGAGTAGGTTGAGATAATTTTCTCCCATTTTGTAGGTTGCCTGTTCACTCTGATGGTAGTTTCTTTTGCTGTGCAGAAGCTCTTTAGTTTAATTAGATCCCATTTGTCAATTTTGGCTTTTGTTGCCATTGCTTTTTGTGTTTTAGACATGAAGTCCTTGCCCATGCCTATGTCCTGAATGGTATTGCCTAGGTTTTCTTCTACGGTTTTTATGGTTTTAGGTCTAACATGTAAGTCTTTAATCCATCTTGAATTAATTTTTGTATAAGGTGTAAGGAAGGGATCCAGTTTCAGCTTTCTACATATGGCTAGCCAGTTTTCCCAGCACCATTTATTAAATAGGGAATCCTTTCCCCATTGCTTGTTTTTCTCAGGTTTGTCAAAGATCAGATGGTCTTAGATATGCGGCATGATTTCTGAGGGCTCTGTTCTGTTCCATTGATCTATATCTCTGTTTTGGTACCAGTACCATGCTGTTTTGGTTACTGTAGCCTTGTAGTGTAGTTTGAAGTCAGGTAGCGTGATGCCTCTGGCTTTGTTCTTTTGGCTTAGGATTGACTTGGCGATGCGGGCTCTTTTTTGGTTCCATATGAACTTTAAAGTAGTTTTTTCCAATTCTGTGAAGAAAGTCATTGGTAGCTTGATGGGGATGGCATTGAATCTCTAAATTACCTTGGGCAGTATGGCCATTTTCACGATATTGATTCTTCCTACCCATGAGCATGGAATGTTCTTCCATTTGTTTGTATCCTCTTTTATTTCATTGAGCAGTGGTTTGTAGTTCTCCTTGAAGAGGTCCTTCAGATCCCTTGTAAGTTGGATTCCTAGGTATTTTATTCTCTTTGAAGCAATTGTGAATGGGAGTTCACTCATGATTTGGCTCTCTGTTTGTCTGTTATTGGTGTATAAGAATGCTTGTGATTTTTGTACATTGATTTTGTATCCTGAGACTTTGCTGAAGTTGCTTATCAGCTTAAGGAGATTTTGGGCTGAGACAATGGGGTTTTCTAGATATACAATCATGTCATCTGCAAACAGGGACAATTTGAATTCCTCTTTTCCTAATTGAATACCCTTTATTTCCTTCTCCTGCCTAATTGCCCTGGCCAGAACTTCCAACACTATGTTGAATAGGAGTGGTGAGAGAGGGCATCCCTGTCTTGTGCCAGTTTTCAAAGGGAATGCTTCCAGTTTTTCTTTTATTGGTAGTTTGCTGAGAATTTCTGTCTTGACTGGGTCCCATATTTGTCAAATGCTTTTTCTGAATCTAACGAGGCAATGAAATGGTTTTGTTTTTTGATTTTTTTCAACTTCACATGTCGAATTGCATTGATTGACTTCCAAATGTTAAACTTATCTTGCATTCTTGGGATGCATCCCACTTGGTCATAAGCTGTTATTCTTGCTGTATTGTGCTAGATTCAGTTTGCTGAAATTTTGTTAAAAATTATTGCAACAATATTTATTAGAGATATTGGTCTGTAGTTTTTTCTCCTTGTAATAGATTTGTCTGGTTTCATATCAAAGTAACGGTAATTTTATAAAATGGTTTTGGAGGGACTCCCTCCTCTTCAATTCTCTGGGAGACTTTATGTATATTTAGTATTATATCTAGGCAATTATTTCTGTAATAGATATAGGGCTATCCAATTATGAATTCAATTTCTTCAAAAAACACAGGGCTATTCAAGTTACCTGTTTTTTCTTGAGTGAAATTTGGTAGTTTATGCCTTTCAAGGGATTTGTTCATTTCCTTTAAGGTGTCAAATTTATTAGTATAAACATTTTCATGGTATTCCTTTAACTTTAAAAAAATGTCTAGCCCAGGCATGGTGGCTCATGCCTGTAATCCCAGCACTTTGAGAGGCCAAGGCAGGAGGATCCCTTGAGCCCAGGAGTTCCAGATAGCCTAGGCAACACAGTGAAACCCTGTTTATATTAAAAATACAAAAATTAGCTAGAAATGGGTGCACACTTCTGTAGACCCAGCTACTCAGGAGGCTGAGGTGGGAGGATCACTCAAGACTGGGAGGTCAAGCCTGCAGGAAGCTATACTGGGTGCAGTGGCTCACACCTGTAATCCCAACACTTTGGGAGGCTGAGAAGGGCAGATCACTTGAAGTCAGGAGTTTGAGACCAGCCTGGCCAACATGGTAAAACCCCATCTCTACTAAAAATACAAAAAGTTAGCCGGGTGTGGTGGTGCGTGCCTGTAATCCCAACTACTCGGGAGGCTGAGGCAGGAGAATAGCTTGAACCCAGGAGGTGGAGGTTGCAGTGAGCTGAGATTGCGCCACTGAACTCCAGCCTGTGCAACAAGAGTGGAAACTCCGTTTCAAAAGAGAAAAAAAAAAAAAACTGCAGGAAGCTATGATGGTGCCACTGCACTCTAGCCTGGACAACAGAGTGAGACCCTGTCTCAAGAAAAAAAATGTCTGTCAGGTTTGTCGTGATATCTTCCCTTTCATTCCTGATATTAATAATGTGTGTCTTTCTTTTTTCCTGATTTGGTCTGGTTAGAGAGGTTTATTAATGCTATTCATATTTTTCAAAGAGCCAGGTTTTGATTTTCCTCTATTTTCCATATTCTATGCCATCCATTTCTACTCTTATTGTTTCCTTCCTTTCTTGCACTTGTACTTAATTCTTAAGTTGGTAAATCATTAATCTGTGATCTTACATTTTTTCTGATATGTGTTTTTTCTTTTACTTTTTTCTTTTTGGAGACAGAGTCTGTCACCCAGGCTGGAGTGCAGTGGCATGATTTCGGCTCACTGTAATCTCCACCTCCCAGGTTCAAGCTATTCTCATGACTCAGCCTCCCGTGTAGCTGGGATTACAGGCCCGTGCCACCCTGCCCGGCTAATTTTTTGTATTTTTAGTAGAGACGGGGTTTTGCCACGTTGCCCTGGCTGGTCTCTAACTCCTGAGTTCAAGTACTCCGCCTGCCTCGGCCTCGCAAAGTGTTAGGATTATAGGCGTGAGGCACCACAACTGGACTAATATGTGTTTCAAGTTATAAATTTCCCTGTAAACACTGCCTTAGCTGCAGCCCACAGATTTTGATAAATTGTTTTCATTTTCATGCTAGTCAAGGTATTTTCTAATTTCACTTGTAATATATTCTTTGCACATGAATTATTTAGCAGTGTGTTGTTTTTATCCTTCAGTTATTACTAGGTTAATTCTAACATGGAAATCACACCTAAAAGAATGGCTACATTTGAAGTAGGGAAAGTGTTGGAGGATGTCTTAGTCCGTTTGTGTTGCCATACAGGAATACTTGAGGCTGGGTAATTTATAAAGAAAAGAGGCTTATTTGTCTCATGTTTCTGCAGGCTGTACAAGAAGCATGGTGCCAGTATCTGCTTCTGGTGAGGGCTTCAGACTGCTTCTGCTCATGGTGGAAGGTAAAGCTGAACTGACATGTGCAGGGATCACATAGAAGCAAGAGAGAGGGGGGATATGCCTAGTTTTTTTCATTTGTTTTTGTTTTTGAGACAAAGGACAAGGTCTTGCTCTGTCACTCAGGCTGGAGCGCTGTGGCATGATCACAGCTCACTGCAGCCTTGACCTCCTGGGGTCAAGTGATCCTCCTGCCTCAGCCTCCTTAGTAGCTGGGACCACAGGTGCACACCACCACGCCCAACTAAGTAAAAAACGATTTTTTTTTTGTAGAGATGGGGTCTCCCTATGTTGCTCAGGCTGGTCTCAAACTCCTGGGCTCAAGTGATCCTCCCACCTTGGCCTCCCAAAGTGCTGAGATTACAGGCATGAGTCACCACGCCTGGCCCCAAGTTTTTTTTAACAACCAGTTCTTGTGGGAACTAATAGAGCAAGAGCTCATTCATTACTGCAAGAAAGGCACAAGACAGTCATGAGGGATCCTCCCCATGACCAGAAACATGCCTTGTATAATTACAACCTTCCTTACATTTAGTGAGACTCCCTGTATAGCCCAGAACATAGTCCATCTTTGTGGATGTTTTGTGGGCATTTAAAAAGAATATGTAGTCTCATGTTGTTGGGTGGAGTATTGTATAAATGTCATTTTAGGCAAGTTGATTGGTGGTGTTGTGTTTTTTTTTCTGAGACAGAGTCTCACTGTTACCCAGGCTGGAGTGCAGTGCCACGATCTTGGCTCACTGCAACCTCTGCCTCCTGGATTCAAGCAATTCTCCTGCCTCAGCCTCCCGAATAGCTGGGATTACAGGTCCACAACCACGTCCAGCTAATTTTTGTATTTTTCGTAGAGACGGGGATTCATCATGTTGGCCAGGTTGGTCTTGAACTCCTGACCTCATGATCCACCTGCCTTGGCCTCCCCATTACAGGCGTGAGCCACCGTGCCCGGCCAAGTCTTCTATATCCTTATCCATTTTTTGTCTACTTGTTCTATCAATTATTGACAGAGAAGTGTTGAGACCTCCAACTATAAAGGTGAATTTGTCCAGTTCTCTTCTTACTTCTATCAGCTTTTGCCTTGTGTATTTTGAAACTGTTATTAGATACACACATGTTTATATTTATAATCCTTTTGATTAGTTGAGTCTTTTTTTTTTTTTTTTTTGAGATGGAGTCTCACTCTGTCACCCAGGCTGGAGTGCGGTAGTGCAATCTTGTTTCACTGCAGCCTCTGCCTCCTGGGTTCAAGCGGTTCTCCTGCCTCAGCCTCCTGAGTAGCTAGGACTACAGGTGTGCACCACCATGCCCAGCTAACTTTTTGTATTTTTAGTAGAGATGGGGTTTCACCATGTTGGCCAGGCTGGTCTTGAACTCCTGACCTCATGTGAACTGCCAGCCTCAGCCTCCCAAAGGGCTGGGGTTACAGGTGTTAGCCACTGTGCCCGGCCAATTAATTGAGCCTTTTATCATTATGATATGTCTCTCTTTCTCCCTGGTATCAGTCATTGTCCTAATATCTACTTCATCTGATATTAATATAGCTACCTAGCTTTCTTTTATTTTTTCTTGTGATATATGTAATATTTACAATTAGTAACATTTAGTACTTTAACAGTGTTGTGTACCCATCACCACTATCTAGTTCCAGAATCTTTTCATAACACCAAAAACAAACCCACAACCCTTTAAACAGCCACTCCCCTTCCCCACTCCCCTCTTCCCCTGGCAAGCACTAATTTGCTTTCTATCTTTATGGATTTGCCTCTTCTGGACACTGCGTAAAAATGGAATCATACAGCATTTTGCCTTTTGTGTCTGACTTATTTCATTTATAATGTTTTCAAGGTTTATCCATGTTGTAGTACATATTGGTACCTTATTCCTTTTTATGTACGAATAATATTCCATTGTATATATATGCTGCATTTTGTTTACCCCTTCATCAGTAAATGAAAATTTGTATTATCTCCACTTTTTGGTTATTGTGAATAGCCAAAATGTTTTCTACAATTTTGGGTAAGTGTGCAGGGCTGCAACTGCTGGGTCATATGGTAATTCTACGATTAACTTATTGAGAACCATCACATTGTTTTCTGCTGTGGCTGCACAATTTTCCATCCCTATCAGCAATGTACAAGGGTTCCAATTTTTCCACATCCTCCTGCTGCAGTTTGGATGTTAAGTCCCCTCAAGCTTCAGGTTGAAATTTCATTCCCAATGCTGGAGGTGGGGCCTAATGGGAGGTGTTTCTGGTTATAGGGGCGGATCCCTCATGAATGTCTTGCTGCCTTTCTTGCAGTAATGAATGAGCTCTTGCTCTATTAGTTCCCGCAAGAGCTGGTTGTTAAAAAAAATTTGGGGCCAGTTGTGGTGACTCATGCCTGTAATCCCAGCACTTTGGGAGGCCAAGGCGGGAGATCACTTGAGCCCAGGAGTTTGAGACCAGCCTGAGCAACATAGGGAGACCCCATCTCTACAAAAAAAAATTGTTTTTTACTTAGTTGGGCGTGGTGGTGTACGCCTGTGGTCCCAGCTACTTAGGAGGCTGAGGCAGGAGGATCACTTGACCCCAGGAGGTCAAGGCTGCAGTGAGCTGTGAACATGCCACTGCACTCCAGCCTGAGTGACAGAGCAAGACCTTGCCCTTTGTCTCAAAAACAAACATAAATGAAAAAAACTAGGCATTTCCCCCTCTCTATTTCTTCCATGTGATCCCTGCACATGTCACTTCAGCTTTACCTTCCACCATGAGCAGAAGCAATCTGAAGCCCTCACCAGAAGCAGATACTGGCACCATGCTTCTTGTACAGCCTGCAGAAACATGAGACAAATAAGCCTCTTTTCTTTATAAATTACCCAGCCTCAAGTATTCCTGTATGGCAACACAAACGGACTAAGACATCCTCCAACACTTTCCCCACTTCAACCGTAGCCATTCTTGTAGGTGTGAAGTGATATCTCAATGTGGTTTTGATCTGCATTTTCCTAATGACTAATGATGTTGAGCATCCCTATGTATGCATGTTGGCCATTTAATATCTTCTTTGGAGAGATGTCTATTCAAATTTTTAACTGGGTTTTGCCTATTTTTAAATGGTGCTGTTTTGTCTTTTTGGTGAGTTGTAAGCATTATTTATATATTCTGATGTTAGCCCCTTATCAGCTATATGATTTGCAAATATTTTCTCTCATTATGTAGACTCTTTTCACTTTCTTCATGGTGTCCTTTGTTGCACTAAAGTATTTAATTTTGATGAAGCTCAATTTATCTATTTTTCTTTAGTTTCATGTGTTTTGATGTCCTATCTTTCACTGCCAAATCCATGATCATAAAGATTTGCCCCTATGTTTTTTTTTGTAAGAATTTTATGGTTTTAGCTCTTATATTTAAGTTGATCCATTTTGAGTTAATTTTTGTATATGGTGTGAATAGGAATCCAACTTCATTCTTCTGCATGTGTATATCCAGTTGTCCCAGCACCATTTATTGAACAGAGTATTCTTTCCCCGTTTGATGGCCTTTTCACCCTGGGTGATAATCAATTGACCATAGATGTATGGGTTTATTTATGGACTCTGAATTCTATTCCATTGATCTATATGCCTTTTTTTTTTTTTTTTTTTTTTTGAGACGGAGTCTTGCTCTGTCACCCAGGCTTGAGTGCAGCGGCACGATCTCAGCTTACTGCAACCTCTGCCCCCCGGGTTCAAGTGATTCTTCTGCCTCAGCCTCCTGAGTAGCTGGGACTACAGGTGTGCACCACAAAGGCTGGCTAATTTTCCTATTTTTAGTAGAGACGGGTTTCACCATGTTGGCCAGGCTGGTCTCGAACTCCTGACCTTGTGATCCCCCACCTTCGCCTCCCAAAGTGGTGGGATTACAGGCGTGAGCCATCGCGCCCAGCCTATATGCCTATTTTTATATCAGTATCACATTGTTTTGATTACTGTTAGCTTTGTTTGTAAGGTTTTGAAATTAGTAAGCATGAGTCCTTCAATTTTGTTCTTCTCTAGCTTTCCTTTGATTAGTATTTTTTATGGTACATTTTCTCCTATCCTTTTACTTTATCTGTGTCTTTATTTTTAAGGAAGTTTTCTTGTAGGTAATATATAGTTGAACTTTCCATAAATGATTATATTATCTAACTAGATAACCTCTGCCCTTTTTCTTTTTTTAAGAGATTGGGTCTTGCTATGTCAGTCAGGTTGGAATGCAGCGGTTATTCACTGGCACAGTCATAGCACACTGTAGCCTTGAACTGCCAACCTCAAGCAATCCTCCCGCCTCAGCCTCTGAGTAGCTGGGACTGCAGGACATGCCACTGCATCAGGTGATAATCTCTGCCTTTTACAGAAGTGTTTAGACCATTTACATTTGGTCTAATCATGGATATGGTTGGGTTTGTGCCCACTATGAATCTATTTGTTTTTCATTTGTTGTACCTGCTCTTTATTTTTTCCTTTTTCTGCTTTCTTTTGAATTGATTTGTATGATTTAATTTTATCTTCATTAAATGCCATTATAGCCATATCTCTTTATTTTTTAATCAATTGCTCTGAATTTTACAATATACACTTTTGTCTTATCACATTCCACCTTTAAATAATATTATACAGCTTCATGTATTATGTAAGAATCTCATACCTCCATTTCCTCTTTCCTATCTTTTGTCATTTTTGTCGTACATTTTACTTAAAAATATGCTACACAACCTACATTATATTTGATTGAACAGAGAATTTTCTTTTTCTTTTTTTTTTTTGAGATGGAGTCTCACTCCGTTGCTCAGGCTGGAGTGCAGTGGCGCGATCTCGGCTCACTGCAACCTCTGCTTCCCGGGTTCAAGCAATTCCCCTGCCTCAGCCTCCTGAGTAGCTGGGATTACAGGTGTGTGCCACCACACCTGGCTAATTTTTGTATTTTTAGTAGAGACAGGGTTTCACCATATTGGTCATGGCTGGTCTCGAACCCCTGACCTCGTGATCCACCCACCTTGGTCTCCCAAAGTGCTAGAATTACAGGTGTGAGCCACTGCACCTGGCCAATAATTTTCTTTCAAATAATCAAAAATGAGAAAAATTATAAAGTTTTTGAATTTTCTAAGCTTTTGTTTATCTGAAAGAGTTGTTGTCCAAATAACACTGGAAAGTTATTTTTGGTAGGTAAGGAATTCTACACTGGCAGATTATTCAGGGCTTTAAAGATGTCTCTTCAGTGTCTTCAGGTTTGTGAAGCTTCCGATGAGAAATATACTGTCATTCTTTCCTTTGTTCTCTATACATAATTTGTCTTTCACTGTCTTTTAAGGGATTTTCTTTATCACTGGTTTTTAGCAATTTGATTATGATGTGATGTGGTGTTGTTTTCTTCCTATTTATCCAGCTATGGTTCTTTGGACTTCTTGTATCTGAGGGTTTATAGTTCTCAGCTTTGACAAAATTTTAGGCCTTATTTTTTCACCATCCTTTCTTCTGATGCTCCAACTGCATATATGTTAGATCACTTGATATTTTCTCACTGGTTGCTAATGTTTTCTTCTTTTGTTTTGTTTTTCCTATCATTTTTCTCTCTGTGCTTCATTTTGGATAATTTCTATTGCTATTTCTTCAAGCTCACCAATCTTTTGTCCTGCAGTATCTAATCTAATGTTAATCCATTCCAACGGATTTTTATTTCAGATATTATATTTTTCTTCTCTAGAATTTCTAATACTGTATTTTAAATTTTTTTCTGCAACTCTCCTCATCATGCTTATATTTTCCTCTGTCTTCTTGAAGAAATGGACCATATTTAATAGTAGCCATGTTAACTTACCTGTTGATAGTTCCATCACCTTTGCCATTTCTCAGTCTCTATTGACTGGCTTGTCTCTTGCCTATCGGTTATATTTTTTCTGCTTCTCTGCATGCCTGGTAGTTTGTTATTGGATGCTGGAAATGGAGACTTTTACATTGGTAGTTGCTGGGTTTTGTTGTATTCCTTTAAATAGTGTTAGATTTGGTTCTGGTTCACAGTGGTTTGAACTTTTTGAGACTTGACTTTAAGAATTGTTAGGATGGATCTGCTGGGCACGGTGGCTCACGCCTGTAATCCCAGCACTTTGGGAGGCCGAGGCAGGTGGATTACCTGAGGTCAGGAGTTCGAGACCAGCCTGGCCAACATGATGAAACCCTGTCTCTACTAAAAATACAAAAATAAGCCGGGCGTGGTGGCACATGCCTGTAATTCCAGCTACTTGGGAGGCTGAGCCAGGAGAATCACTTGAACCCAGGAGGCGGAGGTTGCAGTGAGCCGAGATCACACCACTACACTCCAGCCTGGGTGACAGAGCGAGACTCCGTCTCAAAAAAAGAAAAAAAAGGAAAAAAAAAAAGAATTGTTAGGATGTATCCATAGATACACTTTGTCTAGGGCTAACTTAGTCCCATTATTAAGTCCACACTCTTCTAAGGATTCTTCTCGATGCCCCTTGTCTTATGAAGTTGTTTCACTCTGGCTTATGGGGACACAAACTCCTCCTAGACCTGTGTATATTTTATTCATTGTTCTGCCTACTTCTTTCAAGTACAGACACACCTTGGAGATGTTGTGGACTCAGTTCCAGACCATCACAATAAAGTGAATATCACAATAAAGAGAGCCACACAAACATTTTGGTTTCCCTGTGCATATAAAAGTTATGTTTGCACTATACTGTAGTCTATTATGTGTGCAATAGCATTATGTCATTATGTCTAAAAAAGGACACATCTTATTTAAAAATGCTTTTTGCTAACGTGTTTTAATAATTGATCTGAGCCCTCAGTGAATCCTAAGCTTTTTGCTGGTGGAGGGTCTTGCCTTGATGTTGATGGCTGCTGGGTGATCACGGTGGGAGTTGCTGAAGGTTAGGGTAGCTGTGGCAACTTCTTAAACTAAGACAACAATGAAGTTTGCTATATCATTGGACTCTTCCTTTCATGAAAGAGTTCTCTGTAGCATTCAATGCTGTTTGGTAGCATTTTACCCAAAGTAAAATGTTCAAAATTGAAATTGGTCCTCTCAAACCCTGCCACTGCTTTATCAACTAAGTTTATGGAATATTCTAAATTCTTTGCTGTAATTTCAACAGTGTTCACAGCTTCTTCACCAGGAGTAGATTCCATCTCAAGAAACCACTTTCTTTGCTCATTCATAAGACTTGCTTGATGCAGGGTCTGTGGAGTGCAATAAAGTGAAGCACAAGGAAACAAGGTCTGCCTGTAGTTGTTTCAGGCCTCAGGTGGGGTTTCCTCTCACCTGTATAGGATCTCAGTACTCAGCCAAACTTTAAGGAAGCTAGGTATGGTGGCTCATGCCTATAATCCCAGCACTTTGGGAGGCCAAGGCAGAAGAACTGCTTGAGCTCAGGAGTTCGAGACCAGCCTGGCCAACATGGTGAAACCCAAATACAAAAAAATTAGCCAGGCGTGGTGGCTGTAATCCCAGCTACTCAGGAGGCTGAGGCAGGAGAATCGCTTGAACCCGAGAGGCAGAGGTTGCAGTGAGCTGAGACTGTGCCATTGCACTTGAGCCTGGGCGACAAGAATGAAACTCCATCTCAAAAAAAAAAAAAAAAAAGTAAAAACTTGAAGGAAACCTCTGCAGGTTTCTAGGGTCCTTTCTCTCCATGCAGCTCACTGCTCTCTGGCTGAAATATAGCACTGTGGGCTCTCTAAATTCGGATTTCTCTTTGCTAACTCAGTAAGACTACCCAGTTCTGTCTGGGTTCCCATACTCTGTGCCATGGCCTGGAAACTGCTTCTAGACAGGAAGCTGGTGAAACCAAAGGACACACTTCATTTTTTAACCTTCAATCAGCAATCTCATTTTCACATTGCCTATAGCCTAGTGTCTATAAGCCTTTGTTTCGGGTATTTTGCCTGGTTTTCTATTTGCATAATGTGAAAGACTCAGTCCAGTTCCTGTTTCTCCATTTTGAGCAGTCTGGATGTCTCATAACGTTTTATCACAGACCTATCCATCTATACATCTCTCTATCCACCCAGCCCTCTTATTTCTTTATGCATTTCAAGATAAACTTCAGGTAACACTGCATTCCCCCCTAAATACTTCAACAAGCATATGATTAAAATTCATTTATAAATTTTATCCTTTGAGATAAAATTTATATACAATGAAATGAATACATCTTAAGTGAACATGTGCTACATTTTGACAAATGCATCTACCTGTGTAGCCCAAGCCTCTTATCACAATACAGAACATTCCTGTCATCCCAGAAAGTTCCCTCATGCCCCTTCCTAGTCAACCTCCAGCTCCCCTGCCCAACTGAAGCACCCACCAGGCTGATTCTTCTTCATCATAGTTTTGCCTCTTCTAAAAAGTCACGTAGTCATAGTCATATGCTGTACACTCTTTGGGTAAAGCTCCTTTTATTCAGCTTAATGTTGTGGGATTCATCCACGCCATTGCATAGAGTGATAGTTCTTTTCTTTCTATTGTTGAGTAGCATTCTATTTTGTGATTATACTGCAGTGATCTATTCTCCTACTGGTGGATAGCTGGGCTGTCCTCCTTCTGACACTGTTAGGAATAGAGCTGTTCGGAACATTCCTGTACAAGTCTTTTTGTGGACGTATGTTGTTTTCTTTCTTTCTTTTTTTTTTTTTTTTTTTTTTTTTTTTTGAGACAGAGTCTTGCTCTGTTACCCAGGCTGGAGTTCAATGGTGCGATCTCGGCTCACTGCAACCTCCGCCTGCCGGGTTCGAGCAATTCTTCTGCCTCTGCCTCCCAAGTAGCTGGGATTACAGGCACCCACCACCACACCTGGGTGATTTTTGTATTTTTAGTAGAGATGGGGTTGGTTTCGCCATGTTGGCCAGGCTGGTCTTGAACTCCTAACTTCAGGTGATCCACCACCTTGCCTCCCAAAGTGCTGGGATTACAGCCGTGAGCCACTGCGCCTGGCCTATTTACTTTGTTGAGACAGGGTCACACTCCATTGCCCAGGCTGGAATGCAGTAATGTAATCATGGCTCACTGCAGGTTTGACCTCCTGGGCTCAGGTGATCCTCCCACCTCAGCCTCCTGAGTAGCTGGGACCACAGGCACGTGTCACCACGCTTGGCTCATTTTTTGTATTTTTAGTAGAGATGGGGTTTTGTCATGTTGCCCAGGCTGGTCTCAAACTCCCGGGTTCAAGCAATCTGCCTGCCTTGGCCTTCCAAAATGCTGGGATTACAGGTGTGAGCTACTGCACTAGGCAGGACATATGTTTTATTTCTCTTAGGTAAATACCTAGGCATGGAAATGATGGGACATAATGTAGGTGTATGTTTTGTTTTATAAGAAATACCATTTGACCCAGCAATCCCATTACTGGGCATATACCCAAAGGATTATACATCATTCTATGATAAAGACACATGCACACGTATGCTTACTGTGGCACTAGTCACAATAGCAAAGACTTGGAACCCACCCAAATGTCCATCAATGAAAGACTGGATTAGGAAAATGTGGCACATATATACCATGGAATACTCTGCAGCCATAAAAAGGATGAGTTCATGTCCTTTGCAGAGACATGGATGAAGCTGGAAACTATCATTCTAAGCAAACTATCACAAGGACAGAAAACCAAACACAGCATGTTCTCACTCATAGGTGGGAGCTGAACAACAAGAACACATGGACACAGGGAGGGGAACATCACACACTGGGGCATGTCGGGGGGTGGGGGGGCTGAGGGAGGGATAGCATTAGGAGAAATGCCTAATGTAAATGATGAGTTGATGGGTGCAGCAAACCAACATGGCACATGTATACCTATGTAACAAAACTGCACGTTGTGCACATGTACCCTAGAACTTAAGTGTAATTAAAAAAAAAGAAAAAAAGAAACTCCAAAACTTTTCCCAACATGATTATGTCATTATGCTTCCACCAGTAATGCCAACAGTTCTGGTTGTTACAAACCTTCGCCAACATATGGTATTATCAGTCTTTTTAATCTTAGTAATTCTGGTGGGTGCGTGGAGTATCTCATTTTTGAAGTTTGTGTTTGAATCATTCGTTTTCTCTGTCCACAGTGCCTTAATATGTATGCCTCATCTCTCCGAAGTGGTGGACCCTGTTTACCTGCTCTGGAGAATGGCTGCCTGTGGCAGACACAGGAGTTGCTCTCACACTGTGCTTCCTGTCTTCCATAGTAACTGAGTTGTAGCTGCGATGCAGCTACTAACCAGGAATAGTTTCTCAGCCCCACACCTTGCACCTACAGCTAAGTGTGGCCATGTTCTCATCAACGAAGTGCGAATAGCAACAAAGTGCACCACCTTCAGGTTGAGGCTTTGAAGAAGCAGGGGTACCCTTCCCTTGCTCTCTTTCCCCTTGTGCTGGTGGGATATATATAACAATAAGGCCCTGGGTGATAGTAGCCACCAGATGCAAAATGCCTCAAACCTGAGTCACCACATGGAAGAGAAGAAGCCTCTGACCTGGAACACCTAGCCTGGTCTATAGATGAACAAGAAATAAACTTCTGTTATGTTTGAACATTACAGATTTGGTTCTGTTATAGCAAGTTAGCTTACCCTGACTAAACTGTTGCCTGTCTCTTGGAAGGTGTGCCCTCCTTCCCTGAAAGTGACTTTTTCATACATGTAATTTATATTTTAATCCATATTCTCCGAAGCATATCCACATCTATTCAACTGTTTCCATGTTTTCCACCAACAGAAACCTCATATAAATAAATATATATGAAGGTTTATTGCATTATTCAAGGTTCTTTAAAATTTTATTGAAGTATAGCATATATACCGAAATGTGCACAAAAATATACACTATCTATATACACATTATAAATAACACATATATCTGCAGAAATTTACAATGCTATCTACATCTGGGGCATTCCCTTCCTTTCTACTTTTTCTCATTTGCTATTTTTTCAGCCTGGTGACTGAGGAAGTCAAGAGAATAAGAGTTGTAGAAGGACATACTGAGTGTGTCACAGGCCCTTCCAAAAAGGCTGAACTCCAGCCTAGGAAACCAAAACTGGTCCTTTAAGATTGCTCAGATGCTGCTTAATTCCTGTGCCACAGTCCTACAGTGTCGCCTTTTTCCATTGTTCTTTTTTTTTTTTTATTTTTTTTATTTAAGAAAGAGGATATATATCAGGTAGGGGAGAATGTAGGGTGCAGAGCTACCTCGTCTCCTCTCCCAGAGGAATTCAAGGCTCCAGGGCTGCTGCTGGCCCATGTGGCAGATTTGGTAAATTGGAAAAACCACTTCCAAAAAAAGCACTTTTTTTGCAAGTCATGTTACTTCCACCTGTCAGGTATTTGTTGCAATATAACTATACTAGTTTCATTAGAATTAGAACACTTTCCTGCCACTTGCTGGAGAGTGGTTGCAACATCTAAGTCCACGTGTCTGTGATGCGACTGGTGTCTGTGGATGAGGCACTGTTCTACCTTAACCAACCTACACTGCTACAGTTGGCCTTCAGGTTGCAGAGCAACTTGTAGTTTTGATTTTTTTCAATGCATCAGGGATATTTTTAAAAATATTTTAATTGAAGTATAACATACATACAGAATAAAAAGGCAGAGGTACCTAAAAATAATAAAACAACAATAAAAACAAAACCAAGAAATCAGCAGTTACACAGGAAGAATTGTAACAAGCTCAGGATTTTTAAAATGCATAAATGATGCAAGCAATACCACAAGCAAAAACCAACACCAAAAATTTGCAAGGACCTAGAGGAATAGGTCAAAGTGAAGCCTCCGCTTAAGCTGGGTTATATGCAAGTGACTTCTGCAAAGAATGTAAAATCCTATGATATCCTTGTAGATAAACTGGAGAAATATGAGCAGATAAGTGGATCAGTACATTGCTGAAATTCTTACCTAATGGGTGTTGAGTAAAAGATTGGTCAATTTGCATCCTACTGAAGAGAAGTTTCTGAGGCCTCCCACAGGGCCTCAGTACTTGGACCTGTTTCATTCAGTATGGGAGGTTTATGTATGAAATTTTGGAGTTACTGGAAAGAAGAAGATAGCTAACATATCTTAGATAAATCCACAACCAACTCAAAAGGTTAATAAATTTTACCCAAGAAAACTTAATAGGAACAAATAAAGGTCCTGCAAAATAGGTTAACCAAAACACCAACCAAAAATAAGCTCGAAGGACTCAAACAGTATCATGCAGTTGCCAGAAAATCTAGTTCAATATTTCGGTGTTAAATAGAAGAACAGAAAAGTATTAATGAGAATAAAGGAGGAGACAGTTCTGCTACCCATAAATGTTCAGTTCTGGGTTGCATACTTTAAGAATGATCAAGAAAATGAGAGCACATTGGGAGAAAAGGGTCCTGGATGGTGAATACAGTTGGCGTTAGGATATATAATGGTAATCAATGAAATAATGGGGGACAGAAAAGAGAATATGCTGGAAGTCATCCTAATAGGTGGGGTTAAATTTTGGCCCTATCAACCTAAAATAATCAAAAAGGTCAGAATCTAATTTAAACAGATAATTCAAGCGCAGAGTTTGAGGACAGCCCACCCAGGAGCACCAGCTCCAAAGGAATGGAGTCAGCGTGCTGAAGGAAGGAAGCTCAAGGTTTCATTTCCATAGGCAGAGACAGGAGTTTTTGGCAGGATTGCAACATTTTTCATACAAGGTTGGCACATAGTTACAGCAATTTGGTTACAGGCAGTGTTTCTCTTGGGAAAGGTACACTGAACACCTTTTACAGAGGGTGTAGTCATGGGTTTTCTGTCATCTGATCTAAGTGAAGCAGGACAACAAAGGAGAAGTTAATCTATAACAAAGGTCATTAATTAAGAAGGCAGGTGGTTTTTGTACCTGATGTAGTTTTATTCTCTCTAGTCATTGTACAGAACAGGAAGAATAATCAGGGAAATAAAAAGTTGTTAGCATATGTGACTCAGATCAACTACATCTCTCTCAAGGCTTAGTGTTTTTTGTGGGTTCCAGGAGCTTTTAAATACTTATTTTCATAGCCCCGAGGGTTAATAAGACAACTGAGGAGAAGAAGCAGAGATGCAACACGACAGGCAGAGCTGATCAAAGATGGAAATGAACTCATTCCTGACACTCACACTAGAGGCTGCTGAAAGATCATCTGGCATTCAGGGTTTTCTCAGCTTTGAGATTTTATAACTATATAGTTAGAGATCTGCCCAGCTATAAAATGTATTACTCTATCTTTGAAGCACACACAAATGACAAATCTTCAGAACTACTGTTAAAACTTCTGGGGACACAAAACCACAAATCATTCAAAGAGTTTGCTTTATTGGCTGTTCTCAAATGGGCAAGCAGCTGTGTGTGTGTGTTTTTGGTGTGAAAGCGCCTAGAAAATGTAGTTTATTTTGGCATATTTTTTCTAGTGTTAAAGCAATCAGCATGGATACGTAAATTGTTGATAGTGAAAGACATTTCATTAGTTTAGTATTGTACACTGTTACACCGCTATAGGAAAAATTCTGTCTCAACTGCCAGATTCACGTGTCCCGCCCTAAAAAAGCCAAAAGCCCTAAAAATACATGTGTATATGTATATATATACACATAGATACACACACACACACTATATATGTGTGTGTGTGTGTATATATATATATATATATCTCAAGTAATTATACACTTCTAAATATAGATACTGGAAGTCACTAAAGTAAAAAAAAAAAAAGGTCTAATATATAAGAGTTATTCAGATTTGTATTCGCGTAGAACAAGCCAGTTCCTTTCATATTAACTATGCACACCACCTCCTTTCAGAAGAGATCTGGGAATGATAAAAACCAGTCGGAAGACGGTCTTAACCGTTTAGAAATCCAGTAACTTCCGATTTAAATGGTGCTTTTAGGAGAAGGAAAACAACGCCAGATTAAAGCCTGCCTTTAACCATAAGAGTCCCTGGAATCAAACCAAAAGTGCTGCCAAGAAGCCACAGGTGTTTATCACATGGACAGGAAAAAATATGATTTTGAAGGGCACAGTGACAGTCCTTCTCTGTCTCCACTAATGGGTTATAAGATTAAAGGTTAACAGCAGTACAAATACTATAATTATATAATGCTGGGTTTATTTTTCGTTCGGGTTTACAAAAAAACCTTTTTGTCCGCGTGCTTCTGAGTGCTTGGAAGGTCTGCCAGCCACTGCCTTTCTTGTCACCAGAGCTCTCAGCAGGTTTACAGATGGACGTGCCCAAGACTGCCATCTGGTGGATATGATAGAAATTGAAATATATATATATATATGGTTTTTTTTTTTCTTGCAGGATTGGGGTTGGTAAGTAAATAAAACTAGTTGTCTAAGAAGGTATACATTTAAAATATACTGAGGAGGGGGGTTCACTCATCACAGCAATAAGAAATATAAAATAACAAGGAATTAATTTAAGAACGGTGTAGATCATATGGAGAAAATTACAAAACTGTACTGGGGACATTAAAAACACTTGTATAAATAGAAAGATGTAGCATCTTCCTGGTGGAACTCACCTTGGCTAAAGATACCAATGACCCCTACATTAATCTACACATACAACAATTCAATCAACACATTAATGAGATTTTTATTTGGCAGGGATATCTTGGCCAAGTTATTGAAAAATTCATCTGGAAAAATAAACACATTCAATTTTTGTAAATGTAGAATAATAAGGGGCATTTTCCCTATCAGATAATAAAATGTATAGTAAAACTATGATAATTAAGATGACATGGTACTGACACACAACACAAAACGATAAAATAGAATGCTTATAAAAATACAAGCATATACATGAATATGTCATAAAGGACAACTTCAAATAATGAGAAAAGATTGGCTTATGTAACAGCTGGTATAAAGGGATAATGGAAAAATCTATAGGAAAATGTTATATTAGATTTTTACCTCAGAAATAAGTTCCAGTTGTATTAAAGTACAAATATTCAAAAGGCCAATGTCTTAAAATATATGTAAATATTTACTTAGGATATAAAAAATTGTCTTTGTATGCAACTGAAGGTTGATGAAACTGTTAAAGAAAATTCTGAAAATTTTGAATGTAAAAGTATGACACTTGTTGAAACATATCAAATTTAACACAAAAGCTCTTTGTAGTTTACTGTATGTAAATTTTCAATTCTTTTAAAGTAAAATAAAACAAAATAAATCCTATTTGATTTAAAAGTGTATATGAAGGGTAAAAGGGAATATTTTTGACCAAGGAGAGCTCTCTTATACTCTTCAGCTCTGAGCATCTTAGCCCTCTCTCTAGTACCGCTCCAATCATAGTGAGTAGAAAGCCCTTATTCTGCCTGTAGGAAAAGCTGGCATCGAAACAAAAAGTTATTGTGTAAGAAAAAGCTCAGAAGTTGCATGATGTGATTTTTTTGGGGGGGAAATCCCTATGAGGTTGAGATTGTGTTTTTTTCAAAAATTAGGTCATTTCAGTATGGCTAGATGTCCTTTGGTCTTAGTCCAATCTGTGAATATCTTTCCTTAAAAACAACAACAACAAACCATACACAGTATTACAGTATTGAAAGGCAAATGGCGAACTCAGGAAAATAATCCATGACATAGGTAACAGAATAATGGTTAAAATCCTACATGTATAAAGAGCTCTCACAAATCAAGAAAAATTATAAATATGTAAACAGAATATCCTTTAATGTTAAGAAAAAATGCTGCCAATTAACATGTGTGAGCAGGCTTACAATAAAAGAATAAGCAAATATGAGAAAAACATTTTCACTCACTAGTAATCAAATAATTGGGAATTAAATCAAGAAAATGTAGGTTACAATATTTTACCCAGCAGCTTGGCAATGTGCAACACTGGTAAGAAAGTGAAAAACATAGCTACTCTTGTATACTATTAAGATTGTAAATGTGTACCCTCTTCCTGAAAGGCAATTTAGGACACTGAATTTTGTTTCTGTATTTTATTTAACTCAAGATTTTATGAAAAATTCAAACATATGGAAAATTAGAGAAAAATACAACAATTTTACCTATTGCCCAGATTTCACATTTTGACATCTTTACCTTTTTTAAGGAGAAAATAAAAAGCTCCTTTTCCCAATATCTTTAAAAAAGTAACCACTGTTCTAAAGTTAATGTGTATTATTTTCATGTGTGTTTTATATGTACATACTACTATCCATAAATTGTACCTATCATATTTCATCAACTCTAAGATTCCATTATTTTACGTACCATTCTTTTATATGTTAAGAAAAAATGCTGCCAATTAAACTACGAAATAATGTTTTGTTAACATTTAAGATTATTTTCTGGCCAGGCGTGGTGGCTCACGCCTGTAATCCCAGCACTTTGGGAGGCCGAGGTGGGTGGATCACAAGGTCAGGAGATCGAGACCATCTTGGCTAACACTGTGAAACCCCGTCTCTACTAAAAATACAAAAAATTAGCCGGGCGTGGTGGCAGGTGCCTGTACTCCCAGCTACTCGGAAGGCTGGGGCAGGAGAATGGCGTGAACCTGGGAGGCGGAGCTCGCAGTGAGCTGAGATCGCGCCACTGCTCTCCAGCCTGGACGAGAGTGCGAGACTCCGTCTCAAAAAAAAAAAAAAAAAAAGATTATTTTCTAATACTTATTATAACAGGTTTTTAGGACAGATCTTTTTTTAATCTTACATATGCTATTATTTCTGTGTTATATGCCAAATCATAATATAATCATTTTGAAGACATTTTATGTTTTGAGACAGGGTCTTGCTCTGTCATCCAAGCTGGAGTGCAGTGACATGATCTCAGCTCACTGAAGCCTCTGCCTCCTGGATTCAAGCGATTCTCCTGCCTCAGCCTCCCAGGTAGCTGGGATTACAGGTGCACACCACCACGCCTGGCTAATTTTTGTATTTTTAGTAGAGATGGGGTTTCACCATGCTGGCCAGGCTGGTCTCGAACTCTTGACCTCAAGTGATCTCTCCAGGTGGCCCTCCCATAGTGCCGGGATTACAGGTGTGAGCCACCGAGCCTGGCCTTGAAGACATTTTAAACAGCACTTAAATATTAACACATGTATTCCCGACACAGTACAAAACCCAATTGTGAATTGAGATATGACCAAGCTGGTGCAACTATGCCATGATGGCTGCCTTAGTCAAAGACAATTGTTAAGATGCTTCCTGGCCGGGCACGGTGGCTCACACCTGTAATCCCAGCACTTTGGGAGGCCAAGGGGGGCGGATCACCTGAGGTCGGGAGTTCGAGACCAGCCTGGCCAACATGGAGAAACCCCCACCCTACTGAAAATACAAAATCAGCCGGGCGTGGTGACGCATTCCTGTAATCCCAGCTACTTGGGACGCTGAGGCAGGAGAATCACTTGAACCCGGGAGGCGGAAGTTGCAGTGAGCCAAGATCGCGCCATTGCACTGCAGCCTGGGCGACAAGAGTGAAACTCCGTCTCAAAAAAAAAAAAAATAAAAATAAAGATGCTTCCCAATTTCAAAGAAATTAAAATATGAAGTGTTTTGGAATTAATTTTGGAGACAAATTTACATACAAGACATCCCCTTATAACTTGCTTTCTCTCAGCATCATGTTTTCAAAGTATTAAGAGACAGCTCACTGCGTAAGGAAGCCAACAGCACCTGGCTGCTGCTGGAGCTCGGGACTCTCTTAGCTTAGCGCTCCCTCCATTTTACTGAGCCACCCCAGAAAACGCTGTTTCATGCTAATGGGTACTAGTAGGCTAAGGAGTTATTCCTTCTTGGGAACATCTGCCTTAAATCAGGAAAATTGTCTTTTCAAAGGCCCAGGAATTCACATATCATCTGGGACCAGGGTGAAGCACTTGCTTTGGGGACAAAATTTAAGGAATGGCAAGTAATCAAGATAAATTTTTTTTTAAATTTTAGATATTTTAATGCAACATTAAAAAAGTCAAAACTAATGCAAAATGACGAACATAATATAAACATTTTAAATAAGACAGAATCTACTCTCTGCTGAAAAAAAGAAAAAGGGAAAAAAATAATCATTACAGAGTTTTCCATTTGCCTTAGGCTCCCACATGACTTGGCATGGTATAGTTACTAATCCTGTTTTACAGGGGGAGGAAAGGGAGTGATAGGTTAAAATGAGTGAGCAACATGGTCCCAGAGTACAATTAAAAATGTAAATGTACAACAGAAACACACAAAATAATTATAGGAAGGGCGAACAATTTTCAATATTATATCCCCAAATGGATGCAAGCTCTTTATATTAGAATGTGGATTATTAGTTGCATTTTATTAGAAGGAACTAGATTTAGGCCATGTGCGGTGGCTCATGTCTGTACTCCCAGTACTTTGGGAGGCCGAGGCAGGAGGATTGCTTGAGGACAGGAGTTCGATGCTGCAGTGCGCTATGGTGCCACTACACTCCAGCCTGGGCAACAGAGTGAGACCTTGTCTTGAAAATGAAAAATAAAAGGAACTAAATTTAAATATGGTGAAGACAATGTATACCTGCTAGATGTCAGCACTTAAGAGGCTATAGTAATCTAAATGATGTGATATTTCCACAGGGTTAGACAAAAAAAAAAAACAAAAACAAAAACAAAAAAACAATAGAGCAGAAGAAACTAGAAATGGACCACACATATTTGGGGAATGGGAATCTGACAGGGGTGGCATGGTGTTGGCACAATTAGCTAGCTGGATGGAAAATAAAGATTCCTTAGTTCACATACTATGTAACAAGAAATTCAAGAATGATTAAAAACCTAAATATATGTGCTTGGGAGGTAGACTTCTAAAATGGCTGGAAGGTAACATTAGAGATCCTTCTGTAGTTCACAAGCATGATGATTGGGTTTTCACACTTACATGAGATGTGCCTCCCCTCAGCCTTGTTACTACATTATCCACCTGATATGAAAATGAAAATATATAAATTAAAAAAATTAGAGACTATATGAACTTGGGATGAGGATGATTTCCTAAACAAGAAAAACATACAGCAAAAAAATGACAAATAGCAAGACTGCATAAACAAAGAAAAAAAGAAAAACAGTCTGAGAGGTTTTGCAGCTCGCATAACAAAGGATTGGTATCTAGACTATATAGAAAAAGACAAATCAATTAGAAAAAGACAAACCCAATGGAAAAATGGACAAGTGGTGTGAGCATTCAATTCAGAAAAGAGGAAACTCAAATGGCCAATATATATAGGAAAGATGTTTTTCTCACATGTAATCAGAAATGCAAATTATATACTATTTCATGCTTATCCAACCGGATTTTTTTTTTTTTTTTTTTTTTTGTATTAGAGACAGGGTCTCATTCTGTTACCCAGGCTGGCATGCAGTGATCCATTTGTAGCTCACTGCAGACTTGAACTCCTGGGCTTAAGGGATCCTCCTGCTTCAGCCTCCAAGTAGCTAGGACTACAGGTACACGCCACCACGTCCAGCCAATTTTCTGTTTTGTTTGTTTTCCTCCTCTCTCTCTCCCTCTCCCTCCTCTCCCCTCCTTTTTTCAGTTAGGATTTTTAGTGAAATAATTTCAGTTTACATTAAGGCTTTTGATTGTACATGTAAAATATATTATTACAACCATTTAAAATACATTTTAAAGTTATTGGATTTAATTAACTCTTGGAGTATAGGATCTTTAGGAGCCTACAGAACTTTCATGAAGACTTCGCATTTTAAAATTAGTTACAGTCCGAAGTAAACTAGACTTAAGAATGTTTATGTAGCTCAAGCTCCCCCTAAAATGTTTTTTTTTTTCCTTTTTTTGAGACAGATTCTCGCTCTGTCGCCCAGGCTGGAGTGCAGTGGCACGATTTTGGCTCACTGCAACCTCCGCCTCCCAGGTTCAAGAGATTTTCCTGTCTCAGCCTCCTGAGTAGCTAGGCCTATAGGCACCCGCCACCAGGCTCAGCTAATTTTTCTATTTTTAGTAGAGACGGGGTTTCACCAGGTTGGCCAGGCCGGTCTCTAACTCCTGACCTCAGGTGATCCACCCACCTCGGCCTCCCAAACTGCTGGGATTACAGGCGTGAGGCACTGTGCCCAGCAGAACCCAGTAACTTTCAAGAGTATACTTCAGTAGAACCAAAGTGCTATACCAATTATAAGCAGTCTTAATTACAATTTTAATAGCAAATATTAAATATTTAAAATAAGCTTTATACTATATAATTATTATTCATAGGCAAAATCTCATGAAAATAAACCCCATGGTACTCTATATCATGTCACTGTGGAATTAATTGTTAAGATAAATTGCATTTCAGGCTGGGTGCGGTGGGTCACGCCTGGAATCCCAGCACTTCAGGAGGCCAAGGCGGGCGGATCACCCAAGGTCAGGAGTTCAAGACTAGCCTGGCCAACATGGTGAAACTCCATCTCTACTAAAAATACAAAAAAATTAGCTGGGCATGGTGGTGGACACCTGTAATCCCAGCTACTCATGAGGCTGAGGCAGAAGAATCGCTTGAACCCGGGAGGTGGAGGTTGCAGTGAGCCGAGATCGTGCCATTGCACTCCAGCCTGGGCAACAAACATGAAACTCCATCTCAAATAATAATAAATAATAAATTGCATTTCATAACTTCAAGACTTAGGAATGAAGCAAAACCACCTCTTCATAATCAGTGCCCAAAAAAGTAAGTGTAAACGACTCAGGAGAGGGAAAGAAGGTATCAGACCCACCATTAGGGTAACTCCTGGGTGGTACTGGTCCTCTTCATCTTAAATGCATTATAGGTGAATGTTATATGGAAAGAATACATTTGTTGCACAGATTTAATCATTAAAAAAAATCACTGTTGCCAATATTATAGACTAGGTCTACTAGTTAAAAGAAGTAAAGCCCAGTCTTTCATTCTACCTTTCCATAAAAGGTATGGCTCTTTTGTGTCCCACTGGAGTTGTGGATACTTACAAGATAGCAGAAATACTGACTTCCTAAGTGCCCCTCACCTCTGAATTAGAAGAGCATATCTGCCAGTTACATCTGAGCACAAAACAGTGTACTAGTAAGTGGTGTTTGCAGGTAAAATAAAACTGAAACAGGAAATAAGGGGGAGAAAATACCACAGCCAGAAAAGCCAGCAGGAAGTGAGAAATGGCGGTGATGCTGCCTGAAAAGCAATGTATTCTCTATTAGTAGCTACACCTATTTACTTCTAGACCATAATGTAACATACACGAATCATCAAAACAACAGGCAAAAACAAACACTTGTTTAGCATTTTCTTTAGGGTTTACAAAATAACTCCCAAAGTTGAACAGAAAAAAACTTAAAAGCAATTTAGCATAAAAACGACAGTGCAAATTGTTATAATGCCCATTATGAACTAAAAGCAAGTAACTTCATTTCAGTGCATTTTCTAGTACAGAATTTAAAAAGTAACTTCAGAATTGCTTTGAAATTAAATCATTGCTTGAATTCATCTTAACAATTATGTTAACATTTGACTATTTTACATATATAATGGATTTTTTGCACAACTAGGAATTGTCTAATATGTGAAAAACATCACACTTTGCTATTTTTCACTAAATACTATTTAGCTTCTCAAAACAAAATGTGTTCCACAAGAAATCTTATCACGTTTTCCCTTAATACTTAAACCAGATGAACTTCAAAACACAAATGAAGGCAATTTGGAAGAGGAAATGTCAGTGTGAGATGTCATTTAAAAAATATAACCTTAAATTCAAGACAAGGAAGAATAATATTTGGTCAGCAAAAGATATTTGATGGACATGTTCCAGTTAATTTCAAGTATTGAAGCTGGATAAAGACTTGGGCACCATATATTCCTCTGGTTTGCGTATTTTCCAAGGTTTCAGAAAATATATCAGGCAGTTTGAAAAGTAAACTAATGAGGCTGTCAATTCCTGGCTCAAATATACGGCTAATATGATTATAGAAACATTTTTCCCCGACTAATATTATTTCTCCTGTTATTAAAAACCATTTTAAAGCCTGGGTAGAAAGAAGAATCACAACTAGCAAGACAGCGCCATTATTTTCATATAGGAAGACCAGTTCATTACAACTTTTTTTTTTTTTTTTTTTTTTTTTGAGACGGAGTCTCCCTCTGTCGCCCAGGCTGTAGTGCAGTGGCGCGATCTCGGCTCACTGCAATCTCCACCTCCCAGGTTCAAGCGATTCTCCTGCCTCAAACTCCCGAGTAGCTAGGACTACAGGCACGCAGCACCACACCAAGTTAATTTTTTTATTTTTATTTTTTAAGTAGAGACAGGTTTCACCATTTTAGCCAGGCTGGTCTCAAACTGTTGACCTCAAGTGATCTGCCCGCCTTGGCCTGCCAAAGTGCTGGGATTACAGGCGTGAGCCACTGCGCCTGGCCTTCATTATAATTTTTTTTCAATGACAATGCAACTCCCAGTGGATTTCTACTTTTAGCATTAAGAAATTATGACTCTTGGTGGTAAATTCTACTCAGGTTAATAAACTAACGGTGAAGCAGCTTGGAAGCATTTGTTGCTTAGATTGTTTATTCCTTCACAATGTTATTTTAAAATTTGAGTTTTTTTTAATATAAAAGAGACATATATTTAAAATTTGAGATGGAGTCTCGCTGTTGCCCAGGCTGCTGTGCAGTGGCTGGATCATAGCTCACTGCAGCCTTGAACTCCTGAACTCAAGCAATCCTCCTGCCTCAGTTTCCCAACTAGCTGGGACTATAGGCATGTGACACCATGCTAGAGTACTTAGAATTTTTTTGTGTGTAGAAACCAGGTCTTGCTATGTTGTCCAGGCGGGTCTTGAACTCCTGGCCTCAAGCAATCCTCCTGCTTTATTACAGGCATAAGCTACCACATTCAGCTAAGCAGTCTTTTTTTTTTTTTTTTTTTTTGAGATGGAATTTTGCTTTTGTTGCCCAGGCTGGAGTGCAATGGCACGATCTCAGCTCACTGCAACCTCCGTCACCTGGGTTCAAGCAATTATCCTGGCTCAGCCTCCCGAGTAGCTGGGATTACGGGCATGCGCCACCATGCCTGGCTAATTTTGTATTTTTAGTAAAGACAGGGTTTCTCCATGTTGGTCAGGCTGGTCTCAAACTCCCGATCTCAGGTGATCTGCCTGCCTCGGCCTCCCAAAGTGCTGGGATTACAGGCATGAATCACTGTGCCTACCCTTAACAAAAAACTTTAATCATTGCAGAATAACGGATCAATATTTAGAAGAACTGCATAATTCAGTGAACCAGTATTTTCCAAATGACTAATTCATGATGTGACAAAATCATGCATAGCCAGAAGGTCCATTCAAAATGCAAGACAGACCCAGTGGATTTTAACATAACAAACTAAGAAAAGTCCTCTAATAAACTTTCCGATTTCACATTGCAACCAATCTTCAAGAAACTATCAGTTGTCAAGTTTTGATATCCACAGTTATCTGAAGTGACTAAAATATTCCTGTTTTCCAACTACCTATCTGTGTGAGGCCAGGTTTCTTCATAAACTTCAACCATCGGGCCATACCACACTTCAACAGACTGAACGCAAAAGCACAAACAAGAATTCAGTTCAACATTAAAGGGCTCACAAAAATGAAAAATGGTCCTTTTTACACTGAATTTTTGTATCCTAACTTATAAGACAATTATTTTTCATAAAATGGTTTATATATTAACATGTAATTGTTTTGTTAACAAATTAAAACAGTATGTATAATTTCTCAGCTTTAATTTCTAATATAGTAAATATCGATAGTATCCACAAAAGCAAAAGTTCACTGGAGTATACAATTTGTAAGAGTATAAGTGGGTCCTCAGACCAAAATACTTGAGAATAGCCAGGCTAGGAAATTCAGATGAGTCAACACTGAATATGGGTTTTTCTTTTACTAACTCATACATTATTTCTGTTTCAAGCACCAGTAACCCCCACCCTGCCCCCTGCCGGAAAAGTTTTTTTTTTTCTTTTTTTTTTTTTTTGAGACGGAGTCTCGCTCTGTCGCCAGGCTGGAGTGCAGTGGCGCGATCTTAGCTCACTGCAACCTCCGCCTCCTGGGTTCAAGCAATTCTTCTGCCTCAGCCTCCCAAGCAGCTGGGATTACAGGCAAGCACCACCATGCCCAGCTAATCTTTGTATTTTTAGTAGAGGCAGGGTTTCACCGTGTTGGCCAGGATGGTCACGATCTCTTGACCTCGTGATCCACCCGCCTTGGCCTCCCAAAGTGCTGGGATTACAGGTGTGAGCCAATGCACCCGGCCAAAGGCAGGTTTTTTTAAAAGGAGTATAAATATTTCTAGAGTACAGAAGGGGTTAATATTGTCCTGTACAGTTTGGTTAATTCCTCTTTGGAATTAAATTTTCAGAAATATGCCAACCATATAAGAAGTTTAAAATAACATTAAAAACTGAATCATACCAAATAGTAATATGTCACACTGTTTTTATCAATTCTTTATTTAGGTAACAAGTTGGTTATGTTCACTGCATTGTATGAAACATCACAATATCATACTGGGAAGTACTATCAGTACAGGGTTGGATCAGAGTGGACAGTTTGAACGATAAACCATTTTGCATTCTTCATTCCCTATCTTTTAACAACCCCCCAAACCCAGTAAAGGGACAAACAGCTTTTCACATCATCATGTAAAGCACTTTAACTTACAAGGCTAAAATCTAAAGAATAAATAAAATATATTGTGGCAATAATTCCTTTTAGACCAAAAATCAGGTGCACAATAAATCAAATGATCAGGAAAGCTGTCTGTATTTAAATGTGTGGCTCTCCAGAAACAGCTTCAGGAAAACGTTACAGAAAATACCATGAATTCCATTTCACAAAGGACCAGATGATGACTCATTTTAACTACACACAAGGGCAATTACATCCTGCTGAAACACAATTTAAACATACAGGAAAATGTTTACAAAGCATCCACAACATGTAAACCATGTACAAATGGATACATTCATTACTTCTCCTAACCCAGAAACTTCTTTCAGATAAATACTTTACTCTTCATGTTCAGCATTAATTGAATTTAATACATGCAAAACTCAGAAGAATTCAAGGTTACTGTAAAAATAGAATTAAACTAATAAATCTTCAAGTACCTTATGTGACAATCACTCTGTACCGTGCCCAATGTTATAAAATGAAAAGTTACTGAACCCATGAAAATATCTCTGTAGTATTTCCTTAGATCTAAAATAGATAATTTTAAATGTATTTATAGTAATTTCAATGTGATATTCTGAGCTTTTAAAATAACATAAATGATTAAAAATACCAAATTACACAAAACTCGTATCTTAAAAGCTGAAAAAATTAAAACTATAGAAACCCACATGTAAAACAAAAATCACAATTTACATTATAAAGGCAAATCTCATCTTTAAAAAATTTCCAACAGTGAGATGTCAAAGCAAATTATAAATAGCCATAAATTAATCCATTTGGTTTCAAAAGATTTTCTAGTGAGAGTTGAAGGATGCAGTAGATACATGCATAAAATTTGTAAGGGTTTATAATATTATTCCCAAATACACTTTATCTTGAAGCAAGGCAACATTACAATTTGGACATTATTGGAGAACCCAGTTTGGTAATACAGGTAAAATTGGAAAAAAATTAAATAACAATCAATAATAAATACATATCCTATAGAAATTGCTCAAATGAAATTCCAAGCCACAGAGCTGCAAAAGGCTTCCAACTTGGTGAACTGAAAAAAGGAACATATCATACAATTCTTTACTCTTACATGCTTACATGTTGTGTGTTTTGTTTAAAGAAAAAAAACATAATGTATTTTCAGAGTATAGCTAACTATATTTCCCATGCACCTCAGGCACATTGTTGATTTGTGGTGAAATAACTCCACTGGTTTCTAGGGCCGAAAGTTCAATACAGATGTAACGAGTATGCCTGAGGTTGGCAAAAAATACTGTAGTACAGGCAATGCTACAAGTGGCAACTGTCAGAAAACACAAATATGAACAAATGATGGGAAATGCTAATGATTTTCTGCTCATATCACAAAACGTTGGGAATCCGCAAGAATATTTTCCCCTTGTATTGAAGAAAATTGTGATTAAAAGTTTTTTCCCCCAATTTTCAGAATCAAAAGCATTTTAGAAGGTTTTTAAGGCTACCATGGGTCTTCTAGATCTCCAGCACCCTACAGGAAGAGAAAAGGAAGAATATTATTATTTACCTATGCCACTTCCAGATTGGATTGAATTTCAAAAGAAAACAAAATTGATGAACAAATTACCTTCCTTTCTTTGTCTGAAAAGGGTACTTTTACAGAGAGATGTTGTGTATTGCATATTGTGTGTGTACACGTGTATCTAATATGGATAGATAACTGGGTTGGGTTATTTTCCTCCCCTCTCCATCAAATGCCTTCCTTTCTCAAAGCACTTAAAAATATTCTGGCATTGGAAAAATACATCAAAACATCAGCTATAACATCCAAAGATTCCGAAGTTTCAATTTATGGTAACTTAAAGCAACTTTAGACACATGATATAAATATAAACGTAAAGACGAAAAGTTAATGTTCTACAGTTATAAAATAATTTTTAAAAAATATTTTTCCCTATGTGACAAATCTATAATTTAAAAATCCCTTTAAACAAAAACTCTCATCTGCCACTATTTTAAAAATAGCCCATAATTGTTCAATTTCTTAATAACTAACAAAAATTTGTAACAAAATGGACAATTCTGCAATCTTTAAAATGCTCACTGTGGCAATTTTCTCACATGTCTAATGTGTGCCCATAATGTCCAAAGATTAATATTTTGTACCACAAAAGATGGATAAGAAAAAGAATAGATTTAAGTATGCAACACATATATTTTAATATTAAACTTTTCCTTTTTGTTAATGAAAAAAGGTAAGCCAAAAGTGTTCTAAATGTTATATAAATACAAATGAATTTCTAATGGGTATTCTTCCAATATACCAAACTTGGTTGTTTTTAAAAAATTAATTCAAAAATAAGTACAACATGCATAGATTATTCCACATCACATGCTTTATTTGGACTTAAACACTTATAATTTCATTCTAAACACTTGGTTGACATACATTTTGATGTGTGTAGTTAGGCTATACAGAATATACAAACCAAAGCTGTATGAATAATACATAGGTTTTTCAAAAGTTATGTTTCATAAAGAATACAGAGAAAGGAAAAATAGCCACACATCCAATATCTCACAACTTCTAAAAATAAAACTACAGAGATGTAAAATATAAACAAATCAAACAACACACAAATTATCATCCTTGAAAGAAAAATTACAGGCCAGCATCAGCCATTCTTTGAAGAACTAAAATTATTAAAGAAAACATAAATTTATTACAAAGCTAACTATGAGTGTACTAATAGGTAAAATAATATGAAGCAGTATAATTCTACATTAACAAGTTTTTCCATAATATAGCATAATCTCTCTAATCAAAATTTCTAATTCTATCTAGTATTAATTTAACTACTGACTTTAATTCATAATTGGTAGCCTAATTTCTGGCATACAATGTGAAATGACATATAATTTCATTAAATCCATAGTACTATAAATAGTCAATTTTACACTATCTCATAAAGGTGTATGCAAAGGCCTTTTTAAAAAACAAGGCTATCTGAATATAATAAAACTAGTTTTCCAAGATTCAAATAACAAAACAGTTATATAAATGCATACATTACACTTCCTAGGTTAAAAACCATCAAAGATCACAAAAATATTACCAAAAAGGAAAGTCATATTTTTTCACCACTCATCTTTGTCCCTGCATCTTCATTAGAGCTGTCTAATTCAGCAAGACCACTTTCTGATTCAGTATGGCTTTCCTGCATTGTCACTGGGTTTCCAGCATCACTGTTCGAAGAAGTAGCTGTGGCAGCTGGTTCAGCAGGGCTTTCTTCTCCCTCTACTTTAGCTAGCCTGTAACTAGTCAGCATCTCCTCCAGAAGTTGTCGGTAGTTTCCCCTATGATTAATTCTCATTTGCCTGAGAGCTTCCACCAATTTTCCCTGTGATCCACTTTCCTCTGCTTCATCGGAGGCCTTTTTTTAAGATTCAAGACCCCAGTGTCAGTAGACAAACTAGGATATCACATGTATTTCATAACACATTACAGCAAAATACTAATTTCTCTACCGAAAAGTAATATAGTCTAAGCATGAGAACATTTTATTAAATATCAATTCTTACCTGTATCAATTAATAAAAACTTCCAATAATAATCTCAAGTCATTTTAAGCAAATTACCATTAACTAGTTTATGTCTTATTTCACAGTCATTTAAAGTTTAATCTGAAATTTACTCAGCTTTTATAATTCAACAGCAACACAAGCATTTCCTAAAACTGACTTACTTAAACAATATTTGGCTATATGATTTAGTACAAAAGAAAATCAATGTTTAAAGCAGTAGGAAAAGGACAGAAAAGCAGGCCATCAGAACAGTTTCTTCATCATTTCTGCTAAATAAGTAGGAAATACAAAACATAAAACTATATAGATTTAAACAGATTTTTGAAAGATTTTAGAGTTTTTACGGATAAAAATTGTATTTACTTTTTGCTCTTATTTTGATAAAAACATCTCTAGATAAAAATAAATTAAGTATTCTCAGTATGAATAATAAACTACTCAATCCTTTCATATTTTAGTGAATTTTGGAAAATCTACAGGTTTCTACAATAGTAACTACTTAATACTGTACAGAACAAGCTCTAATCATCCAAGCTGATCACAGTTAAGCCGACAGACTAAAATAAAGATATCTTTACAGTATGTGCCTCTTGATATGATGCATTATAAAGTACAGTCATGTCCTGTATTCGTGCCAAAAAATGTTTAGAATGAATCTAATAATGCTAATTCCCAGTTTACAGGAAAAAAGGGAATAGAGGATCAAGTTAGAGCACACATGAGAAAACAATCATATGAATTCAGAATGCAGGACGTATTGTAAAAAACTGGCTCAGATTCTTCAAAGTCAGTTTCAAGGGGAAAAAAACAGGTGAGGGGCTTGACTGATTAAAGACTTGTTTAATGTGCTTGATTGATAAACTTGATTAGACTGGGATTCAAAATAACAATTACAATAGTCACTCTAGTGACAACTAGGGAAATTTAAACTTGATATTCAATATTATACAATTTATTTTTTTATACACCTACAGTGTACCCACAAAAATTAAAAATAAATTTAAAAAAATGAATTTTCTTAGGTATAATAATGGTATTATGGTTATACAGAAAAATGTCTTCGTTCTTTTTTTTTTTTTGGGATGGAGTTTCACTCTTGTTGCCCAGGCTGGAGGGCAATGGCATGTTCTCGGCTCACCACAACCTCCACCTCGAGGATTTAAGCGATTCTCCTGCCTCAGCCTCCCGAGTAGCTGGGATTACAGGCATGTGACACCATGCCCGGCTAATTTTGTATTTTTAGTAGAGACAGGGTTTCTCCATGTTGGTCAGGCTGGTCTCGAACTCCCAACCTCAGGTGATCTGCCTGCATCGGCCTCCCAAAGTGCTGGGATTACAGGTGTGAGCTACCGTGCCTGGCTGAAAAATATCTTCATTCTTAAGAGCTGCATGCTTAAATGTTTACAGGTAAAATATGATGTCTGCAATTTTCTCTCAAAGGGTTCAGTCAAAGAAAGAAAAAAAACAGTAGATATAAAAAGAAAAATAAAGCAACTATGGCAAAATGTTAACAGTTGTTGAATCTAGAGAGACAATATACAGCTGTTCCAACATATCATATCCCCTTTTTAAATACATTTGGAAGTTTTCATCTTAAAATATTGGGAAAATAAAATACAAAATAGGTTATTGATACAGTTGATGTGACACAAACTCTTAACCATCTTTAGAGACTATTACATATACTTTTGCAACAAAGATAACACTAATAAAGCCATATAATAAATGGCAATGTTTTATTAGAAAAATGAGAGCAGATGAATGTTATTTTTTAAAAAGTTGCCCTCATTGGCCAGGAGCAGTGACTCGTGTATGCAATTTCACCACTTTGGGAGACGGGTAGGAGGATTCCTTGAGGTCAGGAGTTCTAGGCCAGCCTGGGAAACACAATGAGACCCTATCTCTACAAAAAATGTTTAAAAGGAACACGCCCATAGTCCCAACTACTTGGGGAACTGAGGCGAGAGGTTGAGCTAAGTCGAGGAGGTTGAGGCTTCAGTGACCCATGACCATACCAATGAACACCAGTCTGAACGACAGAGTGAGACCCTCTTAAAAAAAAAAAAAAAAAAAAGGGCTTGTTAGGCTGAGGCGGGTGGATCACGAGGTCAGGAATTCAAGACCAGCCTGGCCAAGATGGTGAAACCCTATCTCTACTAAAAATACAAAAAATTAGCAGCACGCAGTGGCAAGTGCCTGCAATCCCAGCTACTCCGGGAGGCTGAGGCAGGAGAATCGCTTGAACTCGGAGGGCGGAGGTTGCAGTGACCCGAGATCGCACCACTGCACTCCAGCCTGGGTGACAAAGTGAGACTCTATCTCAAAAAAAAAAAAAAAAAGAAAAGAAAAAGAAAAAAAAAGTGCTTGTTTTCCTGCCTCAGACGGGGTGGTGGTGGGGATGGGGCGGGGAAGTATCCTCATGGCAAAAAATGGATGATACTGGGCCGGGCACAGTAGCTCATGCCTGTAATCGCAGCACTTTGGGAGGCTGAGATGGGTGGATCACCTGAGGTCAGCAGTTCGAGATCAGCCTGACCAACATGGTGAAACCCCATCTCTACTAAAAATACAAAAATTAGCCAGGTATGGTGTGTGTGCATCAGTAATCTCAGCTACTCGGGAGGCTGAGGCAGGAGAATTGCTTGAACTCAGGAGGTGGAGGTTGCAGTGAGCCAAGATCACACCCACTGCACTCCAGCCTAGGCGACAGAGCAAGACTCCATCTCCAAAAAAAAAAAAAAAAGATGATACTGTGTATGGCCCATGCTTTTTGGATACATATACGTCTGTGTATCTGTTCATGTTAGCATATGTAAAAATACCTGGAAAGAAAGGAAATACAGCAATATAATGATAATGGGTAGGGAGTTCTAGATACTTTATTTTCTTTGAATTTTCCAATTTTCCACAACAAGCATATTAGCTGTCATTTAATTGCAAAATTTATTATGTGGACTTAAAACATGTTTCCCTAAATAAAGTTTCTCATCCAGGGCTGGTGGCTCATGCCTGTAATCCCAGCACTTTGGGAGGCCAAGGTCAAAGGATCACTTGAGCCCAGGAGTTTGAGACCAGCCTGAGCAACACGGGGAGACCCCGTCTCTACAAAACAAAAATTTAAAAAATTAGGTGTGGCAGCACACACCTCTGGTCCCAGCTACTTGGGAAGCTAAGGTGGGAGGATCACTTGAGCCCAGGAGGTTGAGATTACAGTAAGCCATGTTCATGCCTCTACACTCCAGCCTGGGCAATGGAGGAAGACCCTGTCATTCATTCATTCATTCATTCATAAATAAATAAATAAATAAATAAATAAATAAATAAATAAAAAGTTTCCCATTTTAATCTATTCAGGAAGGGTTGAGATGGAACAACATGTGATAAGTATACTCTAATGATAAACCTTGTCAGTCTTTAAGAGGAAATTTTCTACTTTACGGTATATCACAAAGACCTTTTAATGCAGGGCCTACAACCCTCTTCCCCCGAAAACCCCCAAACCAAAAAAAAAAAAAAAAAAAAAAAAGATAAAAACCTACCATTTTATTAAAAAAAAATTACAGGACATTAAAACAAAATCTGCTTCAAAGATTTACACATAAAGTGATTATCAACCCTTGCTCCACATTGGAATTACCTGTGGAGCTTTTAAAATTGCACACATGCCAAAGTTCCATTTCAAAATACACAGATTCAGTGGATTTGGGTTGTTCTTTTAAAGCCTGACAGGTAATTCTGATATACAGCCAGGGTTGAGAATCACTGATATAGACTAAATGGCATGACTCAATTTGGAGGTGGACTTATTAATAAGGTTGGATGAAAGGTTGTTCCATTTGTCGTATTTGGGTCAATTTTGGCAAGTTCAACAGATAAAGTACCTCTCGCTTTCCAACTGACACTTACATTATTAATCACCTGTATTTCTGTGAATTGCTATAGTAGTGACAGTTGGGGAAGAGAAGTTGCTTTTTAAAAGATATACTAGGTCGGGCGCAGTGGCTCAGGTCTGTAATCCCAGCACTTTGGGAGGCTGAGGCAGGCAGATCATGAGGTCAAGAGATGGACACCATCCTGGCTAACACAGTGAAACCCTGTCTCTACTAAAAATACAAAAAGTTAGCTGGGCGTGGTGGCGGGCACCTGTCGTCCCAGCTACTTAGGAGGCTGAGGCAGGAGAATGGCGTGAACCTGGGAGACGGAGCTTGCAGTGAGCTGAGATGGCACCACTGCACTCCAGCCTGGGCGACAGAGCAAGACTCTCTCTCAAAAAAAAAAAAAAAAAGACATACTAAAACCAAACCATAGCCAGGCACGGTGGCTCATGCCTGTAATCCCAGTACTTTTGGAGGCCGAGGTAGGTGGATCACTTTAGTTCAGGAGTTTGAGACTAGCCTGATCAACATGGTGAAACCCATCTCAACTAAAAATAGAAAAATTAGCCAGGCGTGGTGGTGCATGCCTGTAGTCCCAGCTACTTGGGAGGGTGAGGCAGGAGAATCGCTTGAACCTGGAAGGCAGAGGTTACAGTGAGCCGAGATTGCACCACTGCATTACAGCCTCGGTGACAGGGTGAGACTCCGTCTCAAAAAATGAAAAATAAAAAAATAAAAAGCAAAAGAAAACCAAACCAATAAATCAAGTAGACACGGATTTGC
This sequence comes from Homo sapiens, assembly GCF_000001405.40. Classification (NCBI taxonomy): domain Eukaryota; kingdom Metazoa; phylum Chordata; class Mammalia; order Primates; family Hominidae; genus Homo; species Homo sapiens. The sequence goes on along the minus strand of NC_000002.12, from coordinate 44,225,603 downwards.
AATGGCTGACATTACAGAATCACTAAATTGAGAAGAACTTTAGCTAATGACCACACTTAAAAGTCATTTTATCTTATGGCAAATTACATTTTCTCATCACTCTGGATAGACAATAGAGGACTGAAACCTCTTCCGCAGCCATTATATTTGATTTTTCCAAACACTGTTATGTAACTCTCTCATGGGCTTTCATTAATATTAGAAGAGAAACCTATTATCTAGGTTCCTGCACTTTCTTTATCTGAACTCGTACAGTTGATATAGCACACCTATTTTTACACATCTATTATAGCAATTAACTCTACCTTGCAACGGTTCACAAGACTCTCCACTTAGACTGCAAACTCTTTTAGAGTAAAGACAATTTCATATTCCATTCTATGTCCTCCTACCATCTAAGGAAGGAAAAATAATATTTGTGCTAAGAACTTTATATACATAATCTTACTGAATCCTCACAGGTACCCTACAAAGTAAGGATTCCAGTTATCATTTTTATAAGTGATGAAACTAAAGCTCAGAGAGATTTAAGTTATTTGTCACGGTGACAATCTTAGTAAATGGCAGGGCTCTGATTTGTGCACAGGTATAATTAACATCAATGTCTATCTTTGCGCTCTGTTGAATACATTATGGCGAGTGACCTTTTTTGCATAGGAAGTACCTCATACAGGTAAGACTCTTACTAAAGAAATATTGGTGAAATTATTATAGAACACCACAGGTTATTTCATATTGAAGTTTATATTTCCTTAATATAGTAAAATTAATAAAACTATAGAACACTAGTTATGTTGATTAAACTATCATATCAGCTGGGATGTTTACAATTATTCTGTAAAGTAAATTGAAGGCAATTACTGAGATGAGAATTCAGGACATCTCCCATCCACCCTAGTTTTTAAGCTTTTACTATCAGCTAGACTAACATAGCTTAAAAGTCGAATCTCTCATGATGAAAATACTAACTTACACCAAATAAGACATAGAAATTAGATAAATCAAGCAGAGAGTAGTAATAGGAGGGGGAAGGGAACTAAGCACATTTTAAAAAATAAAATTTAACCAGCTAATATTTATTTGCAGCAATATTTATCTTTTGAAACACAGCTCTCATAACCAAAATTCTTTTTTTTTTTTTTTTTTTTGGAGACGGAGTCTTGCTCTGTCACCCAGGCTGGAGTGCAGTGGCACGATTTCAGCTCACTGAAAGCTCTGCCTCCCGGGTTCACGCCATTCTCCTGCCTCAGCCTCCCGAGTAGCTGGGACTACAGGCGCCCGCCACCACGCCCGGCTAATTTTTTGTATTTTTAGTAGAGGCAGGGTATCACCATGTTAGCCAGGATGGTCTCAATCTCCTGACCTTGTGATCCGCCCACCTCGGCCTCCCAAAGTGTTGGGATTACAGGCGTGAGCCACTGTGCCCGGCCCATAACCAAAATTCTTAAAATGACTACTTATAACAGTAGAGAAAAAGTAAACACTAGTAAAAATGTTTCTTATGAAGTCCTACGTGCTGCTTGTCAGACAAAAAAATTTTTAAACTAAAAATTCTCCAGTATGACAAAATGTGATACAATTGATGACTAATGAAGACTCTAATAAATTACATGTTACTTGAAGAATCATGTCAAATTTAATGAATAATTTTAGACAGTGTCATTTGAATGGTCAAGACCACATAGCAAAGGTAAGTGTTATGTCAATCATACCTTAAAAACATAGTGACTAATGTTAGTGCATTTTCTCTCTCTCTCTCTTTTTTTTTTTTTTTTTTTTTTTTTTTTTTAGACAGAGTCCCACTCTGTTGCCCAGGCTGGAGTGCAGTGGTGCAATCTTGGCTCACCGCAAGCTCCACCTCCCAGGTTCACACCATTCTCCTGCCCCAACCTCCCGAGTAGCTGAGACTACAGGCGCCCACCACCACGCCTGGCTAATTTTGTTTTTTTTGTATTTTTAGTAGAGACGGGGTTTCACCATGTTAGCCAGGATGGTCTTGATCTCCTGACCTCGTGATCCTCCTGCCTCGCCCTCCCAAAGTGCTGGCATTACAGGCATGAGCCACCGCGCCCGGCCTGCATTTTCAAACAGTATAGGTCTTCTCCATAGCAATGCTTTGACAAGTGAATAAAAAGTAAATATGAAAAAACTAATATTCACATAGTTCTAAAAACTGTGATATAAAAATGTAAAAGCAGCTATGGGTATTGCATTTATCCGTTTAAAGTAAAACAGAAAAATGCATGCAAAATTTAATAATCTGAAAACAATACAGAGATTCTTTTGGGCTCAAAAAGAGACTAATCTATCCTGTTTTTCCTTCCCTTCTCTAAGATCAAAATGCCTTAAACCGTTTTTGGATTAAGATAAATATGTGTATTTAAGTGAAAAATAACTGACAAGGAATTGGGCTTAACTCATTCCTTTCAACAACTTTATAAAATATTTACCATTAAAAACAGATTATCTTGTGGTTGGATGCAGTGGCTCACGTCTGTAATCCCAGAACTTTGGGAGGCTGAGGTAGGAAGATAACTTGAGCCCAGGAGTTCAAGACTAGCCCTGGCAATGAAGCGAGACCCTATCCCTACAAAAAATACAAAAAATTAGCCGAGTGTGGTGCTGTGTGCCTGTAATCCCAGCTACTCAGGAGGCTGAGCTGGGAGGATCGCTTGAGCCTGGGAGGTTGAGGCTACAGAGAGCCATGATGGTGCCATAGCACTCCAGCCTGGGACAAAGAATGAGACCCTGTCTCAATCAATAAAATAGAGTATCTTAAGACTGATAAACATGATATTTACAAAAGAATGGGAAATGATTTTTCCTGCATGGTAGACACAGGTGGGGTACAGACATACATAATCTCTACCTTAAAGAGGCCACATGGAATAATGTAAAGAGAATAGGAGTCAGACTAATTCAAATTCTGGCTGCATGATTTATTTAGCTTTGTGACCTGTGCAAACTACCTCATCTCTGTAAGTCTCATGTGTAAAAGAAGGGTGCTGAGAAGATTACCTATGACTCTGTGTGTGTATAAATAAGGGGCCTGGCACAAGTAGGAGCTGGGTAAATACAGGTCACCCCCCTGCTCAACTTTACCCTTGGAAAATTACCAACTTGTGCAACTACTTGATCAGTGGCATACTAATTCAAAAGCATTATGAGTCTTTTTCAAGGGAAGAACTTTTTGCATGAAAGTATAAAACTCTATAAATACAGACTTTCATACCAATTAGTAACCTCAAATTAATTTTTAAATATATGACTTAAGGACAGCCTTAAGAAAATTACTAGAAATGAATAAATACAAATATTTCCTATTCAAAAAATATTTACTGAGCTTTCACCGTATGCCAGGATTGTGCTTGGACTATAGACACAAATGAATCAGATCAAGTCCCAGATCTCACAGAATTTATATTCTAATTATAAAACACAAACTAGCATTTTAGAAAAAGGGAAGGAGTATGATCCCAGAGCCCTGTCTAATATAAAGACAACTTACAGCAAAATGTAGTTTTGCTTTTTCTGGAAATTTTCCAAAAGATTTCTGGGGATTCGTGAATCCCTAGACTAAGAATCCCTGGCTAAACCCTTTGTTACAAATTTGTATTTTAAAAGTTGGGAAAATATCAATATTGTTTGTGGTAAGAAGATGGAACACATTCTAAAAAGTTAGTTTAGTATGGAACACATACTAAAAAACAAATTTAGTAAAGAACTTAAGAAGTTTCCCCTAAATAGTAACCTTTCTGAATATATATTAAAATTACTTAATTTATGACTTATACTCAACTCTACTTTCTGAAAAATATTTATTTAAAAGATGTCTTAATTATAAGAAAAATGAATGAATCCCTATTTCTAGTGGTACTACTTATAATCATTTACAACAGAACAATTCTCTCCGACATAAAGCAGACATTCAGGAGTCTAAAGAAACCCTCTGATTTAACTCTGGCTAGAATTCTTTGTTTAAATATCTAAACAAAAATAATTTTTGTTATTTAAAAAAACTTAATTTTTATAATACCTTCCAACTTTCTCCTCTTCTGTAATTCTAGCATACTTTCATCTTTCCCACCCCGCAAGTTAACATCCAGCTCCCGGCGACATCATCCACACTGTTAAGAAGCATTTATGGAGCACCTTTGCGGCTAGCTTTTTGCTACAGTGGGTCAAGTTAAGAGCTCAGAATTTAATCACGTCTGTATTTTCTTCATTCTCTCTCCTTCTGCGGTATTTTTCAGCACATTTCTGCTACTTGCAATTATAGTTCAACATTTTTCTAAGTTAGTGATTATTGTGAAAGGCATATAATATTTCCCCATTTAAAATTCTAGGCTGTAAAGTCAGTTTTCACAGTAAACAAGGAAAGTTCCTTTAATCCACATATCTATGTAATGATAATAAGTCTACAGTTACCATTTGGTCTCTGTAATTATTTCACAACTACCTGACTGCCTGCATCTCTTTAATCTAATATGGTAAATGTTTCTAACAGATTAAAATACCACAGATATTTTTTTGAATCTATCATTCTTATGCTCTAAACATAAGGTGGTCCATTACCCTAAAATGATGTTCAAAAGGCTGGTCTCTTAGCAAGTACCTCTGCAACCTAAATTCTTATTTTTCACCACAACAGTTCTCTGCTTTAGCCAAAAAAGATGTCCTTTCTTTTGAAGATATCTTATACTTTGTCCTTGCCTCTCTAGTCCACTTGAAAGGTCATCATCCTCATGTCATTTCTACCATTCAAATCATTCTTCAAATACTATCTTTTCTCTAAGAAGCTGACTTTCCCCCTGCTTAAGCAGCTGAACTTTTACAGCAATCACTGTCCAAGTCACATGGCAATGGTCACATTCTGGATTTTGTCATTTATTTGTTACCAAGCTATACGAAATATTTTGATCATTTAAGGTGTGTTTATAACTACAGTGTAAGCTGCACTAGACACACAGGTGGGGTCACGTCTTACGTTTTCTAGTCTTCTCCCTCTGTGAATCCACTATACAACACACTGTCAGTGTTTGATCTGCTGATGTTGATAGAACATTTATGTATAAAGGTAATTAAGTACATATATCCCATTTCTATAGCCAAATAATAATCTATTTAAGGTAAGGTTTATATATTGAGCATTTCCCCCCAGTTTCATAGTTCCGTTGCCTATTTATTCCCTGTTTATGTAGCTACTATGTGTAATCATTTTTTCTTTTTAAAAAATTTAAAAGTTATCCTTGGTATATGTTAAACAGAAAACCTTGTTTGGAGTAAAAATAGACTATGAAGGACCCCAAAATCCAGCAAGGTATATATATATATATATATGTATTTTTAAAGATTACACATGAGGGTTGACACTTTGAAACACCTGAGGAAATGGGAGTACTTCTATGGCTAATAATGAATCAATAACTGTCTTCTGAGGGCTTATTTCCTCTAATCAAGGTAGTGGATGCCCTGAAGAATCTATAATCTAGCTGAAGAGTTAAGATTCTCTTCTCTCAACCTTCCAAATTACCACCATCCTTTTAGTCATATGTCAACATCCTATACTCATTTCTTTGAGGGTTCTCTGATGGATCACATAAAATATTTGGATTTTTAAATTAATTTTCTCAGCTTTGGGTCAATTTTTTTTTTTTTTTGAGACGGAGTTTCGCTCTTGTTGCCCAGGGTGGAGTGCAATGGCATGATCTCGGCTCACCACAACCTCCGCCTCCCGGGTTCAAGCGATTCTCCTGCCTCAGCCTCCCGAGTAGCTGGGATTACAGACATGCGCCACCATGCCCAGTTAATATCGTATGTTTAGTAGAGACGGGGTTTCTCCATGTTGGTCAGGCTGGTCTCGAACTCCCAACCTCAGGTGATCCGCCCGCCTCGGCCTCCCAAACTGCTGGGATTACAGGCATGAGCCACCGTGCCCGGCCTTGGGTACAATTCTTAATACTCTGAGGAACCTGCCACAAAAAAAGACTCAGAATCACTGCTCTAGACCAAGATATAAATTATAATTAGCAATATATAGCATCACTTTTATATGACTCACTAAAATTATATTAATTATTAAATTTTCCTTTTTGCCAGGATAACTTTTACTGTTAAGGAAAAGAAATCATATTATATTGCTGTGCAACAATGAATCCTAGCAAATAATGCAATTGAGATGACATATGATTTCTAGCCAATGGATACTCTCTCTCTCAATCTGCCAAGAGGAGCTGGAGACTGGAGGTGGACTCTTCCTCCCAATCAGTTTCATTTCTGTTTGGTTCCCTTAAAGCTTTGAAGCATATATATTAAAAATTAAATAATTTATTTTTAGACATAAAAACTTGAAAACCCAAGAGAAAAATACTTATTTGAACTAACTTGGATTTAAAAAAAAAAAAAGGACACTTCTGTCTCCTGGTAATAGTACTAAAACAAAACAAAACAATATAGAGGGGCAGCTGGCAGCTCACTGACATTTCGAAGAAAAGCAAAATAAAAGGTAAGGGCATAGAGTCTTGCTCTGATGAAGTACAGCAAGGTACAACAGAAATGGTTATCTCAGCTCAACACTCATGTACCCATAATACAACAATAATATTAGAAAAAAACTATCCTCGGGTATTCCAAGTGGGCATACAGGGGTACTGAAAGGTCTAGTTATTAAAATAACAACTCACTCACTATCACTAACTTCTGGTGATGGCAGCAGCCTGCTGGAGGAGAAATTGAGATATTTAAAAGAGCATTCTTGCCTCAAAATTAAGGTTTAAAGGAGAAGAAGGAAAAGCAGACATATAGAGAAGAAATAAAGACAGCCCAAACAAAAAAGGTCATTTGATGCCCAGAAAGTGACAACAAAACTATCTACAAAACAAAATTTTATCTCTACCTTCATTTCAATACATTTTCTTAAACTTTAACTGACACTTTAAAATGAAAAGCAGTAGTAATTTACTACAGACTATAATTTATTATAGACTTCGTTAATGTGAATGTATTCATATTTAGTATTTATATTGTGAAATTACTTCAAATGCTTATGAAATAAAATAAAACTTACCCCATCACTTTCTCTATGTGGATTCAGTCTACTATAAACAGCTTCAATAACATTACGCCTAAAAAAAAAAAACATGCTTTAGTTTTATTAAATTACACAGAATTTTAAGCTTGTGAATATCTCAATATTTCATCCTGACCACACTAAAAAAGTAACTGGTACACTCTATACTTGTCAAGAACATACCTTCTACACTTTACTCTCAGAATCTGATTTTGCACAATCCATTTGTACTCCTTAGCAAGGAAAGAAGGACCTTCATACTCAAAGAGTATGATAGATAATTCCTTTTAAAAAATCGTTTTTGGTTGAAGTTTTAAGAGTTCTTCTCTAGTATAAGAAACACTAACCCATTTCACCTCTAGATAATTGATGTACTTCTGATTTAAGTTTTTTTACCCCAAATTATTTAATTACTAATTATGAACGAACTCAAAATTAGCTTTTTGTTCTACTTACTTGCCAGCAAGACCTCCCCCAGGAGGCAAATTTGGGATATTTTCTGCAGACAAGATGCGCATGACATGGGCAAGATCAGGCATTCCTTCCTCGCCAGACTTCTCCATAATCTCTGTAGGTTTTTTAAAAAAAGTTCCTAAATTAATGTGATAAGCCAGTACTCACCAAGAAGTGAAACAAGAGATACTATTTGGTAGTACCTATTTTAAAATATATTAAAAAAAATTACCATCAACACACAAAAAATTTTTAAGAAGTAATACAAAAAGCTACTTATTGACTGAAACATTGCTATGCAGGGGGAAAAAAGAAAAAACAGTTATTTGCATATGTATGTTCATTCCAGCATTATTCATAAAAAGCAAAAACTGGAACAAACTAAATGTTCACCAACAAGAGGACAGTTAAAAACTTTGGTGTAGCCATTGAGTGAAATGGTTTATAATCACTAAAAATTACGAAATAGGTGTCTTGATGAATACAGTAACAGCTATATGGAAAAATACTTCTGATCTAATATTAAGTAAAAACAATATAAAAGTTATGAATGCCATTACTAAAGGATAATAAAAGTTTAGCTAGATAAGAATTATAAGAAAAAGGGGAGAAATTAAAAATCATTTTTACAAGTTGATACTTACCTGAAATAGTTACATTCTACAGCTTTTTTTTTTTTTTTGAGACGGAGTTTCACTCTTGTTGCCCAGGCTGGAGTGCAATGGCGTGATCTTGGCTCACTGCAACCTCTGCCTCCTGGGTTCAAGCAATTCTCCTGCCTCAGCCTCCCGAGTAGCTGGGATTACAGGCATGTGCTACCATGCCTGGCTAATTTTGTATTTTTAGTAGAGATGGGGTTTCTCCATGTTGGTCAGGCTGATCTCAAACTCCCAACCTCAGGTGATCCACCCACCTCGGCCTCCCAAAGTGCTGGGATTACAGGCATGAGCCACCACACCCAGCCCAGGCCTTACTTTCAAAACAACTGTTTACCATGCCTCACAAGACCCTTACGTTGACTTCCACTACTCTTTCAACTCTGCCCGCCTCCCTCATCTCCAAAGGATCCATTCAAAGACTTCTACTTCTAGATCTTCACATACTCTTTTCGTTGGTTTGGGAACACTTTTCACTCTAATCCAACCCCTCTGTATGGTGAATGTCCCTTTTTTTTTTTTTGAGACACTGGAGTGCAGTGGCACTATCTCAGCTCACTGCAACCTCTGACTCCCTGGTTCAAGCGATTCTCCTGCCTCAGCCTCCCAAGTAGCTGGGATTACAGGCATGTGCCACCACACCCAGCTAATTTTTGTATTTTAGTAGAGATGGGGTTTCACCATGTTGGCCAGGCTGGTCTTGAATTCCTGACCTCGTGATCCACCCACCTCAGCCTCTCAAAATGCTGGGATTAGAGGCCTGAGCCACCACGCCCAGCTATGAATGCCTATTTTCATCCTTGAGGTTTCAATTTTATATGTCACATTCTCAAATCCTTCTCTGACCTAAGTCTGAGTAGGTACACTGCAATACACTCCCATATGCATGACATGTACTGTATACCATAATGCTATATACTCCCACATACACGATGTTTATTGGGTCATAGACTGCAAGCTTCATGAAAGCAGGACTGTAAGTTTTCTACCTTAAATCTGTGTCTTATAGTATAAGGCTTCTCAACATCAACAACACCGACATTTTACACCAGACAATTTTTTTGTTGTGGGGGCTGTCCTGTGTGCTGTGGAATATTAAGCAGCATCCCTGGCCTCCATTCACTAGATGCCAGTGGCACCCCCTCAGCTATGACACCAAAAATGTCACCAGACATTTTTACACCCCTCTACTCTAGTCCAATTTACCACTACCATGCATTAATGCATAATTTCTAATCGGTATTTTGGCTTCTCTTGTCCCTTTTATACAATCTCTTCTCCATACAGCAACTAAGAGAGATCCTTTGGAAAAAAGAACAAATCACTCTTGTACTCAAAATCTTCCAATGAATTCCCACAAGTCAAAGTCCAAAGTCCTCACATGATATGCCTCCTACAAACCTCTTAATTTTCCTCTAGTTTTCTACTGGCTTATTCTAACCCAGCTGCACTCACTAAGAACATTCCCTCCTAGTCTTTGCTGTTGTCATTGCCTGGAATGTTCTTCCCTCAGATATTCTCTCTCCAAGCACGGCTGCTCAAACATCCTTCCTCACAGAGACATTTCTAACCAATATTCCTTGTTGCTCTCTACTTACTCTATTTTATTTCTCTATTAAAAAAAAATAGGTTTTTACTAGAATACAAATTCTATGAGATTTCTTTTTCTGCTATATCCTCAGTGACACATGTTCAATAAACACTGAGTAAACCTGTATGTAGAAAGCAATCATTAAATATATAATTCATCAATTCAGGTGAACTACTATTCCCTGTTTATTTTAATATTATTCCTTTCCCACCTGACCAGTCATCATTAAAAGCATACACACAGATTTACCAAGTACACCAGAATGTATTTACCACAAAATTTAATGTCATATTACATGATTTAAAACCCCAGAAGAAACATAATGCTCCTGAAGAACACTGCTTTACAAATAAAAAGTTACTTTTTTTTTTTTCTTAAAGACATGTTCTTACTCTGTGGCCCAGGCTGGAGTGCAGTGGTGCCATCATAGCTCACTGTAACACCAAACTCCTGGACTCAAGTGATCCTCCTGCTTCAGTCTTCAAGTAGCTGGAACTACAGGTGTGCACCACCATGCTCAGCTAATCTTTAAAACTTTTTTGTAGCTCTATGATGCCGAGGCTGGTCTTGAACTCCTAGTCTCAAGCAATCCTTCTGCCTCGGCATCCCAAGAATTATAGGTGTAAGCTACTGTGAAGTTACATTTTAAGTACCAACTTAAATTGATTTGTAGTGGCTGCCTAGCTAACAATTTTGTCTCCTGATTAATAATAACTATTTGCTACAGGCCCTAGAGATCATATTACATATTTGTTATCTCTCCTATATAATATATACTTTAGAAAGTTACTAACTATGCAGAAGAAAATTAATATTAAATTATTAACTCATGTTAAACTGAATTGACCACACCTTTAAGAAATTAAAATGTGGCTATTACAGAAGTTAAGAGTTCATATAAAGTTACAGTTTGCTGAGGACTTACGTGCTAGGCACCATAATAGGTGCTTAACAAACATAATTCTCATTTATTTTGACAAAAACTCTTTGCTTGGACCAAACCTTCAGCAAGACTCTTGAGTTCTTTCTGACTAGGAGAACTTTAGGCTCCCTCTCTGTCCTTGTAGAAACCAGGCTGAATGAGAATCCTGCTCAGTCAGTTTACTGAAAACCCCCACACACTTGATATAGGACCACTCTGGATATTTTAGCCTGGCCTGCCATGCTATCAAGTCAGTTTAGCCAGAAACCCCTTATGTTGATGCTTCCTCTTAGTAATAATTTTCCATCCACTGACACTCCCTTCAAGCACTCAGCTCCTTAGTTATAAATTCCACTTATCTTTATGGGACCCCAAGTTGAGTTTAATTTCTTTCTGCCACTGCAAGATTCTATCATAGTGGTCCCTATATCTACTGCCATGCCCCCCCCACCCCCGAAAAAATATCTGCCTTACCATCTTTAACAAGTGTCATCAATAAGCTTTTTTTGTAACAATTTATTTAAGAAAAAAAAAAACTCTATGGGGTCGGGCGCAGTGGCTCACGCCTGTAATCCCAGCACTTTGGGAGGCCGAGGCGGGCAGATCACGAGGTCACGAGATTGAGCTAATACAGTGAAACCCCATCTCTACTAAAAATACAAAAAATTAGCCAGGCATGGTGGCGGGCATCTGTAGTCCCAGCTACTTCGGAGGCTGAGGCAGAAGAATGGTGTGAACCCGGGCAGCTAAGCTTGCAGTGAGCCGAGATCGCGCCACTGCATTCCAGCCTGGGTGACAGTGCGAGACTCTGTCTCAAAAAACAAAAAACTCTATGGTTGGTGTTTTTATCTTTAGTTTCCAATAAAGAAACTGGTGCCTTGAGGGGTTAAGCAAGTTGGATAAGTTCACATAACAGCCAGCTGACCAAACTAGAGAGCTCTTCCTAAAATAAAAACTACCCAGTTTCTTTATGAATGAGGAAGAAGGAAACTAAGAGAATTCCTCCCACCTTCTGATAAACTATAGTCAGCAATCTGCAACCCCAATATACTACAATTTATCATTAAATATTAACTCCTATAAAAACAGCTCCTCTTAATGATATTATCAATAGGAATATGACCGCATCTGACATAATCTTCAATGTGTTCTTACATGTTTCTCACGTTTTCATCACCCTCAAAGCAGGACTCATTGAAACTCAAAAGCATTGAGACCTAAAAACAAGATTAATTTAGGGCTGAGGAAATTGTAGGTGCAAAAAAAACTTTAAGCACATTGTTTAGGGTGCATAGCTAGATAGTTGTAGAGACAGAAAAGATAAATCCCCATTCTCCAAATTTGCAAAAGACTCTCTTCTTGGTTTTATACTTTTAATTGTAATTACATATTAGAAATCACACATCTTCACACTTCAAAACTCTCACCAATTACTGTGGCCTACTATATACAAAATGACCAAATTCAACAAAGCTATTATACTATATACAAAATGGCCAAATTCAACGAACTATTATACCATCATCGTAAGTTATATCATTCAAATGTATTTTCTCCAAAAAAAAAAAAAAGAATCAAAACATAAAAGTGTTAGGAGAAAATACAGGTAACTATGTAACCTTGAGTGGAAGAGCTTGGTATGATATCAAAGTCCTCCCACAAAGAAAAGAAAAAAGATTGACAATCTAACTTTATAAAAAGTAATTTCATATCTTAAAAACAGCATATATAAAACCAAAAGGTTATATTAAGATTATGATACTTAGCTTCTCAGGGTTGAAAGTGGAAAAGAAAAAAAAAAAAAAAAAGGGCCTTAAGACTGAAAAATTTTCATTTTCTCAGGGTAACCACTAAATTTTTTCCTTTTTACTAAATGGAATTTTTTTTTTTTTTTTTTTTGGAAACGGAGTCTTGCTCTGTCGCCCAGCCTGGAGTGCAGTGGCAGGATCTTGGCTCACTGCAAGCTCCACCTCCCAGGTTCACACCATTCTCCTGCCTCAGCCTCCTGAGTAGCTGGGACTACAGGCGCCCACCACCACGCCCAGCTAATTTCTTTTTGTATTTTTAGTAGTTACAGGTTTTCACCGTGTTAGCCAGGATGGTCTCAATCTCCAGACCTCGTGATCTGCCCGCCTCGGTCTCCCAAAGTGCTGGGATTACAGGCGTGAGCCACCATGACTGGCCTACTAAACGGAATTTTTTAAAGAATGTGTAACTAATAAGCAAATCCTAGGATGAACTGGAATACATCTAAAAGAAGGCAAGAATGGAGGATAAAAAAAAATAGATGAAACACGAAAGACGGCAGATTTAAACTCAAACATATCAGCAATTATGTTAAAGATAAACAGACTAGCTTCTCCCTTCTCATGTTCCTGAATAATTTTGTCCAACACGATTGGATTTGCTTAGCTAAGCAAAACAAATCTTTCAGGGAGTGGAGGGGGAAATAGTGGCCACAAATTGATCCAGAATGGGATATTCATGCCTAACCACAGTAAGCATAGCTTTAGGATGGCTATAGGGTGAACTGGGATGGGCAATTTGGAGTGAGGAAGGCATATGCATGAGAGTTAGCCGTGACAGATTTGTTGGGTTGACAGTAGAGGACAGGTTTCTTTCTGTAGAAGAGAGTTATAAATATGAAAAGGGAGAAAACTATAATAAATCCTGTAGTACTGTATAGCTGCAGGCAGGACAAAAAGACGCTACAACAAGTTTTAAGAGGCTCTCATTGCCTGAAACAGTTGATAATACAATGAATAGAACAGGAATCCGTGAGTCTGTGCTCATATAAACAAACAGGCAGAAAAGAACATTTTTCCTTGCAGTAAAATGCTAATACATATAAAAAGAATGACTAAACCAGGCGCGGTGATTCACGCCTGTAATCCCAGCACTTTGGGAGGCCAAGGCGGGCGGATCACCTGAGGTCAGAAAGTTCGAGATCAGCCTGACCAACATGGAGAAACCCCCTCTCTACTAAACATACAAAATTGGCCGGGTGTGGTGGCACATGCCTGTAATCCCAGCTACTCAGAAGGGTGAGGCAGGAGAATCACTTGAACCCCGGAGGCAGAGACTGCGGTAAGCCAAGATCATGCCATTGCACTCCAGCCTGGGCAACAACAGCGAAACTCCATCATAAAAAAAAAAAAAAAAAAAAAAAAGACAGAATCAGAAAATCACCAGTTGGCTATCATTCTTCAGGCAAAAATCGCAAATGGATGCTAAAACTATCTGCTAAAATCTTAATGAGCAATAGGTTATTAACAATCTCAAAGTGCCTCCCCATAGAATACTTATGAATAAGTATAACATATTTATTAAATACTTATTAGGTATAACATAATTATTAATTAAGTAACCTGAAAGACAACAACCCAAGCAAGTCACAAAAGATGTTAACATTATAAATCAACATCACATGCCTCCCTGATTGTGATGCACTGAGAAGAATCTAGAATCACTTCCACAGTATTCCTGCCAATGTATAACCTAAATCTTATCAAGAGGAAACATCAGCCAACCCAAGCTGCACATTCCACAAACCTGTACTCTTGAAAAATGTCAAGGTCAACAGAAATAAAAAAGACTATGGAACTTTTTCCATTGAGGGAGACTAAAGAGGCATGACAGCTAAATGCAGCACACATGCTCTAGACTGCATCCTGGACCTACATATGACATTACTGGGATAATTAGGGAAATTTAAATGGGATCTGTGGATTACAAAGTAATATTGTATCAACGTTAATTTCTTAATTTTTTTTTCCCGAGATGGAGTCTTGCTCTGTCATCCAGGCTAGAGTACAGTGGCATGATCTCGGCTCACTGCAATCTCCACCTTCCAGGTTCAAGCAGTTCTCCCGCCTCAGCCTCCGGAGTAGCTGGGATTACAGGCACCTGCCACCACGCCCGACTAATTTTTGTATTTTTAGTACAGATGGGATTTCACCATGTTGGCCAGGCTGGTCTCCAACTCTTGACCTCGTGAGCCGTGCACCTCAGCCTCCCAAAGTGCTGGGATTATAGGTGTGAGCCACCGTGCTGGGTCAATTTCCTAATTTTTATGGATATACTACAGTTATGTAGTGTCATGTAATCTTCGTTTTATTAAGTAGTACTGATATATCATATTTGCAACTTTCAATTGATTTGGCTCAGGAAAAAGGTTAGTAATATGGGGGGCAGGGGAATAAGAGGAGAGAGAGGTGGAGAGGGAAGGAAGGAAGGAGGGAGACAGAAAATGAGAATGTTACAGAAAGTATATATAGAGATAAGCCAAACGTGGTATTACATAAACAAATAAGGAATCTAGGTAAAGGACACTACATGTACATGGGAGATCCTGTAATACTTCTGCAACTTTTCTGTATGTTTAAAATTATTAGGCTGGCTGTGCTGGCTCATGCCTGTAATCCCAGCACTTTGGTAGGCCAATGTGGGAGGACTGCTTGAGTCCAGGAGTTTGAGACCACCCTGGGCAACACAGTGAGACCTCATCTTTACAAAAAATAAAGAAAACTAGCCAGCTGTGGTGGCACGTGCCTGTAGTTCCAGCTACTTGGGAGAGGCTGAGGTGAGAGGATCACTTGAGCCCAGGGAGTTGAGGCTGTAGTGAGCCGAGATCATGCCACTGTACTCCAGCCTAGGCAACAGAGCAAGACCCTATCTCAAAAAAAAAAAAAAAAAAATTTATTGCCAAATGAAGTTTAAAAAAATATGTAAAATAATCTTTTGAAACACTAATGTTAACTCTATCAATAAAAGGGAAAGGATACCGTAATGAATTCCAATGATAATTAACCCGAAAAGGGAGAATTAGTATTAGCGGAATTAAGAGTACTTGTTTTCATGACACTGTTAGGGGAAATTTCACTGGATTCTCCACTTACTACTAGGAATGTACGCAGGGAAAGAAAAAGAAAGAAAAAATAAACCAGCAAGCTCTAACGAACTACCTTCAAATTATGTTTCTCTTTGGTGGTGAAACAGACATATTTGTCTTCTCCCTGTCAATCAATCCCCAGAAATTGGTCCAAGACAGTAAATTTTAGACAGATAGATGTGTTTTTTCAAGGACTTGTTTTGAAATACTTGTTTGTCCTATGGAATTTTTTTTTTTTTTTTTTGGAGACGGAGTCTCACTCTGTTGCCCAGGCTGGAGTGCAGTGGTGCAATCTCGGCTCACTGCAACCTCCACCTCCCAGATTCAAGCAATGCTCCTGCCTCAGCCTCCCGAGTAGCTGGGACTACAGGTGTGTGCCACCATGCCCGGCTAATTTTCTGTATTTTTAGCAGAGACGGGGTTTCACCGTGTAGCCAGGATGGTGTCGATCTGACCTCATGATCTGCCCGCCTCAGCCTGCCAAAGTGCTGGGATTACAGGTGTGAGCCACTGCGCCTGACCAGGAAATTTTAAAATAATCATTTGATAAACAAAAAGAATACTTTCCCTCTCTAAATTTTTTTTTTTTTGAGACAGAGCCTTGGTGTGTCGCCCAGGCGACAAAAGTGCTAGGATTACAGGCATGAGCTACCGTGCCTGGCCTGTCTATATTTTTAAAAAGCATTTGTCTTACCTTCAACCCGTGATTCCAAGTGCTTATCCAACTCTGAATCTTTTTTCACCGCTTCATCTGAGACCTTGGGAGCATTTGAAAAGCAAACTAGTACAATACTCATGTTATCTCGACTTCCCTGTGTATTAAAGAAAAAAAAGAAAAAAAATTGTATTTCTACAATCAACTATTATTTACTTCAAAATACTTTAAGCAATTATAGTTTATTTAATCATCCAGAACGTTTATGTTTAACACATTCATTTTTATTCCAATGAATTACTAAAAACACAACTTGAAGAAACAAGGTGTCTAGGTATGGGTATATCTGTAAGCATTTCTGTATTTTTAATTCTGGTGAACTATTATTACCCACAGCCATTCCAGTCTGAGAAATGAAGATATCTTCAATACATATTAAATCTTCTAAACTATTTCCCACTCAAGATTGTCTATTCCCAAACTGGCTTAAGTCCACAATGGATCCTCCCAAACACATATGCAAATGTTTTCCAGCTTAGCTTTTAAACTGCCTCAGAGCAATGCTACGACTCCATGAATTTAACATAGCTGAAAATTGTTATTCGGCAGAATACCCAAAATACTAAACTAAACAATTATTATTATTACTATTTGAGACAAAGTTTCGCTCTTGTTGCCCAGGCTGGAGCACAATGGCGCAATCTTGGCTCACTGCAACCTCCGCCTCCCAGGTTCAAGCAATTCTCCTGCCTCAGCCTCCTGAGTAGCTGGCATTACAGGTGACGGCCACCAGGCCCGGCTAATTTTTTTATATTTAGTAGAGATGGGGTTTCACCATGTTGACCAGGCTGGTCTTGAACTTCTGACCTCAGGTGATCCACCCACCTCAGCCTCCCAAAGTGCTGGGATTATAGGCATGAGCCACCGCGCCCAGCCCCACAACTATTAATACAAGAAACTATTCAGAGGGCACAGTAACAGGGGGGACTGTAACTGGACAACTGAGATCCAACTGTAGTCATGTGATAACTTTTAAAAGAAAAGACATCAGATTGCTATATAGTCGCAAGTAGTTTCAGAATCTTTATAAAGTGGCTAAAATAGCTAATTTAAGGACATATTTTATTTCTCCCTTTTAACCACACCATCACAAATTACCTATGTTAAAAAGGAAGCATACACTGGGCACGGTGGCTCACGCCTGTAATCCCAGCACTTTGGGAGGCTGAGGAGGGCAGATCACAAGGTGAGGGGTTCAAGACCAGCCTGACTAACATGGTGAAACCCCATCTCTACACAAATATACAAAAATTATCCAGGCGTGGTGGCGCGCACCTGTAATACCAGCTACTCAGGAGGCTGAGGCAGGAGAATCACTTGAACCCGGGAGGTGGAGGTTGCAGTGAGCTGAGATTGCACCACTGTACTCCAGCCTGGGCAACAGAGTGAGACTGTCTCCAAAAAAAAAAAAAAAAAAAGCATAAAGCCAGGCACTGTGACTCATGGCTATAATCCCAGCACTTCGGGAGGCCTCGGTGAGCAGACTATTTTAGCCCAAGAGTTCCAGACCAGCCTGGGCATCATGGCAAAACCTTGTCTCTTCAAAAAACACAAAAATTAACTGGGCTTAGTGGCACACACCTGTAGTCCCAGGTCCCAGCTACTCGGGAGGCTAAGGTGGAAGGATCGCTTAAGCCTGGGAAGTGGAGATTGCAGTGAGCCGTGATGACACCACTGCACTCTAGCCTGGGCAACAGAGCAAGACTCTCTCTCAAAAAAAAAAAAAGCATATCATATATACTACTCTAGTACCATGAGATTATGTGCAATCAATTAAAAATACGTTCTCATTACTTTTTCTAAAGGTATATTACTTTAACTGAGTTTCTAAGAGCAGGAGCAGATGAAACTGTTCTTGGAATAACGATTTTTTTCAAACTTTCTTTTTCTGTTCACTCTAAAAAACAAAGTCAGTGGAGGTGGTAGGCTATTTTGTCTGATAGTGTTTGCCAAATTTGCCAACTCAAGTGAAAGAAACCAAGACCACACCCTTTCTAGTCTTTTCAGTTATTATGACTAGAATCTAGGCAGGCATGGCTCGGTTCAGACTTATGCCTTTCAGAACCTACATGACACAGCCCAAAAGACAGGTGGCCTTGAATAACTTCTGCCTTCACCTCCTAATTCAATGGGAGTAAAGTTTGAAGGCAGTGAAGGTTGGGTCTTCAGAAGACTTCAAAATAAATTAACTTGTCACAGATTGTTGTGCTTTGGAACAAGGAACCAACTTGAGTATTTCATTAGATTCCCGGTTATCTGGAAAAACCATTTCCAAATTGGCCAAATTAATTCATTCCTTAATGAAACCCACCAAAACTTTTATATTAGAAATACTGTATGTGTTTGGTTATATGAATATACTTGTATAAATGTCATAAGGGCAGTTCAAGCAAAAATTTTTAATTAAAAATAATTTTAAAGTACACCATGGATATTCAAGAATCAAACAGCTGGGCATGGTGGCTGCCTGTAATCCCCGCAGTTTGGGAGGCTGAGGCAGGAGGATCATTTAAGGCCAGGAGTTTGAGACTAGCCCGGGCAACACAGTGAGACACCCTTTCTAAAACACAACAACAAAAAAAGAATCAAGCATAATTACACTTTATAAAGCAATTTTATGCATAAACGGAATTAACACCTTACACTTTTAGAAATCTAATTTCTTTTAACCCTTTTGAGTTTTTGGTAACAACAACATGAGCATTGTGGAACATTTCCTTATCTAATTTCCATTCGATTTTTGTAAGTTATAAAATATAAATACTTTTGGAAAATTAATTGAAAGAGAGTTCCAATAAATTTATGGTTCTCCAAAGACATTTAAGGGAAATAATTTATATTTACATCTCAGGCATGTGTGATTTCAGTGATGTTGCTTCTTAGCCACCTTGCCTGGCTTGCTTCTATTTCTATGTAAAGATGGCTTTCCCCTAAACACCAAGTATGAATATGTTTCAGTAGCTGTTATACAGCAACAGAAAAGGTCCTTTCCTTTGTGCCATTGTTTTTTAGAGACAAAACATCCTTGTATAATCAGTATAAAGTTTTCACTAAGTCCATAAATAAAACATTTTTTTTTCTAAATCCAGTTTGGATAACTAAAGAAATTAGCTCTGCATATAAAAATTGATTATTACATGTTCTTTTTACTTTTTACAACAGCACAGCAGTTAACACTCTTAATAATCATAGTACCAGATCAAAGACGCCAGTGCCCCTGCCATAAATAAGGGCATCTAAACTTAAACAGAAAACAATCTGATACAGTTTTTTGTTTGTTTTTGTTTTTTTGACACGGAGTCTCACTCTGTCGCCCAGGCTGGAGTGCAATGGCGCGATCTCAGCTCACTGCAACCTCTGCATCCCAGGTTCAAGCAATTCTCCTGAGTTTAGAACTAAACAATTATTGAGGGGGTTACATTTTCTATGTTATATAAATTAATATAGAATGATGTTGCCTTTGGAAAATGATAATTTCCCTCAATTTTATCCAACTATGAGGTACTATCTCATGTTTTAAAATAAATAGGCTTCTGGTAGATGGTATATAAATGAAATTTTGGAAAATCAAATAATGTTTTAAAAGAACAATTTAAAAGAATACCGACTTTTATAATTTAAGAAAAACAAAACAGGTGACAAAGTAACAAACATAGCATGATCTTTTTCTATAAAATACAAAAAAAGAAAAAATCCTATTTTACGTTTATACATTTCTATCAATAATCACAGAGAACCATTTGGAAAGATATACAGCAAACCATGAGCAGTGGTTCCCTAAGTGAGATGAGACTGGAAAGCAGAAACATCAAGGGGAATCACTTTACTTCAAACATCTCTGTATTTGTTACAAAAAAAATTTAGTCTTAATGTTTCCCTTGGGGAAAAATTTCTCAGACCATGAAAACCGAAACAGACAGACACTTACACACACACACACACACACACACACCCACACCCACACCCACACCCACTCTTCTTTATTTTATCAGGCCCTTCTGGGAAATATTGTTAACAAAAATACTAAACTTGAGTCAGAAAACTAGTCTCAGCCTCAATACTCACCAAGTATATGACTTATGGATATCTTTTAATATCAAACAACCTCCATTTCCTTACTTGCAAATTAAAAAAACTTTTTATTTTGTTCACCTCAGAAAGTTACTATGAGGATTAATAAGTATGTATCATTTACAAGTTATGAAAAGCTATGCACGTGGCAGTTACATATTTTAAGCAACCCGAAATTAGTTGGCAGTAAACACCATAAATGCCAGCATTGCAAATAAAATGGGAGGGTTGCTTTCTTAGCTCCCATTCTCCCCTCGAGTTAAATACCTAATTTAAATAGGATAATACCTGACCACAGTCATACAACACTTACAGATTAATATTAACTGGCAACCCTGAAAAATGCTTATCTTTTTTTTTTTTTTTTTTTTTTTTTTGAGACGGAGTCTCGCTCTGTCACCCAGACTGGAGTGCAGTGGCGTGATCTCGGCTCACTGCAAGCTCTGCCTCCCGGGTTCAAGTCATTCTCCTGCCTCAGCCTCCTGAGTAGCTGGGACTACAAGCGCCCACCACAACGCCCGGCCGATTTTTTCTATTTTTTAATAGAGACGGGGTTTCACTGCGTTAGCCAGGATGGTCTCGATCTCCTGACCTCGTCATCTTAACTACCTCATATGGTTGTGAAAATTACATGAGTTAAAATATGTAAAGTATTTAGAATAGTGTTTGGCTTACAGAAAGCAATAATTTACTAATACTACCACGATTATGATTATGATAACCTCCCAAGATTTAATGAGTTAAGATAAAAGTGCTTATAAATTATGAAAGTATGACAAGTGATGGAGGTGTTAGAAAAAACTAGGACTTCATTTAAATCTCTTATCAGGGAAACATCTACTTATTAATGTTTCCTCTCCTCTTACAGCAGGTAACTACTGTGCAATCGCTAAGTGCTTTCCATGAATTTTTAACTTACAATTTTTCTGAGTAAATTCAAAGTAATTATATTTGATCTTATTGCTAACCCTTGCTTTTACAATACAAATAAATGGAAAGACAAAATTACGAAGTTAAACAGAAATGAAGGTTTCCATAAGTAACTTTCAAAGGTTCAAAAATAATTTTAAGTCTGTTTTGTTTCAATTCAAACCTCCAAACTGATTTCAATTTGAATGCAGCTCCATTAGAAGGAACTATGATGGTCAGCTTCCATTAACATTGAATGAATCATGGGCCCCAACTTCTTGTCTGTTATTATCATTCCTCATTTCTGAGATTCTAGGATGCCATCTAGAATCTTTTAACACCATCAACATGAACATTTAATCACTCTAAATTGATAAAAGCTAGCAAGTGAAGATATACCACCAGAAATATTTAAACCTCATTCAGAAGGGTCGAGTCAAAATTCTCAAAAACTAGCATCCTTTCAATGGATAAGTGAGTTAATCTACTAACACAAACTTCTTTCCTTAGTCCAAATTACAGACCTAATAGATTTTTTGGCTATTCCCTCACAACCTCATTCTTTCAATAAAATACTACGCAGCCAAGAAAAATGATACAGATCAATACTTATAGGCATGGAGATCTCTCTACAATATATTGTTGGAAAAGGCAGGCTGTAGAATAACAAGTATAATCATCTCGGTTTTATAAAAATACACACACTCACAGGCAGGCAGAAAAGACTGGAACAATATACACCACAACAATGAAAGTAGCTGACT
The DNA here is from genome assembly GCF_000001405.40 of Homo sapiens. Classification (NCBI taxonomy): domain Eukaryota; kingdom Metazoa; phylum Chordata; class Mammalia; order Primates; family Hominidae; genus Homo; species Homo sapiens. The sequence continues at coordinate 44,203,562 of NC_000002.12, read as the reverse complement.
TAGGGTGGATGGCAAAATTTTGGGTGTTTCTCTATATTTTCTTCATCATCTGGATTTTTTTTCCAATAGTAAGTATATACCTTTTTTTTATAATTGGGGAAAATGCTGTTTTCATTAGCTAGTCAGGCAACAAACATATGCCTATGCTTGTCTCAAAAATCTACAGGTCAGAATTGCTTCATTTAGAGTTCAAAGACAAATACATAATTTTAGACCCACTTACTATTTGATCACTGACAACCATCAATACTTCTTTACTTAACTCATCCAGAAGTAAAAAGATACAGTGTGTTAAAAATAAAAATCAGAGGAGCTAGAGGTACCATCATTAAAATCCTTTCAGAAAAAGGCTGTCCACTGACAAGAACGGCCTTTAAATCTTCTGTTTTTAAAACTGCCTCTTTCCATTCTATTAAAAAGAAATCGGTATTTAACCAAAATCTGGGCATTTCCAGAGACCCAGAGATCCTTTCTGAAAAACTTTCTGGTTATGCCCATACCTTCCACAGTACATTTTGGAGTAGGGAGATACAGTGGTTCTAATCTAGACAGAATAAATAAGTCAAACCCTTTATTTATTTCATGTAACTAAAGGTCAGTTTTACCTTGGTATCTTTTCAGTCAAATACTTACACACTCCAGACACTGGCCAGATAACTCAAATTTTAATTGAATTATATATAGATGCTGTCAAAAACCCACTTGAAACAACTGAGTATTTTAAAGATATTCAAAGGATTGCCAATTATCTATTACTCTGGACTTTTTTTCTATTACTGTATCAAGCAATGATTCATACAAAATTACAAATCTAAATAAACTTTAGTGTTCCACAGGAATTTTTCACAAGATTATGTTTTATAGAAGCCTTTGGTTTTTAATCAGAAATAATAAAAACATCTATATGAAAAGAATTTTATCTTCTACAAAAGATACTATCCAAGTCATGTATTACTTAGAGAGCCACATGTAAATCCTTTTTAGATTGTATTGCCAGATAAGAGCTGCTTTTAGAAGACAATGAGAAATATACAACCCATATTTTTATTTCAGTTTTTGTCTTCACTGCTAGGAGGCTCAGGACTAAATTTTATACAGGCTAGGCATCTAGTACATCTTCCAATATTTCACATGGCTCTTGATCTTTTAGTAATATCTAGTACAGAATTCTACTATATACATATTTTATCAAGCTGCTTCATAATCAGGCATAAGATGGTTACTGCCAATGTCAAGAAAAAGTCACTCTGTGTAAATGCTTTTGCTACAGCAACAAGCTATGAAGTACTTAAATGACAACAAATGCCTCAAATTTATCAAGCTTAATTTTCAAATTAGAAGGCTGGGACAAACAAGGATGGCAAAGAAAACAATGGTTTCATTTCTGGTAAAGTACTTCAAAATATACAGCTTCTGTGAAAATATTAAAAGTTTTAAAATTTTAAGTTAGCTTAACTTTACCTACCGTAACTTTTCAAAATTAACATGTTATTTTAATGACAAAAAAGTTTACATACCTTGTGTAAACAAGTGTCCACTACCCAATTGCACACATTTTCCAGGTCATCAGATACCTCAAGCCTAGATTTAACATATTCACAGAGCTCCTCATTACTCATAACATCCCAGATCCCATCACAAGCCAAGATGATAAATTCATCCTCTTCTGCTCTTAAAATTTCATAAACCTCAGGCTCTGGAGAAACAAGTTGTTCTGTTGGGCCCTTGCCATCAACACACTTGTAATCATAGTCCCCCAGAGCACGAGATACTGCTAATGAACCATTAACACGTTGTATCATCACGCTGCCTCCTGCATTTTGGATTCGCTCCTTTTCCCTTGGATTGCAAGGTTTGTGATCCTGGGTAGAAAAGCAGACTTGTCCATTCCTATACAGAACAGCACGTGAATCACCACAGTTGATAAAGTAGATATGCTTAGGTGAAATCATAACTCCCACTGCAGTTGAACCACTCCTGTCCATCCCGTTTCTGAGGTCTGAAAAGTTACGCATGTATTCATCAATTTTCAAAAATCCAGTTCTGATACCATTCTTAACATTTTCCACTGAAAGCTCAAGAGCAGATCCTGATTTTCCAGCTGCCCTAAAGTCTTCGTTAGTAGTGATGTGTTCTAATAAATGTGTTGAGCAGTAATTTGCCACTCGGGATCCAGCATGACCATCATAAACTGCAAAAAATGACCAGTCTTCCAAGCCGTGAGGAATACCTACAACAGCTGTGTGTGCATCTTCCATTTCCACTCTCCATCCTTGCATGCTGCTCAGGCCATAACGTAAACCATTCCCAGCACCATGAGCATTATGTTTTTCAGTTTTGGGTTTATCCAAAAATGCACCCATGTTTAGCAATAAATCTGAAATAAAAAATGCAGGTGTTAAATGTTTAAATTTGACAGAAAATGTATGTACAATATTCCCTCTATAGTCTAGTAACTCCTACCTCAAGTATTTTTTTTAGTATTATCCTAATTTACGGGAGCAACAACAAAAGCCCAAGAAATTTCCTCCCCTACATCCTACAGAACAGTGGTTTCTCAGCCCTAGCGCGTAAGAATAATCAGACCAATTAAATCAGAATCCCTAGGGATGGGACACAGATATCATCTTTTAAAAGCCTCTCTGGTGACTTGTATGTGCAGCCACGTTGAGACCACTGTTCTAGGAGAAAGGAAAAAACAAGAAATAAAACTTCATTAATAATTTCATTCTGATTTAATTTACAAGGTGAGTCTAGGGTTCGACATGTAAGTTTACAGAAGACTGGACAATGAGAATATTCAAAACAGTGAGTCATCTTGTTCAATAAATCAAGGTAGGAAGGTATACTAATATACTTTAGAAGACTTTCAAAAGCAAGTATTGAAATCAAGATTTCTCCTCCCAGTGAACCTAAAGACAACCCCAAAATTCAATTAAAACATAAAAATCTCCATTCTACACACATTTGGTTTTATCACTTTTACTATATATCTATAAAACTGAAAACCTTATCATTACTTTGATTCTGTTAAAAACATACCTTTAACATGGTGCTAAAAAATGGACTTCACTTTGCTGAACTTAAAATCCATGAAGTAGCTACCCAGTGTTGACTGACAAAGACTTAAAATCCTTAGAATTGGAAAGTACTACTATGCATCACCCTCTCCCCGCCTACCCAACTTTACTATTTTATAGAATAAAGCTTTCCCAATTTCAAATGACTTAGATTAGACTTAGAGTAATGGTTCCCAAAAGTATGCAAAAGAATTCTCTGGTATGTTTTCTACATACAATGCTAACCCTACACTCTAACTAGGTGACCTTGGGCAAATTTCTTAGTCACCTGTACCTATACCTCATAGGGCTGCTGTGAAGAATGAGTCAATGTAAAGTGCTTAAAACAGCACTTAAAACACAATAAACACCATAAAATGTTTGCTGTTATATCTGCTCAAAATGCAGACTCCATAGCCCTATTCCCACACCTAAGGATTTTTTTCAATAGATCTTAGATGGAATCATCAAAAAAGCATGCTGGTGATTTAAAGTTTTGAGAGACACTGGTCTAGATCAATTTACCTCCATTTGGGTCTACGTATCTTTGTGAGATTTTTTCCAGGTATGATCATTATTGAACTTTACAATAAAATTACATATCGCCATTTAAAAAAATCTGATGAACCACTCGATATATATATGTAAATATTTATAAGTTACATACCAGTTTTATAATTTTCCTGGGTTATATGTGATACTGTATTAATAAATTACAAATGTATTTATAGAAAAAGAGTCCTGAAAGGATAAGATTAAAATCATGTAAAAATTATTTTTCATTCTATCAGTAGAATGTCATATTTTGTACTGAGAGCAATGTAACAGAATATGCTTGATTACTTTTGAACATGCTGGTTTAATTCTCTGTGATACAATGATTTTAAAGCCTAGTTCTAAGTACATTTTTATATGCTTGCTTGTATAGGCTATTTCATCTGAAAGGCAACTTTAAAAGATACTTAAATGCAAATGAAACAGAATTGTTGGCTGTATTTACTAAATCACTTTTCTTTCTTTTTTGGGGGGTGAGGGGATACAGTCTCACTCTGTTGAATGGTGCCATCTCACTGTAACCTCTGCCTCCCAGGTTCACAAGCCATTCTCCTGCTTCAGCCACCCAAGTAGCTGGGACTACAGGCACGTGCCACCATACCTGGCTCAATTTTTTTTTTTTTTATTTTTATTTTTTTTTTTTTTGAGATCTACAGGCACGTGCCACCACACCCGGCTCTTTTTTTTTTTTGAGATGGAATCTCGCTTTATCGCCCAGGCTGGAGTGCAACGGCACAATCTCGGCTCACTGCAACCTCCGCCTCCCAGGTTCACACCACTCTCCTGCCTCAGCCTCCCGGGTAGCTGGGGTTACAGGCACGCGCCACCATACCCAGCTAATTTTTTGTATTTTTAGTAGAGATGGGGTTTCACTATGTTGGCCAGATTGGTCTTGAACTCCTGACCTTGTGATCTGCCCACCTCGGCCTCCCAAAGTGCTAGGATCACAGGCATGAGCCACCACGCCCGGCCATGACCATTTCTTCCTAGTAGCCATATATGGGATACTTGTGATTGTAATGAAATTTTCAACTGCAAAATACGTAGTGAAAAAACTGCTTAAACTAATTCATTCTCCCTTTATTCCCTAGTAATTACAAATGCCAGACACTACCTGCACTTTTACCAGCCCTATGACCAAAAGTAAGAATCTTCAACAGTCTTAAGAGCATGATGGGGCAGACTGCACATAGGTCTGGTCCGAAACCAAGCCCCTGCAGAGACAACCAGGGAAGTAATCTGAGAGAGTTAATGGCCCTCGTACCTCTTATTATTTCGTTTCATTTTTGTAACAGAGGCACATTATGTTACGCTTTTATCTTATTTGAGGGACCAAGGAACAAGCAAATACTTCTGTAGTGCCTGTTCTGTGGTAGGCTCTGTCTTAAATGCTTCACAAACATTAACTTATTTAAATTCTACTCTTTAGAAAAACAAATATCAAAAAAGCAAACAATTATCAGGGAAACCTTTAATAAAAAATCTTCAGGCTGGGTGCGGTGGCTCATGCCTGTAATCCCAACACTTTGGGAGGCTGAGGCGGGCGGATCACTTGAGGCAAAGAGTTTGAGACCAGCCTGGTCAACATGGTGAAACCTCGTCTCTATTAAAAATACAAAAATTGGCCGGGCATGGTGGTGGGTGCCTGTGATCCCAGCTACTCGGGGGGCTGAGACAGGAGAATTGCTTGAACCTGGGAGGCAGAGGTTGTGGTGAGCCGGGATCGTGCCACTGTACTCTAGCCTGGGCAACAGAGCAAGACTCCGTCTCAAAAACAAACAAACAAAAAATCATAAAACTTCAAGAAAAGACGACCAAATACTTCAAAATTCTCCTCCTTACTGCACTTGGCACACTTTTTTAGAGGGGGCACATGGACATTGGCAAGCGTGGCTTAAGAACAGCACAATCTGTCAATCCCATCTGCTTCCTATCAAAGAAAATGCGGTGGTGTTAGGGATGCTTCAGGCTCATGGATAAAATTTTTCCCAAAGGTTTCTGAAGGCTAGTAAGTTGCTCTTTCGACTAGAAAAGTAACATAAATAGCGATAACAATGCCTCATTTTTTAATGAGTTCTATATGTCAGGCACTACACTAAGATACTGATATACACTATATCATTTAATTCTAATAACAACTTAGTAAGGTTAGCACTATTTATATTCTCATTTTACCTTGAGAAAACTGGGATACCTAGGGTATCCAGACAACACAACTAAGTGGCTAATCAGAAATCGAACCTATTAAGACTAGCCTAAATCTTGCATTCTCAAACTCTGGGCTTCAGTGGCTAATGTATCGCAAGCTTTTTTCTTCCTTTTAAAAAATAAATAATAGTTATATAAATGTTCAGGGGCTCAAAAGGCAACTCAATGTCATATCCCTGACTGGATACTGACACAGATAAACAGAATTACTAGAAAAACTGGTGAAATCCAAAGACTAGAGTTTAGTTAACAGAAGAGTAATGTTAGTTTTTTTTAGTTTTTGATAAACGCACTACAGTAAATGCAAAAAGTTAACATTAGTGGCCAAGTGTGGTAGCTCATGCCTGTAATCTCAACACTTTGGGAGGCCAAGGTAGGAGAATCACTTGGGCCCAGGAGTTCGAGATCAGCCTGGACAACATAATGAGACTCCATTTCTACAAAAAATTAAAAATTAGCCAGACATGGTGGCGCACGGCTGTAGCCTGGGTTACTCAGGAGGCTGGGGTGGGAGATCTCCTGAGCCTGGGAGGTTGAGGCTGCAGTGAGCCCTGATTATACCACTGCACTCCAGTGGTATGACAGGTGACACAGCAAGACCCTGTCTCAAAAAAAAAGTTAACGTTAGTGGAAACTGGGTAGGGGGTAGATGGGGAAGACTCTGTACTACCTTTGCAAACTTTTCTGTAAATCTGAAATTATTTCAACATTAAAAGTTTATTTAAAAAATGAAAACTAAAAGGTAAGCCTCAGTTAAGTCATTCCAAGTACAGTGTAGTACAAGCAAGGTAGACTGGCTATGGAAAATCTCTCCACCTGTGATTTTGCCAAACATGCTAAGGTGGCTTAGAAATGTATCCTAAAAATACCAAGATTATATAATAATTGGAAATTCCGATCCAGTGATTCTATTTCTGAGATGTTATAACCACTCTTGGTCTATGACAGATCATTTTCTTTTTTAATGGATAAACAATCTGAGCAACAAAATAACGTAATATTGGATTATAACCCATAGTACAAACATTCATGAGTCTTTGCTGATAAAAATAAAGGACTGAATACGTAAATGAATGGGGATACCAGACAAACCTTTAATGCAGAAGAATGCCAGACAGTTTATGTAGATCTTCCACCTTCAAATAGGTCAAGCACAACTTCCCACCCCATAAGGGTGGATTGGGCAGTTATTTTCTTTTCAAAAAGTACAAAATGAAAACGAGGGAGAGAATAACTCTACAGTGGAGAAATCTGACAAACACTACCTCAGCCAGGTAATCAAACTTGACATCAACGGTTTATATTCTTGGCATAATCTAATGAGAAAGGCACTTTACCTCAGTGGTCTTCCTCCAAAACAAAATCCATAATAACCCCAGTCTAATCATAAGAAAAGCATTAGAGAAACTCCAATAGAAGGATATCCTACAAAATATCTGACCAGTACTCCTCAAAATTTTCAAGGCGATAAAAAACAAGGAAAGCCTGAGAAACTGCCACAGCCAACAGGGGCCTAAGGAGACATGATGACTAAATGTAACGTGGTACATCCTTAATGGGATCTTGGATAGAAAAAGGACATTAGGTTAAAACTAAGAAAATGCAAATAAAGAATGGGCTTTATGGGCTTTAGTTAACAATGTATCAGTATTGGCTCATTAATTGTAAGGGTTCAAGTGGACAGTTCTCACTTGGGTTTTCTCATATTACTGCATACAAATACTGGCTGGGGAGAAGGTCACCTGAAAGCTCACTTAACATGATAGGCAGCTGATGAGGGATGCTGGCTAGGAATTTAGCTGAGACTGTCCCAAGGAGTATCTTCTGTATGTGGCCTCTCCAGTTTGAGGATTTCAACACGGTCAGGCTTCTTACATGTCACCTGGTTTCCCAGGCAGAGCTACATGGTATTTTCTGACCCACCCTCAGAAGTCACTTCTGCTGCATTATTGGTTACAAGAAAGTCACTAAGTCTTGTTCAGATTGAAGACAAAGGAACGTAGACCCCACCACTCAAAGGAGAAGATTACTAAATAGGTTGCAGACATGTATTTTTTATTTTTAGAGACAGGATCTTGCTCTGTCACCCATGTTGGAGTGCAGTGGTACAATCATAGCCCACTGCAGCCTTGAACTCCTGGCGTCCAGCAATCCTCCCACATCAAAAGTGCTGGAATTACAGGTGTGAGCCACCACACCTGGCCTGTTTGGTAGTTTTAATACATGTCTGGGCTGGGCATGGTGGCTCATGCCTGGAATCCAAGCACTTTGGGACGCCTAGCTGGGAGGATCACTGGAGGCCAGGAGTTCAAGACCGCCTGGGCAACATAGCAAGACCCTATCTCTACCAAAAAAAATTGGGGAAAAATATTAGCCTAGCATGGTGGCGTATGCCTGCAGCACCAGCTACTTGGGAGGCTGAGGCAGGAGGATCACTTGAGCCCAAGAGATTGAGGCTGTAGTGAACTATGATCATGCCACTATACTCTAGCCTGAGCGACACAGTGAGTCCCTGTCTCTTGAAAAAAAAAAAAAGAAAGAAAGAAAAGGCCAGGTGGGGTGGCTCACGCCTGTAATCCCAGCACTTTGGGAGGCCGAGACGGGCAGATCACCTGAGGTCAGGAGTTTGAGATCAGCCTGGCCAATATGGTGAAACCCTGTCTCTACTAAAAATACAAAAATTAGCCCTGGTGTGGTGGCAAGCGCCTGTCATCCCAGCTACTTAGGAGGCTGAAGCAGGAAGATCACTTGAACCTGAGAGGTGGAGGCTGCAGTGATTGCGCCACCGCACTCCAGCCTGGGTGACAGAGTAAGATTCCGTCTCAAAAAAAAAAAAAAAAAAGCAAAAGACTGGAGGTCTATCTTGCAAAGAGTGAACTATAGAGACTCTGGGTTTAGAGACAGCAGATTTAGCTGAGGACCAGAGCAAGAAGCCTTACAGAAAACCAGTGATATAAACTATAAATTTGCATAATGAATGCTGATATGCTCAGCCTGCTCAGCCTTCTTCTTTTTTTTGAGATGGAGTCTTCCTCTGTCGCCCAGGCTGGAGTGCAGTAGCGCGATCTCGGCTCACTGCAAGCTCCGCCTCCCAGGTTCACACCATTCTCCTGCCTCAGCCTCCCAAGTAGCTGGGACTACAGGCGCCCGCCACCACGCCTGGCTAATTTTTTCTATTTTTAGTAGAGACGGGGTTTCACCGTGTTAGCTAGGAAGGTCTCGATCTCCTGACATCGTGATCCGCCCGCCTCGGCCTCCCAAAGTGCTGGGATTACAGGCATGAGCCAACACGCCCGGCCTGCTCAGCCTTCTTTACCAACTCCCAGAAATCAAGGAAACCACAAGCAGGCAACAGCTCTATTGCTCTCTGAGGAAATTCACTAGTCCCAGAGAAAGTACCCACAGATTACTTACACACAGGAATACTCCATAAAATGCTTGGTCTCCACAATCATCCCACAGCGAGGCCTATCAAATGACATCCCTGTCAAGGCTGTCAGGGTTACACTTAAATATGAGGAGCTATCCAAAGATTACCAGATACTGAAAGGAAACATACAACATGAAAAGCAAAATAAATCAAACAAAGAAAAAGGAATCAGAAGGAAAAAACCATGCAAGGACTAGGGAAAAAAAAATCCTTAAGAGAAATAAAAAAGTATTCTATTCATGAACCAAAAAGATATTAAAAACAAACAAACAAACAAACAAATAAACAAAACCAGGCTGGGTGATGCAGTAGTTCATGCCTGCAACCCCAGGGCTTTGGGAGTTCAAGGTAGGAGGATTGCTTGAGGCCAGTAGCTCGAGACCAGCCTGGACAACAAAGTGAGACTCTGTCTCTATAAAAAAAAATTTTTTATGCTGGGCACAGTGGCTCACGCCTGTAATCCCAGCACTGTGGGAGGCCGAGGCGGGTGGATCACCTTACGTCAGGAGTTCGAGACCAGCCTGGCCAACACGGTAAAACCCCATCTCTACTAAAATTACAAAAATTAGCCGGGCATGGTGGCACGTGCCTGTAATCCCAGCTACTGGGGGGCTGAAGCAGCAGGATCACTTGAACCTGAGAGACAGAGGTTACAGTGAGCTGAGATCGTAGCACTGCACTCCAGCCTGGGCAATGGAGCGAGACTCTGTCTCTCAAAAAAAAAAAAAAAAAAAAGAAAAAAAATTTTAATTAGCTGGGTACAGTAGCAAGCACATGTAGTCCTAGCTACTAGGGAAGCTACAGCGGGAGGACTGCCTTAGCCCAGGAGTTCAAGACTGTAGTGATGGGCCACTGTACTTCAGCCTGGGTAACAGAGTGACAACATGTCTCTAAAAAAATTTTTTTCAAAATAAAAAAATTCAGAGGAAAGAAAAGTGCTTTTTGAAATTAAAATGGCATACAAATGGCCAATAGATATGTGAAAAAATGCTCAACCTCACTAATCATCAGGGAAATGCAAATTAAAGGCACAATGACATATCATCTCACACCTGTCAGAATGGCTATTAGGAAAAGATAACAGGTATTGGTAAGGATATGGAGAAAAGTGAACCTTTGTACACTGATGGTGGTTATGTAAATTATTACAGTAATTCTGGACAACTATCTATTCCTCAAAAAACTAAAACCAGAATTACCATATGATCCAGCAATCCCACTTCTGGGTATATAACCCTAAGGAACTGAATTCAGTATGTGGAAGAAGTATCGGCACTCCCATGTTCACTGTGGCATTATTTACCAAAACCAAGTTATGCAATCAACCTAAGTGTCCATCAATGAATGAATGGATAAAGAAAATGTGGTGTATATATACACAATGGAATACTGTTCAGCCTTAAAAAAAGAAGGAAATTCTGTCATTTACAACAACATGGATGAACCTGGAGGATATTATGCTAAGTAAAAGAAGCCAGGAATAGAAAGACAAATATTGTATATTCTCACTTGCATGTGACATCTAAAACAATCAAACTCATAGAAGCAGAGAGTAGAATGGTAGTTACCAGAGGCTGGGAGGGTGGTGCAAAATGGGGAGATGTTGGTCAAAGGATAGAAAGTTGTGGTTAGACAGGTGAAATAAATAATAATTATGTAAGGTGATAGATATGTTCATTAGCTTGATTCAATCATTTTACACTGCATACATATGTTATAACATCATTTTATACCTAATACATATGTAAGATTATAATGTCAAGTTAAAGAAAACATTTTAAAAATAAAAATGACAGGCCAGGCACAGTGACTCACACCTGTAATCCCAGTACTTTGGGAGGCCGAGGCAGGCAAATCACCTGAGGTCAGGAGTTTGAGACCACCCTGGCCAACATGGCGAAACCCCATCTCTACTGAAAATACAAAAATTAGCCGGGCATGGTTTGTGGGCTGTAATCCCAGCTACTCGGGAGGCTGAGACAGGAAAATCGCTTGAATCCAGGAGATGGAGGTTGCAGTGAGCCGAGATCGTGCCACTGCACTCCAGCCTGGGCGACAGAGCGAAACTCCATCTCAATACAATACAATACAATACAATACAATACAATACAATACAATACCATAACATAACATAACATAACATAAAATAAAAATAATTAAAATGACAGAAAATTGTCAATAAAAGTTTAGAAAATCAAACTGAAAAAAAAAAAATCAAAAGTAAAATCCCCCAGACCCCTCCCCTTCACAAAAACCAAACAGACTCAAAGTAGTAAAGAATAAAACTAAGAAAGCTGCAGGATCAGTCCTGAAACTAACAGCTATTAGAGAAAGAACAAGAAAAGGAAAGAGAACTAAACACCCTAAGTGTCAGGACTGAAAGTAGAACCAACCACACACACATACAGAGACACAAAAAGCAACTGAAATTTCAAAACACTGGTGATAAAGATAAAACCTAACATTTCCCAGAGGGAAAAAAGGGGAAAAAATAAGTCACACATAAAGAATTAGGAACCCAAACAGCATGAGAAATCTCCAGAGTGATATTTGGTAGAATAAAAATGCATATAATTTCCTGGAGAATTGTTGGTTATAGAGTATCCACCCAGAGAAATTTTCACATATATACAAGCAGAAGCATACAATAATGCTGATACAATGTAAATCTCTACAGAATTTAAAAGTATAGACTACATTAACTTGTATCACCATGAGTAAATCAAAACAAAGTAGCTGGAAAATGATACATACAGTGTGATGCCATTATGCAAAGTTATAAAACTTACAAAGCAGAAGCTGGGAGCGGTGGCTCACGCCTGTAATCCCAGCACTTTGGGAGGCTGAGGCAGGCGAATCATAAGGTCAGGAGTTCGACACCAGCCTGGCCAACATGGTGAAACCCCATCTCTACTAAAAATAGAAAAAAATTAACCAGGCATAGTGGCGGGCACCTGTAATCTCAGCTGTTCGGCAGGCTGAGGCAGGAGAATAGCTTGAACCTGGGATGCAGAGGTTGCAGTGAGCCGAGATCACTCCACTGCACTCCAGCCTGGGCAACAGAACGAGACTCCGTGTCAAAAAAACAAAAACAAAAACAAATAAAATTTACAAAGCAACAGATTAGTTTACATACATGAATATGTGGCAAAAGTATTTAAAAACATGCTTGAGTTGTATAAACACTAAAACTACTAAGACCAACTTGATAGTACTTACTTCTAGGGAAATAGTGAAGTGGCAATATTTAAAGTTGGTTAACATGCCTCTGAGATCAATTTGAAGCAAACAGCAAAATGTTAATGTCTGTTAAATCTTAGTGATGAGAACATGGATCCTTATGTTAAGAAGCAAAAATGTTCATGCTGCAAGACTATTCAAATAAGCTGCACACACTGATATAACAACAGTTCATGTCTCAGTAAAATCTTATTTCAACACAATAATTGTACAATTTATTTTATTATTAAATGGTCATTAAATACCCATTTCCTTGATAAATATTACAGTAAAACTTAGTCAACAAAAATATGGGTACTTGCGCTGTTCAATTTATGGAGTGTGAAAATGCAATGTAAACACATATGTAGAACAGAAACTGTTTAGCCAAAATAAATGTCACTTCTGTTTTAACAGACGCCTGGTCTAACGCTTACAAATAAAAGATCAACTCATTTAAATGTATCTGCCTACTAAATTTTTTTAGAGTTCTTTAAAATTACTTTCAAAAGAAATGGAAAAAAATGCCTTAAAAAGTAAGAACAAGCAAAGGGGAGAAAAGCTTCAAAAAGTGATACAGGAAAAAAAGACATGAGAGTAAGTTTCAATATTTTCTCAAAATCAAATATACTTGGCCAGGCACAGTGGCTCACGCCTGTAATCCCAACACTTTGGGAGGCTGAGACGGGCAGATCACGTGACTTCAAGAGTTTGAGACCAGCCTGGCCAACATGGTGAAACTCCATCTCTACTAAAAATACACAAAAAAACTAGCTGGATGTGGTGGCGGGCACCTATAGTCCCAGCTACTCGAGAGGCTGAGGCAGGAGACTTGCTTGAACCTGGGGGCAGAGGTTGCAGTGAGCTGAGATTGGGCCATTGCACTCCAGCCTGGGCAACAGGGCAAGACGGTCTCAAAAAAAAAAAAAAAAAAAATCAAATAAACTCAAATTTCTCTACTAGTATCAAATAATGATCTGTCCACTCTACTAGTATCAAATAATGATCTGTCCACAATGCCCAATGGTAGCTTAATCTTTTGTGAAATATTTTTGTAATGAAAACATTCACATTCACACGATATAATCCACATGATAAAAGTGTTTCTAGTTCAAGACAGGTGGAACAAAGCCATTTATCTCTAATCCCTCCCAACATGCCATCAAAATGTTAGTAAAGGAAAAATTTTAAAAAGGTGTAAAACACGAAGCAATGAAAAATTAAGAGCAGGAAATGGGGGCAAGAGGTATGCCATCAATGGGTAGAGATATCAAAAGCCTTTGGAAGCCATAAAGCAGATAGAAGCAGTGATTAATAAAAAACAATGGGCAGGCTACAGTGGCTCATGCCTGTAATCCCAGCACTTTGGGAGGCCAAGGCAGGTGGATAAACTGAGGTCAGGAGTTCGAGACCAGCCTGGCCAACATGGCGAAACCCCATCTCTACTAAAAATACAAAAAATTAGCCAGGCGTGGTGGCAGGCACCTGTAATCCCAGCTACTTGGGAGGCTGAGGCAGGAGAATTGCTTGAACCTGGCAGGCAGAGGTTGCAGTGAGCTGAGATCGCGCCATTGCACTCCAGCCTGGCAACAGAGGCTCTCGAAAATCAATAAATAAATAAAAATAAAAAAGAATGGAAGGACCAGCAGCTTAGCAAGTTAGAACTGCGGAGGGAATCCTAGACAGTTTGAGAACTCATAGTACGTTCACAGATGTAGTAAAATAGGATCATGCCTGCAAGTAAGAATGAGGGTGAAACTAAGTTATAGAGAACCATCGACCCCAGTCTCCTCTCATACAGACAAAAAGCAGAAGTGTTCTGTCTTTTCTCAAGAAACTTAAGATGAATTCTCTATTCATATTTAAGGATAAGTATAAACAGCTAAGGATAATGAGGCATGTGAAGAAACAAAGGCAGCTGGCTGGGCATGGTGGCTCACACCTGTAATCCCACCACTTTGGGAGGCTGAAGTAGGTGGACTACTTGAGCCCAGGAGTTCAAGACCAGCCTGGGCAATATGGTGAAACCTCATCTCCATAAAAAATACAAAAAGATTAGCCAGGTGTGGTGGCGGCATGCCTGTAGTCCCAGCTACCCGGGAGACTGAAGTGGGAAGATTACCTTAGCCCAGAAGATCAAGGCTGAAGTGCTTGGGGGAAAAACAACAACAACAAAAAACCCAAATTGGCACCTCCCCTCTCTATCTTGCTTCCTCTGTTGCTATGTGATCCCAGTAAAAGAAAGAAAAGAGCGGGAGGGGGAGGAGGTAGGGGGAGGGGGAGGGGAGTGGGAAGGGGAGGGAAGGAGGGAAGGAAGGAAGGAAGGAAAGAAGGAAGGAAGGAAGGAAGGAAAGAAGGAAGGAAGGAAGGAAGGAAAGCAGGCAGGCAGGCAGGCAAACTGGGCATAGTGGCTCATGCCTGTAATCCTAGCACTTTGGAAGGCTGAGGCAGGAGGATCACTTGAGGCCAGGAGTTGAAGACCAGCCCAGGGAACACAGCAAGTCCCAACTCTACGAAAGATTAAAAAATTAACCAGTCATGCTGGCGCGTGCCTGTGATCCCAGCCAATTCAGGAGGCTGAGATGGGTGGACTGCTTAAGCCTGGGAGGTTGAGGCTGCAGTGAGCCATGATCGTACTGTTGTATTCCAGCCTGAGCAACAAAGCAAGACCCTGTCTCAAAAAAAAAAAAAAAAAAAAGAAAGAAAGAAAGAAACTCAGCAGCACTAAAGCCATGATAAACACTGGGAGAAGAGAAGGAAAAAACTAAATCAAAGAAGACTTCTTCTTTTAAATCAGAAATCAGAATCCTCAGATTCAAAAAGATACTTCATCTGGCTTCCATAGAATAACAGGATGTTAACAAATGGAACATAGTACAAAAAAACTGCTTTTCAGATTTAAACATGACTGCCTCAATCCATCCCCCTTCTTAAAAACAAACAAACAAACAAAACCCAAAAATTCTTGATGGTTTTTGAAAGTTAAAGTAAGCCAAAGCAATCTCCTGGACTGTGTATCAAATTAAAAAATTTAAAGGTGAAGGCTGGGTGCGGTGTCTCACGCCTGTAATCCTAGCACCTTGGGAGGCCGAGGTGGGCAGATGGCGAGGTCAGGAGATTGAGACCATCCTGGCTAACATGGTGAAACCCCGTCTCTAATAAAAATACAAAAAGTTAGCCGGGCATGGTGGCGGGCACCTGTAAGTCCCAGCTACTAGGGAGGATGAGGCAGGAGAATGGCGTGAACCCGGGAGGCGGAGCTTGCAGTCAGCCAAGATCGCACCACTGCACTCCAGCCTGGGCGACAGAGCAAGACTCCATTTCAAAAAAAAAGTAAAGGTGAACATCACAGAGGTTCAATCCAGGAAATGCAATGCTGGACCAAATATTCCAGAAATTGAGAAGAAATGAAATTATCAAAGAAACAATAAAACAAAAATAATTTTTCAGAGCTGAGGGAAGATACAAATACTCAGACTCAAAGCCTACTGCTTGGCGGAGAGGCAGAGTAGGGGAGAGATCCCATGTTTAGACAGATCATTATGGACTTTCAGATGGCCAAGAATTAAAAGAAACTTAAAAGCTTTTGGAAGCAGTATGGCGCTTCTTCAAAAAATTATAAATAAAACAACCATATGATCCAGCAATGCCACTTCTGTGTATGTATCCAAAAAAATGACAGTGGGATCTCAAAGAGACATTTCTATTTGTACACCCATGATCGTAGTACCCATATTATGCATAACAGCCAAGAGGTAGAAGCAACCCAAATGTCCAATGACAAACGAATGGATAAACAAAATGTAGTATATACACAGAATGAATTATTCTTCAGCCTTAAAAAAAGTGAAGCAAATACCGTCACATGCTACAACATGGACAACATGTCAGTCACAAAAAGACAAATACTACATGATTCCACTTACATGGGGTATCTAAAACAGTCAAATTCATAGAAAAAGAAAGCAGAGTGATAGTTACCATGGACTGGAGGTAGAAGGGGAAAGGGGAAGCTGTTGTTTAATGGGCATAGAGTTTCAGTTTTGCAAGATGAAAAAGTTCTGGAGATTTGTTGCACAATAATGTGAATATACTTAACACTACTGCAGTGTATGCTTATTTTTCTTTTTTGCAGCAACCATGGCCTGATAGGAACTGTACACTTAAAAATGGTTAAGATGGTTATGTTGTATTATGTGCTTTTTGTACTACAATTAAATTTTATTTAAGCTTTTGGGGGTAAGAGTAGAGCTAGAAAGTCATCTACACAAAAAGAAGAATCCAAATAGCACGAGACTTCTCATCAACAAAACTAGACCACAGAAAATTCCTTTGACATTCCATAGCAGAAAATCAAATGATAATGTCTAAATGAAAAATCATTAAATAGTTGTATAAACCTTTTAGTTAAAAATCAGGCCAGGCACAATGGCTCACGCCAATAATCCCAGCAGTTTGGGAGGCTCAGGCGGGTGGATTGCCTGAGTCCAGCAGTTTGAGACCAGCCTGGGCAACATAGTGAGACCCTGTCTCTATAAAAAAAAAAACTTCAAAAATTAACTGGGCACGGTGGTGTGCGCCTGTAGCCCCAGCTACCTGGGAGGCTGAGGCGGGAGGATTGCTTGAGCCCAGGAGGTGGAGGGTGCAGTGAGCTGAGATGATATGACTGCGTTCCAGCCTCGATGACAGAGCAAGACCCTGTCTCAAAAGAAAAAAAGCTTGTACACATGAAATATTTAAAATAATGTGCTTCTATCTTCAAAATTTAACTGATGCCACATATACTCCAAAGTGTTACCAAGAAATATTTCTATGATATAGCCAAGTACTCTTCACTTCCAGCCTGTTCCTAGACAATGTGTAGATTAATGGCTTTCATTATTATAAAACATTGCTAAAATAAATGATAGTAGTAATAAAATCTAATAACCAGCTTAAGTTCAAAGAGATGCTTGAAAAGTCACATACTAATAACACCATTCCAGGACCTTACAGAACATACTCATTCACAAACACCTGCATCAAATCCTATACTGCTTGAATGAGAAGCAAAAGAAAAACAACTCCACCCATCAGTAAACTCACAGAAACAGAACATGTAGCTCACATCCTTTCTTCCAATTCTTAGTATCATCAGAATTAAATTATTTAAGTCCTCCCCTCTTCCAAATCAATTCTGATGAACTGTAGTATCAGTGGCATTCACTTCAGATTTTCAAAATCATAACTGACATTCAAAAGGGCTTGAATAATTGTTTAAGAGATATTTTACAGTTTTCATTATAATTGCTGAATAACATTGGCATTGACCACACCCAGGTCCAATGGCAAGGAGATGTTACTGATAAAAATAGGCTAGTCACTTTCAATAATTCTCCAAAAGCTGGAAACTATAGCTCTACATTAGAGCAAGATTATGAAAACAAATTTATTCAGTAAATCAGATTCTCTGAAATCATAAGTGAGAGACCCCAGATACAAGAATAATTTAGATTTTCTTGTCCTAAATCAAAAGCTCAGCTAGAAATTTCAAACTCAGGACAACAGTGTAACTTACCCCTCTCCAAGCCTTTCAACAAGAAAAATATAGTTCATAAAATGGAAATAGCTTTGTTGACAGTGGTATTTTGCTTTAGTCGCAAATTTAATCTGAGAAAAAAAATCTATCACACTGAATACATACAGTGTGCTCTAAAAACCAAACTACATGCAGACCTATGAAAAGTATTTATTCAGGCTATATCAAAAACAGAAAATTACCACTTAATCAACTTTAAAGTAGCAGTTCTCAACATAGGGCAAGGTATCATACAAGAGGAATTAATTTAACGTCACTTGTCATGCTTTTCCAAATTCTACAAGACACAACTATAGGCAGGAACTTAGATGAATCTCATTAACAATGCTGAAAGAAACTAGAAATCAAAGAGTATACAATGTATGATTCCATTTAAATGAAATGTAAAAACAGGCAAAACAGTTTAGAAGCCAGGTAAGCATAAAATGTATACAATAATTAGGATTACTATAAAACCCAATAATATTAAAGTCATTATCAAAATATTTTTTAAAACTTGGCATAGTAATACATGTCTTCTTCACTAACACAACAGTATCTAGTGGCCGGTCTAATAAGTGTCATAATTCTGAAGTAGTGGTGAGTTTAATAATATTTTAAGATACCTGCAACAACTATAAAGTGATATAGAAATATCTGACTTCTAAAGAAGACAAGTAAAAAAGTATTGCTATACTACATTGATAATTGAAGAAAATGTTAAAATTCAGTTAGAGATTAGTGAAAATAAAAACATGATTCTCCTGAATTTTACTGATAGATCCCTATGTGGGTCTGTGGGCTCCAGCTTAAGAATCCCTGATTTAGTCTGTGCCAACAGCAACTTAGGGGAGAAGAAGGGAGGCATAATCTATCAAGTAGTCAGTTTTGAACATGTTCAGTTAGAGATGTCTATTATATGTCCAGTGGAGATACTGCAGGAAGGTGGATCTAGAAATAAAGCATTCAGGAGTGGGATCAAGAATGAAGACATAAATTCGGGGGCATTTATATGATAATTAAATCTCCACTTAAACCCCTTGAGAACAGAGTAAATATAATTTAAAAAGAGAAGACACTAAAGAACTAAGTTCTTGAGCACTCCAACATTTAAAGGTCAAGAGACGAAAAAAAATGCAGTAAAAATTACTGAGAATCAGCAACCAGAGTTGTGGGAGGAAAACCAACAGTGTGGTACCCCTGACAACAAAGAAAAATGTGCTTACAGAGGAGGAAGTGATAAACTGCGTCAAATGCTGCTAACAGGTCAATGTCCTATCAAAAAGAACAACCACTGGATACCTATTAGAGCAGCAGACATTTTCTGTGTGCTAAGAATTGTTTCAACGTATTTACAGGCATGAACTCATTTAATCCTCACAATAATCCTATGAGGAAGGTACTATTATAATCACTACATTACAAATAAGGAAACATACAATGAGGTTAAGAACTTGCCAAAGACACACAACTATCAAGTGGTAAAACTAAGAACTAGGCCAGGCACAGTGGCTCACGCCTGTAATCCCAGCACTTTGGGAGGCCGAGGCGGGCGGATCACGAGGTCAGGAGATCGAGACCATACTGGCTAACACGGTGAAACCCCATCTCTAATAAAGACACAAAAAATTAGCCAGGGACGGTGGCGGATGCCTGTAGTCCCAGCTACTCTGGAGGCTGAGGCAGGAGAATGGTGTGAACCCGGAAGGCGGAGCTTGCAGTGAGCCGAGATCGCGCCACTGCACTCCAGCCTGGGCGACTGAGCGAGACTCTGTCTTGAAAAAAAGAAGAAAAAAAAACTAAGATACCAAATCATGCAGTCCAATTCCAAAGCCAAATCTCATCCTCAGGCTCAAAGTTGGGTCAAAAAGCTCTCTGGCTAATTCTCTCCCTTCCTCCTGGGGCTCACTGGTATGCCCTTCAATGTACTTATGTAATAAAGAAGCTGAAGCTTTAGGCTTTACTGGGTGGTGATGAGGAGGCAGGCCTTTTGGCTTCCTCTGGTTTTAGGTCATTCAGGCCTACCTAACAACTTATGTAAACCTTATCCCAGTATCCAGCTGTACTTGATTCTGGAGACTGACTCTCCATCCAGTTAAATGCCTATTATTCTGTCTTACTTATCCTACTCTGTGCAGATATTTGTTTCCAAAACCACACGGGAAGAATGTTCAAGGCAAAATGTGGATATTCCTCATCTAAATGGTCTGATTTCATCGAATGTCACTTGGCAAGTAATACAACACAGTAGTTAAGAACATGCACATGGGACAGTCTAAGATGGTAGTGGTGGTCACAGCAGAGGTTTTTAATATCCTCCCCCAGACAAAGCAATCCAACAACAAAGGTATTATTCCCCCATAAACTACAAACTGTTATAAGACCCAAGTGGTATTAGCATTTGTGCAAAAGGAAGCAAAAGGAAAACAGGCTTCTGAAGATCCTGAGATGAGAGAAACTCCAACATCACCAATAGCTACTCACTGAAAAGTGTGACAGGATAATCTAGTAACAGCTAAAACTGAAAGGGAATTCTGCAAGACCCAACTGCTGGGGTCATGCAAAGGGACCAATATACAACAAGATCTGATAGTGCTGGAGCAATCTAGATCCCATAAACTCTGAAATAAATGCTCCCTTGTTAGACGAAGCTCTACACTAAAGAAAAACTGCTAAGAAGAAAATCTAAATTACAAAAAAATCCACACATACCCTACCTTCCTAAAAGTTCAGGAAAACATCACGGTCCAATTCTACACAAAGTAATTATAAGAAAGAAAAAAAGTATGAAAAATAAAGCCCCTAGAGTCAAAGAAAGCATAACTAGGAAAAAGTGCCTACTAAACAGAGGAAACCTGTAACCTATTATTTCAAAACAAACTAAAGAGAAAAGTAAAAAAAGAAAAGCAAATCACAATTAGAAAACTTAAATATTAGGTAATCAAGAACAAAGTAATTATAAATTACTAGTATTGGCCAGGCACTGTGGTTCACTCCTGTAATCCCAGTACTTTGGGAGGCCGAGGCAGGTGGATCACCTGAGGTGGGGAGTTTGAGACCAGCCTGACCAACATGGAGAAACCCCATCTCTACTAAAAATACAAAAAATTAGCCAGGCATGGTGGTGCATGCCTGTAATCCCAGCTACTCAGGAGGCTGAGGCAGGAGAATCACTTGAACCCAGGAGGCGGAGGTGGCGATGAGCCAAGATCATGTCATTGCACTCCAGCCTGGGCAACAAGAGCAAAACTCTGTGTCAAAAAAATAAATAAATAAAAATTAAGAAAAAAAAGAAATTACTAGTATTTCCCATATGTCTGGAGTATCGTCCATAGAGAATGTTTCTCACGATATAACATACAGCCATTTCAGAACCCAAAACACCAATATTCCTGACCAAACAGCTCAAACACTGATGTCCTGTGTGGTAGAATTAGCCAACTATCAGTCGTAAGAAGAAGCTTCTCAAAATAAGGTACTTTGTGGCATTTCAAACTATTGGTAACGCCTCGATTCTGGAAACTCTTAACAGTTGTGTTGACTTTCAAAACACTCTCAAATCAAAAAAACTTTATTCTTTTTTCTTTATTCTTTATTCTTTTTTCTGTACCCTCTGAAAAAGGGAAGTGGGGTCCCAAGATAATAATTAACCTTCAACCCAAAACACAGTATCTGCCCTCTGATGCAATCTCATGGCTTAAGCTATGTCTACACTGACTTCAGATGAATTTTAGTCTAGATTTTAAACACAAAGCTTGGTTATGCTACATCTCTCTTCAAATATAACATAATCAAAAACTTCATCTCTGCACCCAAGCCACCTTCATATGCCTACCCACCTATTTGTATTAGTAACAGCATTCCTCTAGTATTAATCCAGGACAGAAGCCATAAATCTTTTGATATATATTCAACCACCATTAAATCACTATGTTCCATCAATCTTGTTTTTCAGTGTCTCTCTCACCCTACCATCCTAATTTTAGCATCATCACATAATGCATTGATTATCTAACTTCTTCCTAGTGGATCTCCCTGACTTCAACCCCATCTTCCTCTAATCCACCTACAGATTATCATGAGCTTCATTTCCCTAAAACACACCTTAAATGTCCCTAAAAGATGCAGTGGTTTTTTACACCCTTATCAAGAACCTTCTCTAATTTGTCATGCCTAGGCTCTACACAGCTCAACTTCATCATGGTCATTCCCACCTCACAGTCAGTTTTTTCTACTTTATTTAGCTAGCCAAATCCTTCAAGGTGCCTGTGAAATAATATTTCCTAGGCTGGGTATGGTGCCTCATGCCTGTAATCCCAGCACTTCTGGAGGCCAAAATGGGAAGATCACTTGAGCACAGGAGTCGGAGACCAATCAGCTTGGGCAACATACTGAGACTCTGTCTATACAAACAATTTAAAAATTAGCCAGGTATGGTGACACACATCCGTGGTCCCGGCTGCTTGGGAGGCTGGGGTAGGACGACTGCTTGAACCTAGGAGATCGAGGCTGCAGTGAGCTGTGATCTGCACTCCAGCCTGGGCAAAAGAGCAAGTCCCTGTCTCCAAAACAAAACAAAACACTTCTTCCACCTTGATGTCATCCCAACTCTTCCTACCACCATCTCACCACTCCTATAAAATCATTTGGATTCCTTTTAACATTTTTGCTCTTCTTAGCTCCTTTCCCACCCTAATTCGTGACCTTGGCATCTAGTAGGTACTAAATAAAATATGTGTTAACTTAAAAGACACTTCTTAGCCAGGTATGGTGCCCCACGCCTGTAGTCCTAGCTCCTCGAGAAGCTGAGGCAGAAGGATAGCTTGAGCCCAGAAGTTTAAGGCTGCAGTGAGATATGATCACACTCCTGCACTCTAGCCTGGACAACAGAGTGAGACACCATCTCAAAAAAAAACAAAAGTAATTTAAAAAGATCCTTCTTCAAGAAAGAATGTCCTAGTTAAATTTTTCAACATTCCCAGAAATATTAAATTGGCAGAGACCTAAAAATCTATTGGAATGCTGATTAACCTCTATTATCCACTGCAACATTTACTAAGTACAAGCAGTCCTTGATTTCCAGCAATTTTATTTCTGCTGATTCATTTAAATCACCTAGCCAATTACACCTACTTACTGTGGACAGACGACACACTAATGAATTTATATTACTTGGTTTGTTTCCTGATGATGGGCATAGAGTATCCCCAACTCCCAAAGTCAGTCTATCCCTGTAGCCCTTTTTGAGAACATCTTTGGCTCTAGATCAGATCCATTCAGCCAACTCTTCCTAAGTGAGGAAAGAAAGATCAAGATTAAGCAAAACAAAGGGAGAAATATATGAAGGAAAAGAAATACATACAAAGGATTGTTTCCCTTAAGTATTAAGCAATTGCCTTGTTCCTACCCCTATTATTGCCATTCAAGTACTGTCCTTCCAAGCATTCATTTCAATCCAAATACACATTTTGGGGAATATTTTAAGAGTTGACTTGAGGTTAAAGTCTTTTTTTTTTTTTTTTTTTGGAACGAAGTTTCGCTCTTGTTGCCCAGGCTGTGGTGCAATGGTAGGATCTCGGCTCACTGCAACCTCTGCCTCCCGGGTTCAAGCGATTCTCCTGCCTCAGCCTCCTGAGTAGCTGGGATTACAGGCACCCACCACCACACCTGGCTAATTTTTGTATATTTAGTAGAGACGGAGTTTCACCATGTTGACCAGGCTGGTCTTGAACTTCTGACCTCAGGTGATCCACCCGCCTCGGCCTCCCAAAGTGCTGGGATTACAGGCATGAGCCACCATGCCCGGCCAGGTTAAAGTCTTTAATTAGCACCATCATTTTATAGACACACTAACATCTAAATCTAATATCTAATATCTAAAAACTCTTAAACACAATTAACAAAATAAACACCTGCATTCCAACGGCAAAGTAATTCCATATTTATGCCTGTAAGATTTTGTCATTAGGAAAACTAATAGGAAGATGGAAAATTAAAGTCAAAATAAAACACCATTTCTCTCTCCTTAGATTAAAAAAAAGAGAGAGAGAGAGACTCTCAATATCAAACACAGACAAGAACACAGAGCTTTGCTGTTTGGTATAGTAGCCACTAACCACTCGGGGCTAGTAGGAATGTTAAATGAGGCTAATGCTAATAGAGATTTGCTGTAAGTGTAAAATACACAATGGATTTTAAATATTTAATTTATTAGTACTTTTTCACACTGCAGATAAAGACATACCCAAGACTGTGCAATTTACAAAAGAAAGAGAGGTTTAATGGACTTTCAGTTCTATGTGGCCAGGGAGGCCTCATGATCACTGCTGAAGGCAAGGAGAAGCAGGTCACATCTTACATAGATGGCAGCAGGCAAAGAGAGAGCTTGTGTAGGGAAGCTCTCCATTATAAAACCATCAGATCTCATGAGACTTACTCATTATCATGAGAACAGCACAGGAAAGACCTGTCCCCATGATTCAATTACCTCCCATGGGGTCCCTCTCAGAACACCTGGGAATTCAAGATGAGACTTGGGTGGGGACACAGCCCAATCACACCATTTAATATTTTTTAAAAGAATGCAAAATATCTAATTAACTTCATTGTTTATATATTGAATCATTTTGGAAATACTGGATTAAATAAAATACATTACTAAAATTAACTTTGCCTATGTCTTTTTTATTAATGTGGCTACTAGAAAAATTTAAATTACCTTACATTTATATAGGACAGCACTAAATTAAAACAACAGAAACTTTTGGCTGGGCATGGTGGCTCATGCCTGTAATCCCAGCACTTTGGGAGGCCATGGCGGGAGGATCACCTGAGGTCAGGAGTTCAGACCACCCTGGCCAACATGGTGAAACCCCATCTCTACTAAAAATACAAAAAAATTAGCTGGGTGTGGTGGCAGGTGCCTGTAATCCCAGCTACTTCAGGAGGCTGAAACAGGAGTATCGCTTGAACCCAGGAAGTGGAGGTTGCAATGAGCCAAGATTGCATCATTGCACTCCAGCCTGGGTGACAAGAGCGAAACTCTGTCTAAAAAAAAAAATATATATATATATATATATATACATATATAAAATACACCACTGGTAGGAGTATAAATTAGTATAGCAACATTGGAGAGAATTTTGGAAATATCTAGTTAGGGCTATAAGATAAGGATGGCCTACAGTTCAGCCATTTTACTCCCTAGAGAAATTCTCGCATATATATATGGCATGTAAATGGTTTTAGACCATTGATTAAAATTACAAAAATAATCCAAATGTCCTTCCAAAAAAGACTAGACAAAATGTGTTCTAGCTGCCTGTGGTGGCTCACGCCTGTAATCACAACACTTTAGGAGGCCAAAGGAGGTGGATCACTTGAGCTCAGGGATTAGAGGCCAGCCTGGGCAGCATGGTGAAACCTCATCTCTACAAAAAAAACACAAAAATTAGCCAGATGTGTTGGTGCACGCCTGTAGTTCCAGGTATTTGGGAGGCTGAGGTGGGAGGATCACTGGAGCCTGGGAGGGCAAGGCTGCAGTGAGCCAAGATTGAGCCACTGCACTCTTGCCTGAGCAACAGAGCCGGACTGTCTTATTAAAAAAAAAAAAAAAAAAAGAACTGTTCTAATCATACAATGGAATACTATGCAATATATATGCAATACTATGGAAAAAAGGGACTAGAACAAAAAAAGAACTGCAAAAATATTAAGTGACAAGAACAAATTGTAAAAAAAAAAAAAATTCTGTATATGGTCATGTACATACACCTCTTAAAACAGTACTATATGCTATTTAGAAATACATACATGTAGGCCGGGCGCGGTGGCTCATGTCTGTAATCCCAGCACTTTGGGAGGCCGAGGCGGGCAGATCTTGAGGTCAGGAGTTCGAGACCAGCCTGGCCAACATGGTGAGACCCCTGTCTCTACTAAAAATACAAAAATTAGCTGAGCGTGGTGGCACGTGCCTGTAATCTCAGCTACTCACGAGGCTGAGACAGGAGAATTACTTAAAACCTGAAGGCGGAGGCTGCAGTGAGCCGAGATCATGCCACTACACTCCAGCCTGGGCAACAAGAGCAAAACTCCGTCTCAAAAAAAAAAAAAAAAAGGTTATTTCACTTTCACATTGCAATTCCAAACACTCCAGAACAGATGAATAGAAACAAACTCAATTTCCTTAAGTTTAGGACTAGCAACCACCAAAGACTTAATAAAATGTTAGATTATATAA
Organism: Homo sapiens; assembly: GCF_000001405.40. Lineage (NCBI taxonomy): Eukaryota > Metazoa > Chordata > Mammalia > Primates > Hominidae > Homo > Homo sapiens. Next base: position 44,177,295 of record NC_000002.12, on the reverse strand, counting down.
ACAAAACCAGTTACAAGAGATAATTTTTTTAAATTCAAGTAAGGTTGTTTTTGGTTATTTTTAAATCTAAGATAGATGGCCAAATGTTGAACAACTTAATGAATCTGGTCTGAATTACAGTACTAAATTTAATATATTCCAAAATTTCAAGTTCTCTTGCATATCAGCATTTTGATAAAGTAACAGAATTACAAAAATACATTAAAAATGAAACTAGGCCGGGCACGGTGGCTCATGCCTGTAATCCCAGCACTTTGGAAGGCTGAGGCGGGCAGATCACCTGAGGTCAGGAGTTTGAGACCAGCTTGGCCAACATGGTGAAACCCCGTCTCTACGAAAAATACAAAATTAGCTGGGCGTGGTGCCGCAGGCCTGTAATCCCAGCTACTTGGGAGGCTGAGGCAGGAGAATCGCTTGAACTGGGAGGTGGCGGCTGCAATGAGCCGAGATTGCACCACTGCACCCCAGCCAGTTGGTTGATTTGCTTTAAAATTAAAAAAATCAATCTTGATTCACTTTAGCAATGAAGATCAAATGAAACTGACTCATAAATGAAAGCACAAGACCACCAAGCATTAAAATAAGAACAAAAAGATGAAAGATCTTTTATGCTTAAGTTTGCAATGTTTGTATAAACTGAAGAAGAGGCCTCTTTACCAAACTGGTTCAGTAGGAAAGCAATAGAAAGAACAGAAAGCAAAAATTAAGCACCTGCTTCACACATCTAAGTGCAATACGCCCATCTCACATGCAGAAAAAACAAAGGCACGACGTTAAGTAATACAACAAAGCTATGGAAGGAGAAGCAGTGATAAATATATAGACCAAGTTGTGCACAATAAACCAAGAGACAAATTGGCTCCATTAGCCATCTTTGCTAAGAGCACAAAAGTAGCCATTACAAATCAGTACCAGGCACTATTGGTCAACCACTAATCCTTCAGCTATACTCACGTAAGAACAGAAAGCTTTTTAAACATAAATGACAACATATATTTTATAGGTATATCCCAATTATTTAAATCAGACTTAAAAAATCCTGTTCACCCTTCTCCTATTGTTCCACCTTTACTCCCATCCTCCTTTCCAGGAACTCATCTATCCAAGGATGTACAGTAAATGGAAACACCTGAAGGCCCCAAATTTCCCTCATGTCTGTCTAATGCAGGGATCTCTTTTTCTCTCTTTGGGTCATCTTTTAATCTTAAACCAGGCAGGGCATGGTGACTCACGCCTGTAATCCCAGCACTTGGGGAGGCCGAGGCAGGTGGATCATGAGGTCAGGAGTTCCAGACCAGCATGACCAACATAGTGAAACCCCATCTCTACTAAAAGTACAAAAATTAGCCAGGTGTGGTGGTGCATGCCTGTGATCCCAGCTACTCGGGAGACTGAGGCAGGAGAATTGTCTGAACCTGGGAGGCGGAGGTTGCAGTGAGCCGAGATCATACCACTGCACTCCAGCCTGGGTGACAGAGTGAGACTCCGTCTCAAAAAAAAAAAAAAAAAATCTCAAACCAATGTCTTTCTCTAAGGCACAACAATATTTCCTCTTTCCTCTTTTCAGTCTAGTTTTTATCCAATTACAGAAAACCTCTTCCTTTCCTTTTGTTAAAAATAGTAAAGCTCTAATCACAGCTTTTAAGTTTAGTGTACAAAACACACACACCCCAAATCTTCCACTCAAGTTTTTAAGCCAGCCACATAAGGAGTTCAGCTGTAATGTAAACTGTGAGTTGCTGGTTAACAGAATGCAAGATCGTCAACGACAAGGATTTGGGATTTTGTCTGTTTTGTTCAGATACTGGCATGAAATGGGGGCCTTTGCACACAGAAGGCACTCAGTGAACATAAGAATTGGCTGGAGGGTTACAGACTAAATACTATTAGACTGTTCTGAATTCTTTACTTCTCAGTGGGTTGGTAGCTCAGAGTAAATAAAAGCAGAAAGCCTCCCAAAGCTCAACAAAATCTCCTATATAATCTTAACATTTGGAGTGCTTTGAATTAATTATGTTCCCCCACCCCCACTTTTGTTTTTTTTGAGACGGAGTCTCACTTTTGCCCAGGCTGGAATGCAGTGGCGCGATTTCAGCTGGGTTGAACCTCCACCTCCTGGGTTCAAGCGATTCTCCTGTCTCAGCCTCCTGAGTAGCTAGGATTACAGGCACATGCCGCCACACCCAGCTAATTTTCTGTATTTTAGTAGAGATGGGGTTTCACCGTGCTGCCAGGCTGGTCTCGAACTCCTGAGCTCAGACAATCCGCCCACCTCGGCCTCCCAAAGTGCTAGGATTATAGGCGTGAGCCACCAGGCCCAGTCATGTCCTCTTTTTAAGGGACTAAGAAAGGCCACCTGTGTTCAACAGAAAATGCCATTTCCCCACCTCAGAGATAAATGCTTTAGTCAGAACAAGGAAAAGGAAAAACACTGCCCAAATAGGTTAAACACCCATGCTGACACTTCTAGATTCTCCTACTCATAAGAACATCCAGTAACCAGCCCTTTTCAATGCGAGGAGTGCTCTTGATACCTACAATCAAGAAAATAAAATGCGATTAGATTTAAAAATGAGTTGACATTACTCTCAGGCTTAAAAGCGCTTCGCAAGCCTTCAAACTCTTACAAATTACTCTACATATTATTGATCAGAACTGCTTCTTCTCTGGCAAACAACACTTATTCATTTGTTTTATTTTCTTGTATATTATACGTTTGAATCTACCTGATAACATAACTGCATTTTAAAAGTTTTCTATAAAAGACAAGGTTTTTTCCTATTTCTAGCACACAAATGTACTTTTCATTCACAACTGATTCTGAAGTGAAGGCCATTCTACGTAGACAATAATCACAGCAATCCTAGAGACAAGTCTTATCCTCCCTATATCACTACCAGTAATTGGTACCATCTCTAAGAGAAAGACAAGTTCCTTAATAGTCAATACATGGCTTCCAAAGTTTGTCTGTCTCCTCTAAGTATGAGATCGGATTTAACTGGATCTTCTTTTGTTCACAAGGATGCAAAACAATTTTCCAAGAAGTGTTATGTTTCTAAACTTTAAGATTTTTAATTTTCAAGAAATGAATCAATTTAAAGCTAAAAAATAGAATACTGATGATACTTAAACATTCTCCAAGAGAAAAGTTTGAATCCATTTTATATTTACAAGTTAATATTAAACTGTGTGATAAATCAAAAGTTTTAAATTAGTAAAGTGTGTTTTAAATGTTATAAACCATGTCAAATGTATAATATATGAACTAACAAATTAAAATACTACAATTGATTAAGCTACAAGGTTCTTGAGGTTAAACAAGTTATTACAAAGAGTATTATTATTTTTGTTTCGAGACAGGGTCTCACTCTTTCGCCCAATCTGGAGTGCAGTGGCGTGATCTTGGCTTACTACAACCTTCACCTCTCGGGTACAAGCAATTCTCCACCACAGCCTCCGGGGTAGCTGGGACTACAGGCATGTGCCACCACACCCGGCTAATTTTTGTATTTTTTGGTAAAGACAGGGTTTCATCATGTTGGCCAGGCTAGTCTCGAACTCCTGACCTCAAGTGATTCACCAACCTCGGGCTCCCAAAGTACTGGGATTACAGGCATGAGCCACTGTGCCCGGCCATGAAGAGTATTATTATAAAAGGTATATGTTATGCCAAGCAATAACAAGATATTGTAGATGTGATTAGTTATAGTAAAACAAAAAGAAAAAAATGTATTTAAGCACTCTTCTGTGTCATGGTTTACCATTAATTCAGAAGTAAAGTGTTTATGGTTGTTATTAAAGTTAAACCAAAGGGGAGAAATAAAGCACCCTGTAATTTGAAGGAAAACTACGAAGTATGAGATCTCGAGGGGCAAAAAAGAAATGAAAAAAGAAAACTAAAAAGAAAAAAAGTATATAAGTTATTGTACAGTATTTATGTTTCCTAGGATGTTATATGTTACTAAAAACTAAATCTCAAAATCTTTAAATACTCTGAGAAATAAATACACTATATAGATTACACTTTTGGAAAATTTTGTAACATCATCAAGAATTTAGTAAAGGGTTCTTTTCACCATAACGCTGATTCCAGTATCTGGTCTGTTAGTCTTTTTTGGCCGGCCAGTACACCTGGCTAAATTCTGTATTTTTAGTAGGGACTGGGTTTTACCACGTTGGCCAGGCCAGGCTGTTCTCAAGTGATCTGCCTGCCTTGGCTTCCCAAAGTGCTGGGATTATGGGCGTGAGCCACCACGCCTGGCCACGCTTGTTAGTCTTCTAGGTAGTCTTTAAGAAAAGGAATATGGATGGAAATGTTCAAAAGTGTCAATCATCTCAAATCAAATGGACACAAAGAGATTAAGTCACATCAGAATTTTTTAAAAAATAGAGGCGTGGTTTCACTCTGTCATCCAGGCTGGAGCAAACTGGTGCAATCACAGCTCGCTGCAGCTTTGACCTCCCTGGCTCAAGCGATCCTCCCACCTCAGCCTCCCAAGCAGCTAACTACAGGTGCACACACCACCAAGCCCAGCTAACTTTATTTTTTGTAGAGACAGGGTCTTGCTATGTTGCCCAGGCTGGTCTCAAACAATCCATCTGCCTCAGCCTCCCAAAATGTTGGGACAGGAGTGAGCCACTGTGCCCGGCCTAGAAACATTTTACTTGTAAAGATTCTAAAATGGCTTTAGCATACTTAAATTAATCCAAAAGATGAAAACCCATTTTTTTAACTCAATGTATTGATGTAAGTAAACACCAACAAAAACAAAGAAAAAATACACATTATGAAGCTCATGTACCTTTTTCTTCACCTGTTCTTGTTAGATCAGCCACTAGAAGCTGATGATCAGTTCTGTCATTCTGCAAATTTTATGACAGCCAACTACAAACTACAAAAATTAAATAGTTCCCAAAACTCTATTTCACCATCAATGTTTGAGTATAGCATAGTGAAATGTCAGTACACTTAACCATCAATTCTGCTAATATACGATACATTTTACAATAAAACTTTAAAGCTGCTAATATAATAGCAGTATTCCATTTCATTCCAATTCTGAAATTAATTCAGCAAGGGAAAAACAAAAAGAAATCAGGTACAGTGTGAAGAATAACTGAAAATTCAGGAATATCATACTCCTGAAAATTATCTTACCATAATCATGATTTCACATTTTATGCTATTACTTGAATAAATTTTGCTATTATAATTTTGGATTAAACAAACTTTTATTATTCTGATGCCACCAGTTATTTGTTTGCTAATTTTTACTAAAATCAGTGAATTGTGAAAGGCATATTTCACAGAAAATATAAAATACTGTATGTTGCATTTTTAAAAGCGAGAGTTAGAATTATACTACTTAACTACTTTCTATGCTAGGTAATGTCACAAAATACTTTAAAATAGTTACATATAAAAATATTCATGAAATACAGCTTTTTTTTTTTTTTTTTTTTTTTGAGACAGAGTCTTACTCTGGCACCCAGGCTAGAGTGCAGTGGCACAATCTCGGCTCACTGCAACCTCCACCTCGTGAGTCCAAGTGATTCTCCTGCCTCATCCTCCTGAGTAGCTGGGATTACAAGCACGCGCCACCGCACCTGGCTAATTTTTGTATTTTCAGTAGAGATGGTGTTTCACCATGTTGGCCAGGCTGGTCATGAACTCCTAACCTCAAGTGATCCACACGCCTCAGCCTCCCAAAGTGCTGAGATTACAGGCATGAGCCACCGCACCTGGCCTATATAGCCTCTTTTTAATGAATCACCACAATCACTAAGTGATACCGTGGCCAATTCTAAGCTTCCAAGACTGCCAAGACATAATCAGCATCATATTTTAATTCAAAAGATTCCATAAAAAATGTTTGTTATAGAAAAGATAACTTTCAACAAGAGCCACTTTTTCTGACCCTGTCAACCTGTGAATCAGCTGTTCTTAGAAGCACAGTTACTTGGACACTACACTATTCCTTCAGATGATGTAATCTTAAGGAATTTAGTAATTAGGTGAATTACTAACATAAAACAGTATTTACTGACATGACTAAATTGAAAGGCCTTTCACCTATTCCTAGAGTCTTCACAGAAATCAGACACCCAGTGTAAGAAAACGGTGTTGAAAGCTCTGCTGGTCACTTCAAAGAGAACAATCACTTCAACAAATCCAGAGGATAATGTACTAGAAACTGGGGAAATCTTACAGTATGAAAGCTCAAATAAAAATACTCGTGCTAATATACAGCAACAAAAAGAACCACTGCAGAAACTGTTGTAAGACTTCATGAGAGCAAAAACAAATGAAGAGGCGAAAACACAACAACCATTAAGACAAAAAAAAAGACAAAGAAGGCATTGAGAGAAGAAGCACAAAATAAAGATTATCCCTGAAAATGTGTGGACTAAAATATTCTGTTCTAAATACTTAATTTTAAAATTTCGATTAGAACAACACACTGTCCATTTGGCAGACCTACAAAAACATTTCCTTAAAAAATTACCATTACTTCAACTATATTTTTAAAAGGCCTGTACACTTGGAAAAGACTATCATAATAATTAGAATAACTTGTCTCACTATTTACTTAGAAATGCCCCATTTAAAAGTAGGCCAACAATAGGAACTTTGCTATTGCACAACAGAGAAAGTAAATGAAATAACATCTATTAACATTCAGCGTCCATGGCATGTTTCTCCATCTCCTAGAACATACTGTGACTTACACTGTCTACTCTGAACAATTTACCACTTCTTCATCCATGCAGTAGCTCAAATAAAGACAGTTCCTGTGTTAATCCCACAGTAAGCCTCAGTAATTCTCACATCACCGTAGTTGTAAACGTTTGTTAACAGAAAAAGAATGTTTTTCCTAAAATAGCTACATAACACTAAGACTACTCAAATTCCTAAATAATCCTTTTACAACATGCCTGCCAACTTTATTTTGATACATTAAACATGTGGAGCCTATTTTAAAAGCTCTTTAACTGTGACTATCAAAACAACTTCCCAGTTATTAACGTCTCTTTTTAAAAAAGTTTTCAAGTTGTTCTTAGAAGAAATTGAATATTGATGAATTTGGGCTGCTATCAAACGCCTAAGAAGCACTTTTTTTGCCGAATAAGATGGGCAAACGTCCCAGATCTGCTAAATCTGATATGAGAGGTCATGCAAGTTTAAAAAATGAAGAAATAACTATTTCCAACACTCACTGAGTCCTTCATTTAAAAAATTATTTTCGGTGTTATTTTCACACTTTACGTTTAATAATACAATTTTTTCAAGGTTGTTAGGCTTAAACTATGAAAAACTGATTTACCACATATGGCTAGTCAGTCTATACTCTTAATGGGGCTCCGGTAGATTTGGGGTACTGACAATAAGTGGCAGTTTCAATTAAGAACTTCACTGTTAGGAATGACATCCGAAAAGGATGGTGCTAGGGAAGACAGGCAAGAGATGCCGGGGTACGAAGAAAAGAGAAACACACAATTTAAAGCCACTAAGGAGGGAAGGCGAGGGTAGAACGCATAGACAGCAGAGAAAGACGATTTAACAAGGAAGTGAAGTGGAGCGCAGAGTAGGGCAGAAGCTGATGAGGAAACGAATGGTAAAAGATAGTGTTTTCAAACAGGGCATGCACCAGGAAGAGAAGCGCCAAGGCTTGGGGTAGCCCCAGTGCTTTCGTGTGAAAGAGATGCTTGCAGACTGAAGCGGAGGGAAGAGAGAATCAGTCAGCTTCCAGGCGTTCCAGCAAACTCCCATTCTCTCCCTGCGCCTCTCCCAGACCTCAGCCCAGCGGAGGCGGCGGCCGGGGAAGGGGCCTATACCCGAGAGCCAGGCCCGGCGTTCCCCTGCCTAGGCTCCGCGGCAGCAGGGAAAGCAGCGAGGATTCGGAAGGACAGAGGCCCCGGCCGCGGCTCGGCAGCACCGCGAAAACCTGCCCAGGGCCCGGGGCCTCGGCGGCGCGGCCGGTCAGCCGCTTCCCCTCCGGCGGGGTGCCGGGCGGCCTTACCTGAGGCAAGGGAGGGAGAAGATGTCTAGGGCGCCTCGCTCGCGCCCGCCGCGGTACTCAGCCCAAGTTTCCAACGGAGGCGCGACCCTGACTCAGCCGCCGCTTCCCCCTCGGGGTCTCGACCGCCGCCTCCGGGGCTGTTTACACCGCCCGGCCCCTCACGCCGCCGCCGCCGCCGATGCCGCCTTCTCTCCACCCTAGCGCCGTTGCCGATTCGGCCGCCGCCACCTCCTCCGCCGCAGCCTCGTCTCTCTGGAGCATCTTCCAACCACCGAACCCTGAGAATCAGAGACTCCAGCCGCGCCGGCAGGAAACTCCCCCGCAACTGCTAGGGGAACGAGGCCGTCAGAGCACCGGCGGCTTTTCCGCCATTGAGCAGAAGCCGCTCGGCTCCTTTTGCAACCCCCTCCCCGCACCCTAGTCCTTCCCCGCCCCTCAGGGTGCCCCGCCTCCAGCTGCCACCCACTGGGATGCCGCGCGCCCTCTCACGGCCCCCGGTTTGCTGGGAGTCTTGTCAATCACCGCTCCCCCTCCCCGTGCTGCTCCCTCGGCACCTCCGTACTTCGTTTACCCCGCCCACCCGGCCCCGCCTCTGGGTTTCTAATTTCCCATTGGGCATCAGTGGCTACTTTCAATAGGCAAGGTCAGCTGTCCATCAAACACCGCCCACTAAGTGAGACCCAACCCTTTATTACCATTTACTTTATTCGGCCCCGCCTCCGCTAGGTCCTACCTCCCGAACGTCAGGGACCAGCCCCCGCTACCAGCCATAAGTAGAGCCCTCCGTCAATCAAATAACGCCCACCTGCGCTCCTCCTAGCAAAGCCCCGGCCCCAGCGATTGTCTTTTCTTATTGGTCCAACTCGTGATCCGAACCCCCAGTCACTGGCTTTCTTGCGGGTCAGTCACTGAGCCAATTTCCAAGTCCGTCACACCGGCTTTTTTCAAATGAACGCGCAAAAGGCGGGGAAGTATCTGGAAAGCGATTGGTTCGTCCTAGAAAACGGTCAAACCCGGAGAGTCTGTACGGATCCTTTCCGTTCTGTGAGGACCGTGCCCCCTTGTATTTGACCTCTAAGCCTCGCGTAAAAGAAGCGCCATAAGGGACCAACGAGCAGTCCAGCTATAGGTGTGGACGCCTGGTCCCACCCGGAATTGCAGGGGCTTGGCTACTGATTGGCTAAGAAAGTCCTCCTAGGCCCTCATTGGAGGATCTAAACGCCTCTCTTCGGCGTGGAGACGGGAAGGGACGACTCAGACGAGGACAAGAAGTGGGCAGGGGAGAGGCGGTTGTTTTGCTTCAGCCGCGGGTGGGGCGCAGGCGAGAGTGGGAAACTGGGAAGGCCGGGCTCTGGGGAGGTGTTGCGGGGAGGGGAAAGGCCCGGATGTTCCCTAACAATGAAATCATCGCCGACCTATCAGAGCCGCCGAGCTGGGATACCTGCCTGACCTGTACCCCGGAGGGAGAAGAGTGGGCGGGAAATTGGGGTGTCGGAAGAACCTGGAAAGCAACGTGAGAAAGTGGGACAGGTGTTCCCTTCAGGAGGATTTTGTGCTATTAGAGATTATTTTTATACCAGCCCTTGACATTTCCGTATTTTGTTTCTCAGTCGGCATTGATATTAAAACTCCCAGCCTAGTCTCTTGACATGGACTTGTTCATTTCGCAGTTATTGAGCGCCTACTGTTTGCCAGGTACTGTATGTAGAACTGGAGATACAAAAATAAATTAGGCAATCGCAGTACAAGATGATAGGTACTACAATTGAAACATGCACAAGGGCTGGTGACGACATAAAGGGTCTTCCTTGTGCATAGGTTTACCAAGAAAGGCTTCACAAAGACACAGGATGAGTCAAGAATGAATGATAGGGGTTTAACAGGCCGATGGGGAAAGTGGACATGACTCCTCCAGCTATCAAATTAGACGATGCTGCCATGTTAATTCTCCAAACGAGAAACAAAAGTGTAATAGAGGTATTCTAATACTTACCTTAGGATATATATATATATATATATTTTTTTTTTAATCCGAATGTCCTAAAAGAACTTAAACCTATTTCCTACTTTGGTGTAAAATGGTTTGGGCAGACAATTTAAGCTTAGACCCAACAGAGTGCTATTCAGGTTAGGGGCTGTCAATGTTTTATAGAAAAGGGCAAATTTAGTAATAGGACAATTGTCCAGGCCGTCATAAGGACGGCAGAAACAAAGACTTAATTGCAATTCGGGTTTTTTTGTTTTTTGAGCAAGCATATTTTACTTTTTAATAAGACAAATCTGAAAAAGCAAACGCGGTCCAAAAAGCATGTGATTCGGTAAGAGAGATTTTAAAAAACCAAAAAACCGTATCTTCTTTTCACCCCAGATCTTATTAACTGTGTGTTTTCCTCTTCGAGAACTTGTATCGTCAATAACGTCATCGTGAACCAGACTAGCAGTGTGGATCATTTCTGCAATTAAGGCTATGGCGCGGTGGCTGGCTTGCACATGTCAAATTAACAGACAGCAATGCTTTTTAACAGACGCCGCCTAGAACCTTCTCAGCAATCAGCTTGTGAAAATTGGACATCGGATCGGGAGTTGTTATGATGGATATTACATGCTCGGGCCATTAGCACCCCAATAATTGGTCGAAAGGCTTTTCCTTTTCCATCAAAGTAGTACTCAGACATTTCCTGAAGTTCTGTTGTTGATATGAGCAGTTCCTTTCTAATGTCCTCATACAGACCTTTCAAGTCTCTGCAACCGAATTTGAAAGGATCGGTGATCTGTATATTTCTCACCACTGTGTGTTTTACTGTCCGGGGTTGTGTGATAAAACCGTGATATACTGTATACATTTGGACAGGCAGATGTTAAGCGCTTCACAAGACTAAAATAGGGTATCTGAGACAAGCCGAATCCCTTCCGCCTATGAGCCTGAGCGCGGGCGCCGGCAGCGGCGCGCGGCCCTGGAGGCCCTGCAAGGCCGGGGGAGCCGGGCACACCGCCACCAGCGTGAGGCCATGGTCGGAGACTGAAAGTCGCGGCAGGGTGGCGGCTCCGCCTCTGCAATTCAGATTTTTAAAACCTACTCATCAAGTTTGTGTGAGAATGGTGTTTCTTACAGCATGGTGAATAGACCACCAGCATCCGAATCATCTGGGATTCTGGGATAGAGATTCCCAGGTCCACTCATGCCTACAAATCAGGGACTCTGGGGACAAGGCTCAGAAAGGTGAATTTTAAAATAGCTCCCCAGATGATTTTTTTTTTTTTTTTTTTGAGACGGAGTCTCACTCTGACGCCCAGGCTGGAGTGCAGTAGTGCAATCTCGGTTCAGTGCAACCTCCGCCTCCCAGGTTCAAGTGATTCTCCTGCCTCAGCCTCCCGAGTAGCTGGGATTGCAGGCACCCACCACCACGCCTGGCTAATTTTTGTATTTTTAGTAGAGACGGGGTTTCACCATGTTGGTCAGGCTGGTCACAAACTCCTGACCTCAAGTGATCCTCCCGCCTCAGCCTCCCAAAGTGCTGGGATTACAGGCGTGAGCCACCGCACCTGACCTGCAGATGATTTTTATGCGCATCAATGTTTGAGACCCTCTGGCACAGGATAATGGAGGCAGATGTAAAGTAAATTAATTTCCTCACTTTTGCATGTTGGGAGAACATATGTATATCTCACATTTCCACTGTCCCCTTTATTATCAGCGTGAGATCATACAGTCCGCAGGAAGTATTATTGAAGTGACTTATAAAAAAATTAAATTTTCTTTAATCACACTCCATTGCCTGACACCCCTTATGTAAGCAGAAGGGAGTCTGAGACCTCAGCTTCTAAAATGGGAACCATGCTAAGGATAAAAAACTGAAGACATTTAGGGACCCTTGTCCTGTGAATACAAGCAACTACAGAAAGGCATGAGAACAGTTTCTTGGCTTGCTTGACTTCCTTCTCACCTTCCCTTGGTTGACCCAAAAACAAATACAAAGCTCAGTCATTTAGGTGGGCTGATAATTCCATATCATTCATACTTTCAATCACCAAGAGCAAAAAAAAAAAAAGTATGGAGACACCCCAGAACAGATTTGAAGGTTAACTTTGTTGTATGCTTTATTTGCTTAAAATACTAAACCATTAAAGAAAGCCCAACAAGAGTCACAACTTTGAAAACTGCTGTTTACCATCATAAACATAATGTGTCATAAACCCTGAGTACCATCATAATGTGCTCTGCTACGAACTAGCTGTGTGACTTGAGCTAGTAACTAAGCTATCTGAGCCTTGGTTTGTTCTGCAAAATGGGAATCGTAACATCTTTCTCCAGAGCCACATGAAGAGTTTTAGAGTCTCTTAGTAATGCAAATCATTCCCCAATATATAGTTTTAAATAAAAACAATATTAAATGTAATGTAGAAAAAGTTGGGTGAGGAAATCACATGATCACCCCTAGCTGCAAGGGAGCCCAAACAATCAGGGAACTGCGAGGTCACAAGTTGCTTAGAGCAGAGATTCCCAGTCTTTACCAAGCATCACAATCTCTTTAGATGTCATTTATACTCACCACTCTTTTGAAATTATTATAATTATTATACTCATCACTAGATCTTGTTATTTCATGCATTAATAAAGAAGCATAGGCTGGGCGTGGTGGCTCATGCCTGTAATCCCAGCACTTTGGGAGGCTGAGGCGGGTGGATCACGAGGTCAGGAGTTTGAGACCAGCCTGGCCAACCTAGTGAAACCCCGTCTCTACTAAATACAAAAATTAGCCAGGTGTGGAGGCACGTGCCTGTAGTCCCAGCTACTCGGGAGGCTGAGGCGGGAGAATCACCTGAACCTGGGAGTCGGAGGTTGCAGTGAGCCGAGACCATGCCATTGCACTCTGGCCTGGGTGACAGAGTGAGACTCTGTCTCAAAAAAAAAAAGAAGCATATCACAAATGTACTTGTTTCATAACTGTCTTTAATTATAATTGGTTTTCCTTTATAATCTTAATGAGCTTTATGTATTTTTAAATGTTATTCTGAGAAGAAATCCACAGGATTCACCAAAGGGACCCTTTGCCCAAAAAAAGGCATGGAGGAGGTCGTACCCCTGCTGTGGACTATAACCTCCAATTCAGCAAGGACATCGTTTCTTTTGTTGTAAATCATACACAATAGATGCTTGATAAGTATTTCTTGAATTGCATTTGGAGGATCTCAAGTAGTTTGCTGGACATTTTTCCTTTTCTCAGTTCTACGACCTGAAGCCTGGGCCTGTCCCCCAACCCTGCTTCCTCCTTAGAGAGGAAGTTGATCAAGCTATCACCATCTTACATGCAATCCCCACAGCCTAGGAGGCCAAAACTGGCTTCCTCAGAACCAGATCCTCCTTTGTGTTTTAAAGTGAGTGTCATACACATAAGATGATTGAGATTATGATTATAACACAGTGGGTGGTATCAGGAAAACTATTCACATGGAGCCCAACTATAAATGGTGCAACATTACTAAATGTTTAAATATGCTTGGCTGTGGAAAACTCTAATAACAGCCATTTGTGTAAGCAGTTTAGCATTTATGCCCAAATTCATTTACATTATTCATTGATTTTGTTATTTTTTTTTTTACAATAAAGTATACATTTCTGCCAACTCTTCATCTTTGCTTTATCATAGCATTGCCATTTGCTCATCCAATGTGGTGGTTTGCTCATGCTTCAAAAACCTAAAGGCAACATTGCGCTACTTTTCCCTTATGTTCCTTCCACATCTGCAGCAACTCTTCCTGTTTGCTTGTCTGAAAGCTCTTTTTCTCCTGCTAGTGAAACTGTGCTCGGCCGGGCGCGGTGGCTCACGCCTGTAATCCCAGCCCTTTGGTAGGCCGAGGCTGGCGGATCACAAGGTCAGGAGATCAAGACCATCCTGGCTAACATGGTGAAACCCCGTCTCTACTAAAAACACAAAAAATTACCTGGTTGTGGTGGTGGGCGCCTGCAGTTCCAGCTACTCAGGAGGCTGAGGCAGGAGAATGGCGTGAACCCAGGAGGCGGAGCTTGCAGTGAGCCGAGATTGAGCCACTGCATTCCAGCCTGGACGACAGAGCGAGACTCCATCTCAAAAAAACAAAAAAGGAATCTCAGCGGACTCACCATGGAGCAGACATCAAGGAGATGAACATAGGAGTAAAATCACAAGTCTATTATTCGACAAGTATGCAGGGATATAGTTGTAGGAAACCTGCAAATCGAAAATTCTTGGTGAAAGAGTCATGCAGGACTTCAGTGCAATTAGTTTAAAAGGTTTCATATTGGGCCGGGTGGCTCACGCCTGTAATCCCAGCACTTTGGGAGGCTGAGGCGGGTGGATCACCTGAGGTGAGGAGTTTGAGACCAGCCTGGCCAACATAGTGAAACCCCATCTCTACTAAAAATACAAAAAAATTAGCTGGGCGTGGTGGCAGGTGCCTATAACCCCAGCTACTCAGGAGGCTGAGGTAGGAGAATCGCTTGAACCTGGGAGGCAGAGGATGCAGTGAGCCGAGATTGCGCCATTGCACTCCAGCCTGGGCAACAAGAGCGAAACTCCGCCTCAAAAAAAAAAAAAAAAAGAAAAAGGTTTTGTATTAAGGCCCATATTTAATGTCCTTTACATAGAGGCCTAATTCTGGCAAGTAAGCAGAGATCCTCGCAATTAGGTAACTGGTCTGGAGGCAGGTAACTTATCAGGACCTGGGCATAGGAAGATTGGAGATCAGGGTTGAAAAGTTCAGGCTCTGAGGCCAGATAGAAATGGTTACAGGAGAGGATGCAAGAGACTCCCAGCTGAGTTACCAGAACCAACCAGCAGCAAAAACGGCTGGAAAATGAGCCAGTAAGAGGGCACACTAGGGCTTCTTATTGTCTCCCCGCCTGGGACCAGAACTTGTCCCAAAATATGGGGGTAGATATAAACCTTCTACAAGGGTTGAATTACAAGTCTACCGAGAGGTTGGGGACCAAGGACAGGGGGCTCCTTCATATTGAGAGAGAGTTTGCAAAGCCTCTGGGATTGAATTTGTTTTTTTCAAACCATTTTATTCCAAATTTCAGACACACACAAAACTAGAGAGTAGTATTATATAATATACCCTGTGTACCTATCACATAGCTTAAACAATTCTGAACATTTTGTTTTATTGCTTCAAACATCCCTCCCACCAATTTTTTTAAGGTTCAGTTTTTAGTCTGCTGATTTTGATATCTTCCTTGGAAATGTGTCCCATTCTCATGACTTCAACTACTGCCTCAATGCATCTGAGCTCCAAGTGTGGAGCACCAGCTCCATCCTCTTGATGTGTCCTCAGCTACCTACTGGATTTGTCCATTTCAACATCCCATGGCACTTCTCTCCTATTGGTTGCCTTCTTGGCAGCCCCCCTAAATCGATCTTGTATCCCGCTATAGAGCCTCACTTAATTGAGGTATGCTCTGGGGGAGACTGAGCTGCTCTCCAGCCCCAGAGATTAATCTTACTCAGTCTAAGCTATCTATGATAATATCATTCCCCCTTTCGGGTGATTGGTTTAGGAATGTGCATGCGAGGCAAGTCAGGCTAATGACACTTGATAGGGAATATGCTGGAGGTGGAGGATCCTGAATAGTTCCTCATAATCCTCGTAAGAATAGTTCCTCATAATCCTCATAAGAATGAGGACTATGAGAAAAGATACCCACTCTTCCTTTCTTGGACCCAGATTCCTGCAGCATATCTCAGTGATGCCACTCACTACCTAGTGACTCTGGGCAAATTATTTAATATCCCTGTACCTTGGTTTCCTCATCTGTAAAACAGGATAATAGAACCAACTCATAGGGTTGCTGTGAGGACCAAAAGAATTAATATATGTAAAGTACTTAGAGCAGTCTTTTGCTTATCAAAACTACTGTGCAAATTTTAGCTATATTATTATTTTGTAAGGATGTGATGCTTGCAGCTATGACAGCCATTTGTGACCATGAAGGGACCAAACTAGAGGACAAAGAGCAAGTCACTATGCATGAAAGAGTGAAAATGTGGAAAGGACCTTCACCATTGATGATACTGTCAAGCTATTGAATTAAACAACCTTGGAACCACTCTACTCTTGAATTTCTCATTAAGCGTGATAGTAATTTTCCTTATTTTATGTGCCTCTTTTGGTTGAATTTTGTTTTCTTTTTTTTTTTTTTAAACAGGGTCTCCCTCTGTCGCCCAGGCTGGAATGCAGTGGTGCGATCTCCACTCACTGCAACCTCTGTCTCCCGGGTTCAAGCAATTCTTCTATCTCAGCCTCCCAAGTAGCTGGGACCATGCTTAGCTAATTTTTGTATTTTCAGTAGAGATGGGGTTCACCATGTTGGCCAGGCTGGTCTTGAACTCTTGACCTCAAGTGATCAGCCTACCTCAGCCTCCCAAAGTGCTGGGATTACAGGTGTGAGCCACTGTGCCCAGCATTTTTGGTTGAATTTTCTGTTACTTGCAACCAAAAGCATCCTGATTGATACATACACCCTAAACCAAAATTTCTCTTCCCAAAGCTCACTCTAGTTTATTACCTCTGTCAAGACATAACAGTTTCCCCATTCAGCCTCCTATATAATTCCCCATATCTAGCCAGTTTTATCAATGTTTCCTTCCAACTTTTTCATTCTCTCCACTAAAAAAATTACTGTTAGTGGCAAAACCAAAATAAAGTAGTCCAGCTAGGGTGGGCACAGTGGCTCACGCTTATAATCCCAACACTTTGGGAGGCCAATGTGGGCGGATCACAAGGTCAACAGATGAAGACCACCCTGGCCAACATGGTGAAACCCCACTCCTACTAAAAATACAAAAATTGTCTGGGCATGGTGACACACGCCTATAGTCCCATCTACTCAGGAGGCTGAGGCAGGAGAATTGCTTGAACCCGGGAGGCGGAGGTTGCAGTGAGCCGAGATCATGCCACTGCACTCCAGCCTGGTGACAGAGTGAGACTCCGTCTCAAAAAAAAAAAAAAAAATTGTCCGGCTAATGCCTTGAAATTGCCCTCATTATCTTTGAAGTGGAAAGATAAAATAAGACATTAAAGATTAAAAGAATAATTCTTGGCCAGGTGCGGTGGCTCATGCCTATAATCCCAGCACTTTGGGAAGCCAAGGTGGGTGGATCACCTGAAGTCAGGAGTTCAAGACTAGCCTGGCCAACATGGTGAAACCCCATCTTTACTAAAAAATACAAAAATTAGCCAGGCATGGTAGCGGGTGCCTGTAATCCCCGCTACTGGGGAGGCTGAGGCAGGAGAATCGCTTGAATCTGGAAGGCTGAGGTTGCAGTGAGCTGAGATCGTGCCATTGCACCCCAGCCTGGGCGACAAGAGTGAAACTCCGTCTCAAAAAAAGAAAAAAAGAATAATTCTTTTCAGGCTGGGCATAGTGGCTCATGCCTGTAATCCTAGTCCTTTGGGAGGCCAAGGATGGGGGATCACTTGAGCCCAGGAGTTTGAGACCAGCCTGGGCCACACAACGAGACCCAGTCTCTACAGAAAACTTAAAAATTAGCCAAGTATGATGATGCACACCTGTGGTCACAACCACTCTGGGGGCTGAGGCAGGAGGATTGCTTGAGTCTGGGAGTTTGAGGTTACAGTGAGCTATGATTGCACCACTGCACTCTAGTCTAAATCACAAAGCGTAATCCTGACTCAAAAAAAAAAGAAAAATTCTGGCCGGGCGTGGTGGCCATGTCTATAATCCCAGCACTTTGGGAGGCCAAGGCAGGCGGATTACCTGAGTTCAGGGGTTTGAAACCAGCCTGGCCAACGTGGCGAAACCCCGTCTCTACTAAAAATACAAAATTAGCCAGGCATGGTGGCGCACACCTGTAATCCCAGCTACTCGGGAGGCTGAGGCAGGAGAATCACTTGAACGTGGGAGGCGGAGGTTGCGGTGAGCCGAGATCATGCCATTGCACTCCAGCCTGGGCAACAAGAGTGAGACTCTGCCTAAAAAAAGACAAAAAAAAAAAAAAAAATTCTTCAGAAAAGATAACTATTGAGTACTGGGCTTAATACTTGGGTGATATAATAATATGTACAACAAACCCCCTTGACATGTTTAGCTATGTAACAAACCTTCACACGTATCCCAAACTTAAAATAAAAATTAAAAAATGATTATTTTCAGAGTACTATTTAGAAAACGATGCAAAATGGATAGACTAGGTGAGAAAATTCTCTACGTAGATTTATATTTATCACTATATCTTAAGGTTAAATTTGACCCAGTAAATAGCTATAGAGAGGGAGAAAGCCATCTGCCAAAGCTTGTTTTTCATTGTATTATTTTGGAACTCAATTGTCTATCAATAAATTGGGATGGGCACAGTGGCTCATGCCTGTAATCCCAGTACTTTGGGAGGGAGGCTGAGGTGGGCAGATTGCCTGAGGTCAGGAGGCCGAGACCGGCCTAGCCAACATGGTGAAACCCTGTCTCCACTAAAACTACAAAAAATTAGCTGGGCATGGTGGTGCACACCTGTAATCCCAGCTACTTGTGAGGCTGAGGCATGAGAATCGCTTGAACCTGGGAGGCGGAGGTTGCAGTGAGCCAATATCATGCCACTGCACTCCAGCCTGGGCGACAGAGCAAGAGTCTGTCTCGAAAAAAAAAAAACAATAAATTGAGTATAATTTTCAAACTCTATCATAGTTATGTCTATCCACGAAGGACAACTATTTTGGTGATTTTGTAATACCAAATCATACAATTTATAGCAAGGATATACACCAAATAAAGGTCATTGTTCATAATTTTATAGGTCAATTTTATAATTATAATAATTTCATAAGTCATAAAAGCATGTATTTATATTTTTGTTACTTTCTCCTGGACATGTTTCTTTGTGTGCTTTAGAAGATTACATACAACCACTGAAACAATTTTCTTTTACGATAACTTTGCAGTGTTACTTTTATTTACTTACTGTGGGGTGATTATATTATAAAGTTAAGCACTTTTGTGAATTTCAGTTGCTACATGAATATGCACATTTGTTCATATTTGGGCAACTGTATTATGGTTTGTTTGCTATTAATCACCATCATTCAGGACAATATAGAATAACCAACATAAAGTATTAGACATGATTGCTAGATTTTTTGCAAAATACTTTCTCAATGGGGACAAACAGCTGAATGGCCCCAGGAAACCTAATCTCTGTATCTCAAGCTGAAGTGAGTGAAAGTATATTGGATAGAAAATGCTATAAGATTATAGAAAAGAACAACTTAAATTAAAGCAATGTGTCTTATAATTTCCCAACACTTCAACAGAACTCAACACCAACTGGAAGCTAGTAATCAGACATAAGAGAAATATTTTTAAGCAAATTTCCTACCAATTAACAACCTGAACCACCTTCTGCAATCCTGCTAGTTTGCTCACTATAGCCCCCTCTCTCCCTCCTCTATCATCTCTGCTGATCACAACAGATTACAGGATCTCCTCTCTCTTTCCTGAGCTACAGTAGTAATGTTTTTGTGCTGTGCAATTTTATACTTAATTATATACTGTTTTGTGCTAGTCTCTAATTGTATTAGGTATGTTATGTAGTCTCTTCTCAACTAGACTGTAGTCCCAGAGGCTAGGACCATGTATCATACTTCTGTTATGGCTTTTTATGCTAAACATGGTAGGCACCCATTCATATCTTGTTGATTATTTATGGGGAAAATCCAGAAAGAGCAATTGCTTTTGTACAACTATGGCTAGAGCTCAAAGCAAATGACTTCATTTCTGTGTGGGGTAGAAAGGACTCTCACTAGGCCAGATACGGTGGCTCATGCCTGTAATCCCAGCACTTTGGGAGGCTAAGGCGGGCGGGTGGATTGCCTGAGGTCAGGAGTTCGAGACCAGTCTGGCCAACATGGTGAAACCCCGTCTCTGCTAAAAATACAAAAAAATTAGCCAGGCATGGTGACGTGCACCTGTAATCCCAGGGAGGCTGAGGCAGGGGAATTGCTTGAACCAGGGAGGTGGAGGTTGCAGTGAGCCGAGATTGCACCACTGTACACCAGCCTGGGCGACAGAGCGAGGCTCCATCTAAAAAAAAAAAAGGACCCTCACTAGGCATTGATGTTTTCAAATTAATTCAGATCCTCTGGTTACAGTGAGCATAAATCTAATTAAGTTGGTTTAGCTACATAGGCATCTGTAATAAACAGACAGGAGGATTTCATAGAACCCAACTACAGGTTGGTAATTAAGACTGCATGTCTCTGCAACTGGGAACTGGGAGGTCAGAAACCAGTCTCTTTTTCTAAAAGCTGACATAGTCTCTCTTCTCTCCATTTCTCTGTCCAGCTGCTTCTGCCTCACGCATAGACGGAGGCTGGTTTCTCTCCTCTGTATGTGTATCAGCATGGCTACTCCAGCATCCACTTTCTACCTTACCCAAGACCCATGGGTAACTGACCCAGCCTTTACATCCCATTTCCAAATTTCTGGCAGAAAAAATATAATTGGCCTATAATGGGTTACATATTAATCCCTGGCCCAATCAGCCATCACCTGGATAGCAAGGCCTTTGCCATCTGATAGGCTTTAAGGGTTGTGGAAACAACCCTCAAAGTACAGAAAAGACACAGAAGCCAGGCAACTTGATCGATGCAACTACTACAGTTAAAGTCTGGAGAAAAAACTTTTGTGGGTGTATTCCCAGATAATAACCCCCTTCCTCTGAAAATTTTACCCACTGCCCAGTGGGATGGGTCTCCTACAGACACATTGGTACTAAATGACACTGGAGGTCTGGTCATTTGACCAGACCACAGTGGTCACTCTTCCTAAGTCAGACCAAACTATTTTTTTTTTCCCCTGGGAAATTTGATTTGAGACCAAGAAAATGTCCATCAGGCTAAGCTTGTCTTTTGAGAGGAAATGCTGTCAACTCAGAGAGCTTTCAGGCCACCTTTCCCCATTCTGTGCCCAGGGAAGGAGAGAGAGCCAGTTAGTTGTGAGAGAAGAATGAAGCAGAGAGACTTAAAGGGGTAGGGCTGAGAGAAAGGAGCCAGCTCTGCCTGGATTCTCCAAGGCTGAGAGTTTCTGATTCCAGAAGCCCTTGAGTTTTGTGAGATATCTCCACATTCTTTCTTTGCTTAAATTAGCTTGAGTTGATTTCCGTTATTTGCAACCAAAATAGTTGTAACTGAGACATCCAGATTAAAAGTAAGAAAAAGGCTTCCTACACTTGTCCACTGAGACAAGTCAGTTGTATCAAGATGCCACTATTTCATGGCCATGAAAAGTTTCTAAATTTATCTGTAGACTCACATATCTGCATGGCTATACAGTACATCTGTTGGTGACTCATGAGGATTAAATAGTATGGGAGGCCTTTGTTACCTGATTCTTAATTGGATGTTAGATTATTTCTTTTCTTTTTAAAAATGCAGCTGTGAGGGCTGAGTGTGGTGGCTCATGCCTGTAATCCCGGCCCTTTGGAAAGCCAATGCGAGAGGATAGCTTGAGCCCAGAAGTTCGAGACCAGCCTAGGCAAGACTGGGAGATCCTACCTCTAAAAAAATAAAAAATTAGCCAGATGTGGTGGTGCACATTTACAGTCCCAGCTACTCGGAAGGCTAAGGTGGGAGGATCACTTGAGCTCGGGAGGTGGAAGTTGCAGTAAGCTCTGATAGTGCCACCACACTCCAGCCTAGGTGACACAGAGAGATCCTGTCTCAAAACAAAAAAAAAAGCAGCTGTGCTTGGGATAGATGATTTCTTGAGAGAACAAATTGTGAAGGAAAAATGGCCTTGAATTTTTTGTCATTTAATATATGTATTATTATATGTGATGTTTGTTTTAGATTTTTTTGGCATGACTACTCATAAACAAATATTTTAGTTTTCAAAGCACATTTGTACACATTCTCTCATTTGACCTTCACAATAGTCCTCTAAGAAAGTATTGTGATATCATTCCTATTTCATAAATGAAGAAACTGAGGCTCAGCGACATCAAGTATGATCAAGTGATCAGTGACACTGATCAAGTTTAATGTCATTAATCTAACAAGGATACAACACCGACTCAAAACCAGTGTTGTTTCTGTACTCATATTTCATCTTTGTCTTCTTATAGCAGGGGTTTTAAGATGGTTCTGGTTTTTGTTTTCCCTTTAGAAACTATTTTTTTCTATTGAAGTATAAAATGGATACCAAAAAGTGCACAAATCATAAGTGTATAAAGCTCAATGAATTATCACAAAGTGTACACACCATGTAACCACCAACAAGGCATGAAATTGGTCATGACTGGCACCCCAGAACTCCCCTTCTGCCCCCTCCCAATAGCTATTCTCTCCTTCTTCCCCAAAGGAAATCACCTTCTTGATTTTTAATATCATAGATTTGCCTGTTTACAAACTTTATATAAATGGAATCATGCATACAGAGAAGAGTAGCATGGCCCCTGTGCAAGAATGACATGCAAATTTATGAAGCATTCATTAAAAAATAAATAAATATATATATAAATAAATAAATGGAATCATGCATTATGGATACTTTTGTGTTCAACTTCTTTTATTCATGTGAGATTTGCTTGCATTTAAGTGGTTAACAGTACATTAATTTCTATTCCTACATTGTATTCCATTTTATGAATACAGTATGATGTATGCATCCATTCTATTATCTATAAATACTTGAACTGTTTCCAGTTTGGGGCTATAATGAATGATACTGCTATGGTCATTCATGAATATATCTTTTAGTACACCACATATATGCCCTATTAAGTAAGTACCTAGGAATGAAATTGCTAAGTCAAAAGTTCAGACTTAATAGCTACTCCTGGCAGTTTTCCAACGTGGTTAGATCAATTTATGCTTCCACTCCTCTGATATAGAAAAATTTCAGTTGCTCCATATTCTCATCAACACTTGGTGTTTTCTGCTTTTAACTTTAGCCATCCTAGTGAGTGTGTAATGGTATATCTCAGTATAATTTAAACTTGCTTTTCCCTGATTTCTCTTTTTTTTTTTTTTTTTTGAGACGGAGTCTCGCTCTGTCGCCTAGGCTGGAGTGCAATGCCGTGAACTCGGCTCACTGCAAGCTCCACCTCCCAGGTTCACGCCATTCTCCTGTCTCAGCCTCCCGAGTAGCTGGGACTACAGGCGCCCACCACCACGCCCAGCTAATTTTTGTATTTTTAGTAGAGACGGGGTTTCAGCATGTTAGCCAGGATGGTCTCGATCTGCTAACCTCATGATGTGCCTGCCTCGGCCTCCCAAAGTGCTGGGATTACAGGCGTGAGCCACCGCGCCCGGCTGCTTCAGTGTTTATTTTATTTTATTTTATTTTATTTTATTTATATTTATTTATTTATTTATTTATTTATTTATTTATTTATTTATTTATTTATTTTGAGATGGAGTCTTGCTCTGTCGCCCAGGCTGGAGTGCAGTGGCGCAATCTCGGCTCACTGCCAGCTCCGCCTCCCGGGTTCATGCCATTCTCCTGCCTCAGCCTCCTGAGTAACTGGGATTACAGGCGCCCGCCACCATGCCTGGCTAATTTTTTGTATTTTTAGTACAGATGGGGTTTCACCATGTTAGCCAGGATAGTCTCGATCTCCTGACCTAGTGATCCACCCGCCTGGGCCTCCCAAAATGTTAGGATTACAGGCATGAGCCACCGCGCCCGGCTTTTCCCTGATTTCTAATGAGTTTGAGTACATTTTTATGTTCATTGGTCATTTGACTATCCTCTTTTGTGAAGAGCCTATTCAAGATTTTGCCCATTTTTCTACTGGTTTATAGGAATTCTTTATGTATTCTGAACATAAGCTCTTTGTAATATGCATTGTAAATATCTTCTCTTCCTCTGTGGTTTGCATTTTTAGCTTTGAATTTTTGACTTCAAAGAAATGGAGACATCTTATTTGCATTTTTCTACTTCTTTTAAAAACATAATGATTTTGATTACTTGGGATAAAATCCAATGGAACCATATGCTCAAATGGCATTTCTCTCTCTGTTTTAGTCAGGCCCCAAAAGCTGAGACCAATCCATTGGGGACTAGTACTCCCACAGTCACTCTGGACCTGTTAAGATCATAAACACACTTCTGGCTTTCATGAACCCATCATTGACCTTCAAAGTATGAGGAGGTTGAGGTAGAAAGAGCGAGAGTGAGGATTTCTTTAGAAAGTGCTTTCTCCTCCCCTGACTTTCACATGCGGGCAGGGAGAAAGTTGCCTCCTCTCCTCACCTCACGCCAAAGGAAAGGTGCCTCAAGGAGACCTCCCAGAATTTGTCCCCTGGAGTTTCAGGAAGAAAGACTTGGGTCTGATCCTTGCCAAGTATGAAGGTAGAAAAAATGGCCAAAGGTTCACCTGTTCGCAAGGTCACATTGGGTGTAAACTGGACTTTCTTTTCTTTTTTTGTTTTTTGAGACAGAGTCTCACTGTCACCCAGCCTGTAGTGCAGTGGTATGATCTCAGCTGACTACAACCTCTGCCTCCAAGGTTCAAGCAATTCTTCCGCCTTAGCCTCCTGAGTAATGGAGACTACAGGCACCTGCCACCACGCCCAACTAATTTTTGTATTTTTAGTAGAGACAGGGTTTCACCATGTTGGCCAGGCTGGTGGACTTTCATTTATAGTGGGTAAAGGAAAATATTCCCAGGGAACAAAGTGGAATCCACAAAAAGTGCTGGATGTCTCTGTTTTGTTGTTGTTGTTGTTGTTGTTTTTGAGACAGTCTTACTCTTCGCCCAGGCTGGAGTACAGTGGTCCAACCTCTGCTGACTGCAAGCTCCACCTCCCAGATCAAGCGATTCTCCTGTCTCAGCCTCCCGAGTAGCTGGGATTACAGGCATGTGCCACCATGCCTGGCTACTTTTTGTATTTTCAGTAGAGATGGGGTTTCACCATGTTGGCCAGGCTGGTCTCAAACTACTTATCTCAAGTGATTCGCCTGCTTCGGCCTCCTGAAGTACTGGGATTACAGGCGTGAGCCACCACACCCAGCCTCAGTTTGTTGTCTGTTGCTATAATATAATACCACATTGAGTGATTTATAAAGAAAAAAGATTTATTTGGCTCACGGTTCTGGAGGCTGGGAAGTCTGAGGTGGAGAGGCCACATCTGGGGAGGGTCTTGCCATTTTATCCCCTGGCAGAAGGTGAAAGGGCAAGAGAGTTCATGAGACACAGAAAGGGAGCCAAACTCCTGTGATAACGAGCCCACTACTGTCATCTGCATTAATCAACTCATGAGGACTAACGCCTGTTGAAGTTCCCACCTTTCAACACTGTTACACTGGCAATTAAATTTCAACATGAGTACCCGAAACCGGGTAATTGGAAGAAAATGTTTCAACATGAGTTTTGGAGGAGACATGTAAACCATAGCACTCCCCCGGCCCCTCAAACTTCGTGTCCTTCTTATAAACAAAACACTTTCATTCTATCACCAAAGTCCCAAAAGTCTTAACTAATTTCAGCATCAACTCAAAATTCCAAAGAGTCTCATCTAAATTAGATGTGAATGAAAGCCAGGTGTGGTGGCTTACACCTGTAATCCCAGCACTTTGGGAGGCTGAGGCAAGTGCATCACTTGAGCTCAGGAGTGTGAGACCAACCTGGGCAACATGGTGAAACCCTGTCTCTACGAAAAATACAAAAATTAGCTGGGTGTGGTGGCGTGCACCTGTAGTCCCAGGTATGCAGGAGCTGAGGCAGGACAATTGCTTGAGCACGGGAGGTAGAGGTTGCAATGAGCTGAGATGGCACCATTGCACTGCAACCTGGGTGACAAGAGTGAAACCCTGTCTCAATAAATAAATAAATAAAATGAAATAAATTAGATATGAATGAGACTCAAGGCACAATTCATTCTGAGGCAAATTCCCTCCAGCTGTGAGCCTGGGAAATCACAACATTATCTTTTTCCAAAATACAATGGTGCGACACACATAAATACACATTCCCATTCTAGAGGGAAGAAATAGACAAAAAAGGAGGGTTAACTGGTCCTAAGCAAGCACAAAACCCATCAGAAAAAAACAACATTAAGTCTCAAAGAATAATCTCCTTTGACTTCATGTCCCATATTCTGGACACACTGATGTGTGGGTTGGCCCTCAAGACCTCAGGCAGCCCCACCCCTGTGGCTTTCGTGGGCTCAGTCCACTCAGCAGGTCTCACAGGTTGAAGTCTTGTGCTCGTGACTCTCTCAGGCTGGCATTGTACATTTGTAGCTCTACAGTTCTGGGGCCTCATTGGTGGTCCTGCTCCCACAGCTCCACTAGGCATTACTCTAGTGGGGACTCTGCGGTGGCTCAGCCCTATGACAAGTCTCTGCCTGGACCCACAGACTGTCCATGACATCCTTTGGAATCTAGGTGGAGGAAGCTATGCCCTTATAACTCTTGCATTCTATGCATCTGTTGAATGAGCAGCATGTGGATGCTGTCAAGGCTTACCAGTTATAGACTCTGAAGCAGTGGGTGGAGCCACACCTGGGCCCACTTGAGCCGTAGCTGGGGCAGCTGAGGAAGGCTATTGGGATCAGAGACCTGTGGCAGCCGTGGGAAGGAGCTTGCGGAAGGTGTCCCAGGCCTATCCCCTGAAACCTCCTACAGCTCTGGGCCTGTGCTGTAAGGGGCAGCCTTGTAACTCTCTGAGATGCCTTCAGGGTATTTTTCCCACTGTTTTGGTAACTAGCACCTGGCTCCCTTCTATCTACAGTAAGCTCTTTAGCAAATGGTTGCTTGGCCACAGCATTGGTTTGCTCTCCTAAAAAATGCCTTTTCACTCTCTACATGACCAGCCTACAAATTTTCCAAATTTTTCTATTCTGCTTCGCTTTTAAATATAAATTCCTGGCTGCATGCAGTGGCTCACGCCTGTAATTCCAGCACTTTGGGAGGCCGAGGCGAACGGATCACTTGAGGTCAGGAGTTTGAGACCAGCCTGGCCAACCTGACGAAACCCCATCTCTACTAAAAATACAAAAATTAGCTGGACTTGGTGGCATGCGCCTTTAATCCCAGCTGCTTGGGAGGCTGAGGCAGGAGAATCACCTGAACCTGGGAGGCAGAGGTTGCAGTAAGCTGAGATTGTGCAGCTGCACTCCAGCCTGCATGACAGAGAGACTCCATCTCCAAAAAAAAATTATAAATTTAAGTTAATGTCTTTCCTCTTGCATCTCACTGTATGTGACTAAAAGTAGACACATAGCAGCCCAGATGCTTTGCTGTTCAGATATTTTTTCCTGCCAGATATCCTAGTTCATTGCTCTTAAGATCTGCGTTCCATAAAGTTCTTGGACACTAACACAATTTTGCCAAATTTTTGTAACTGCATAACAAGAATGGCCTTTACTTCAGTTTCCATCACCTTCTTCCTCATTTCCGCCTGAGACCTCATCAAAATGGGCTTTACCATTCATATTTCTACCAACGTTCTGATCACAGCCATCGATTAATCTCAAAGAGTTTTCCCTACAGCTCTTCTCCTGAGTCCTCATCAGAATCTCCCTTTATGCTCCATTCACAGCAATCCAGGCTTTTTCTAGTCTGTTCCTCCAAATTCTTCAAGCCTCTACTCATCATCCAGTTCCAAAGACACTTCCAAATTTTCAAGCATTTGTTATAGCAACAGCTCCACTTCTTGGTACCAATTTTTGTAGTCTGTTTTCCACAGCTATAACAGAATACCACAGACTGGGTAATGTATCAGGGAAGGAGATTTATTTGGCTCATGGTTCTAGAGGCTGGGAAGTCCAAGACTGAGGGGCTGCATCTGGTCAAGGTCTTCTTGCTGCATTATCGCTTGTCAGAAGGTGGAAGAGCAAGAGAGTGCAAGAGACAGAGAGAAAAGGGAGCCTGCAAGCCTATAATAACTAATCTACTCCTGTGATAATGGCATTAGTCCATGACCTAATCTGGATTAATGGCAATTACATTTCAACATGAATGTTGGAAGAGACATTCAAACCATTGCACCTGGGATGAACTGAAGAGGAATCTTGCCTCCTCGCTCCTCAAGGAGTGAAGGAACCACCAGAAGCCCAAATTGAGGAAGTCATCAAAAGCTGACAGCCAGAGAAGTGTTGTCTGCATCAGGGAACTGCAGTCAGGGTAGGTGGGGAGAGAGGGGTGACCTGGGAGAGAGAGTCAGCTTTGGGCATTTTCCATTCCCAGAGGGCACTGATGCCAGAGGACACTGCACTAGGTATAAAAGACTGTTTGCCTTTTCCCCTAATCCCCTTTCCCCACTGGTACAGGGTGGAGAGGTCAGAAACAGCAGTTAGCAAGTTCAGGAGGTGGTATGGGAGGAGAGGAGTGGCTGACAAGGCTGCCTCTCCTACCTCTGGCTCTGATGCTCGAGGCAGCCCTGAGCTGGAGAATCAGAGAAGATTTAGCTTTGAACACATTTGGAATTTTGAAACTGCCCTGGACAAAACTGGAGTTATGTGACTATAACCCTGGACTGGACTCTTCTACAAATTCTCTTCTCAGCTGTTTCTATTCTGAGGCTTAATCCATCTATTGAGTTTTCAATTTCAATGATTAAAATTTTCATCTCTAGAAATTCTCTTTGGCTCTTTATCATATTGGCTTAACTATTTTTATAGTCTTTTGTTCCTTGCTCATATTTTGAAACACCCTTTTATTTCTTTAAATATACAAAACAGTAATTTGATGTCGGATCTGACAATTTCAACATCTGAAGTCTTTGCAGATTTGATTTTGCTGTTTAGTGTTTTTTTGTTTGTTTGTTTTGTTTTTTGTTTTTTTGTTTTTTTTTGTTTTTTTGAGACGGAGTTTCGCTCTCTTGTTGCCCAGCCTGGAGTGCAATGGCTCACTGCAATCTCCGCCCCCCAGGTTCAAGAGATTCTCCTGCCTCAGTCTCCCAAGTAGCTGGGATTACAGGCACCTGCCACTACGCCCGGCTAATTTTTGTACTTTTAGTAGAGATGGGGTTTCACCATGTTGGCCAGGCTGGTCTCGAACCCCAGACCTCAGGTGATCCACCTGCCTTGGCCTCCCAAAGTGCTGGGATTACAGGCATGAGCCACCTAGCCCAGCCGATTTTGCTCTTTAGTTTTGGCTATTTCTTGGCTTTGAGTGCCTTATTTCCTTGTGTCATTAGATCTTTCACTGTGAGCTGAATCACTGGCTGTAGCTTTTTTTTTTTTTTTTTTTTTTGAGACAGTCTCGCTCTGTCACCCACACTGGAGTGCAGTGGCGCAATCTCGGCTCACTGCAAGCTCTATCTCCTGGGCTCACGCCATTCTCCTGCCTCAGCCTCCCGAGTAGCTGGGACTACAGGTGCCCGCCACCACGCCCTGGTTAATTTTTTTTGTATTTTTATTAGAGACGGGGTTTCACCATGTTAGCCAGGATGGTCTCAATCTCCTGACCTCGTGATCCGCCCGCCTTGGCCTCGCAAAGTGCTGGGATTACAGGCATGAGCCACTGCGACTGGCCAGCCTTAGCATTTTATTGGCAGGATTTCTTTGAGGTCCAGGTTGAAATTGCAATCCTCTTGCCTATTTACTGAAGGAACTACCAGCCTGGGACCACTTCAAGTTATATGACTCTATTAGTCTGTTTTCACATTGCTATACAGCTGTGAGTCAATTAAACCTCTTTTCTTTATAAATTACCCAGTCTCAGACCTGAGAATATGGCAGACCTGAGACTGGGTAATTTATAAAAAAAGAGGTTTAGTTGACTTGCAGTTCCACGTGGCTGGGGAGGCCTCAGGAAACTTATAGTCATGGCAGGAGGGGAAGCAAGGCACATCTTACATGGTGGCAGGAGGTGGTGGGGGCAGGGGTGGGGAGTGCCACACTTTTAAACCATCAGATCTCATGAGAACTTACTATCATAAGAACAGCATGGGGGAAATCTGCCACCATGATCCAATTACTTCCCACCAGCTGCCTCCCCTGACACATAGGGATTATAATTTGAGATGAGATTTGGGTAGGGACACAGAGCCAAACCATATAAATGATCATTTTAGGTTTTCAAACCTCATAGGGAGCATGCTATTGGACTAAAAATCCACTTGGAGGCCAGTCTGTGGTAGCAAATGCCCAGGGGGGAATTTTTCTATCTTGTTCTCCTTACCCAGAGTCAAGTTCAAGATAAGCAAATTGTTTGCTGTTCACCACTTTTTTTTTTTTTTTTTTCTGAGACGGAGTTTTGCTCTTGCTGCCCAGACTGGAGTGCAATGGCATGATCTCAGTTCACTGTGACCTCTGCCTCCTGGGTTCAAGCGATTATCCTGCCTCAGCCTCCCAAGTAGCTGAGATTACAGGCACCCGCCACCATGTCTGGCTAATTTTTGTATTTTAGTAGAGACAGGGTTTCACTATGTTGGTCAGGCTGGTCTTGAACTCCTGACCTCAGGTGATCCACCCACCTCGGCCTCCCAAAGTGCTGGAATTACAGGCATGAGCCACTGCGCCCAGCCTGCTGTTCACTTCTAAGTGGTAAGTCTATTTCTCTCTGGGATTTGGGGCAGGGAGTTCTCAGCTTTATGGGGATCCTGTAGTAGACTCTCTACTTGGGTAGGCCCTAGGTATTATCTTCTGTCCCCCAAACGCTGTGCAGCCTTCAGAGTAGAAGTTCAAGTTCTCCACAGTTCTTCAGAAACCTTAGGACTAAGCCATCTTTGGTACTCACTTTACCTCTTAAGATTCCTGCTTTCACTTCAGTTTAGGCCTCAGTAGGTTTCCTTGTAACACAGCAGTCAGGAAGACCTTTTAAATATTTAAATATTGCTTTTTGTTCATTTGTTCCAGGAAAAACCCCAAGTGGGGATTTATCAAACCTTTTATAGCCCTTTGACTACTCACCAAACCTGTGTCACTTTTCTCCTGGGCACACATACTTCTGGAAATCTGAAGTAGACCCCTTCATGTTTGAAAGAGACCCAATGACTTTTGTTATCTTGGAGTAACTGGGTATAATGGCTTAGTTTTCACATGGACAGAGTCTGTAAAATATGATAACAAGGCTGGGCGCGGTGGCTCACGCCTGTAATCCCATCACTTTGGGAAGCCGAGGTGGGTGAATGACCTGAAGTAAGGAGTTTGCCACCAGCCTGGCCAACACGGTGAAACCCCATCTCTACTAAAAATACAAAAATTAGCTGGGCATGGTGGCGGGTGCCTGTAATCCCAGCTACTTGGGAGGCTGAGGCAGGAGAATCACTTGAACCCTGGAGGAGGAGGTCGCAGTGAGCTGAGACCGCACCATTGCACTCCATCCTGGGCAACAAAAGCAAAACTCCATCTCGAAAAAAAAATATATATATATATGATGATGAATAGGATTACTTTCATAATGACACATGCTGACCTCAGCTTCATCTAAATATTGATCTCATACTCTTCACAATTCAGTGACTACCTATAGATGCCTTTAACATTTCTAAAGAAACATTACAAAACTAGTGATAATGCTTCTAAATTACTGAAGTTATCTTGCAGAGGAGTGAATTGAGGCCCCAGTGAAATGTAGCATTCATCAACATATATTCAAGTAAAATGTTGTAGCACTCCTCAACATATATTCAATAAATATGTTTAATACAAGTGGAAGTTTGCAGCAGTGAGGTCAAAGAAGGCAAAGAGAGTAGAGAACATCTGCCTGGGAATGTAGGGTGACTGCAACTCCTCTAGCATCTGCAGTCCCTTAACAGCACTGCAGATAACTCCAAGTGGGGATTTATTTTTATTTTTGTAGAGACGGGGTCTTGCTATGTTGCCCAGGCTGGAATTGAACTCCTGGGCTCAAGCAGTCCTCCTCCCTTGGTCTCCCTAAGTGCTGAGATTACAAGAATGAGCCACCATGTCTGGCCTACCATAGCTATTACATTAACAAACACACTCAAGTGTCTTAGTCCATTTCTGATGCTATAATAAAATACCTTAGACTGGGTAGTTTATAAACAACAGAAATTTGTTACTCACAGTTCTAGAGGCTGGGAAGTCCAAGATCAAGGTGCCAGCAAATTTGGTGTCTAATAAGGGCTGCTCTCTGCTTCAAAGATGGTGCCTTCATGGCAGGGCACAGTGGCTCACATCTGTAATTCCAGCACTTTGGGAAGCCAAGGCAGGCAGATCACTTGAGATCAGGAGGTCAAGACCAGCCTGGCCAACATGGCAGAAACCCTGTCTCTACTAAAAATACAAAAATTAGCTGGACGTGGTGGCACGCATCCTATAATCCCAGCTACTCAGGAGGCTGAGGCAGAAGAATCACTTGAACCCAGGAGGCTGAGGTTGCAGTGAGCAAAGATCACACCACTGCACTCCAGCCTGGGCAACAGCGTGAGACTCTGTCTCAAAAAATAAAAATAAATAAATAAATAAAACTTATCTGGGGAACAATTTAAAATTTTTGAATACATATTAGATAATACTACTTTATTAACGCACAATTTTTTTGTGTGAGATAATAATATTGTGGTTATATAGTAAAATGTTCTAATTCTTAGGAGATATATACTCGGTGCTTAGGGGTAAAGTTTCATGATATCTTTAACTTACTTTCAAGTGATTTAACAAAAAAATACAGATAGTTAGAGGCAGATAGATAAGCAAATGCTATAAAAGTTAATGATAGGTGAGTCTAGGTGAATGGTATATCAGTACTCGTTGTATTATTGTTTTCAACTTTTTATAGATTTGGCATTTTTCAAAATAAAAAATTTGGAAGGCCAGGCGCAGTGGTTTATACCTGTAATCCCAGCGCTTTGGGATGCCAAGGTGGGAGGATCACTTGAGACCAGGAATTCAAGAGTTTGAGACAAGTCTGAGCAACATAGCAAGATCCTGTCTCTACAAAAGTGAAAAAATAAGACCAGGCGTGATGGCTCACACCTGTAATCCCAGCACTCTGGGAGGCCAAGGAGGGCGGATCACAAGGTCAGGAGATCGAGACCATCCTGGCTAACACAGTGAAACCCCGTTTCTGCTAAAAATATAAAAAATTAGCCTGGCGTGGTGGCAGGCGCCTGTAGTTCCAGCTACTGAGGAGGCTGAGGCAGGAGAATGGTGTGAACCCACGAGGCGGAACTGGCAGTGAGCCGAGATTGCGCCACTGCACTCCAGCCTGGGGGACAGAGCAAGACTCGTCTCAAAAAAAAAAAGTGAAAAAATAAAGTTATCTAGGTGTGGTGGTGCACGCCTGTAGTCCCAGCTGCTAGGTAGGCTGAGGCAGGAGAGTCTCTTGAGGCCAGAAGTTCATGATTATAGTGAGCTATGATTGTACCACTGCACTCGAGCCTGGGAGACCTAAAAAAGGAAAAGAGAAAACAAAACAAAAAATACTTTGGAAAGTTTGTGAAAATCTGTCATGCTTCTGAATTGCGCCTTGGAATTTACACTGAAGAGACAAGCAATGAATTACACAGTGATGGGAAACTACCACATTAAATGTTTATGTCATTCTCTTACAAAGCTTGTGATTTTTTTTGTAGGTGTGGTATTATTCAATTAAAAGCTGTAAAAAACAGAGAGAGAGAGAAAAAATTACCAAAGGTCACATAGCTTACTGGTGGCAGAGCTGAGATAGAAACTCTCATGCTCACACTCCCTTCCTTTATGGAGAGGTAAAAAGCCTCAGGCTTGTTATGCTCCGAAATCAAATAACCTACTTCCCAATTTTGCAGAGGGTCGACCTTAAAAATAATTTTGAAACAATTCTTAAATACTAAAGATGGTCACAGAAAAAAAAGGAAAAGAATGCTTTAAAAACACTGTTCCATTGAGCCAAGCTTGAAAATATGTTTGAGATTTATAAGAGGATTTGAGGATTTAATAAAACCGTGATTTAAAAACAAGAGAACAAGAGGCTCTTTGATATGGATTTAACAAGACTTTAGGAACAGTTAGGAAAGACTCACTTCCAGGTAGTCTAATTAGTATGAAAAATTTGTGGGGAAAAATTAATCACTGAAGCAAATAATTATTCTGAAAAACAATATGATTTTATAAACATCACTGCCTTACACTGACTGACAGATCTTTGCATTTCTTGCCCAGTGTTTCACAAGTCTGTTCTCAGACCTCTTCTCCTCTTTGCTCTTTCTCAGCCTCTCATATGCTCCCCTTTCCTTATCCAATAACTCAATGCCAATGTCTCCTAAAATCTGTATCTCTGGTGTTAAGCTCTTGCTAGGCTTTGCAAGTACATTTTCAACTGCCTCTGGATATGCGCTAGGGTATCCAGTTGCCATCTTAAAACAAATTCGTCATCCTCCCTTAAGATTTTTTTCTTTTTAAGATGGACTCTCACCCTGTCACCCAGGGTGGAGTGCAGTGGCACCGTCTCAGCTTACTGCAACCTCTGCCTTCCGAGTAGCTGGGAGAATGGGCACGTGCCACCACACCAGGATAATTTTTGTATATTTAGTAGAGATATGGTTTTGCCATGTTGGCCAGGCTGGTGTTGAACTCCTGACCTCAAGTGATCTGCCTGCCTTGGCCTCCCAATGTTCTGGGATTACAGGCATGAGCCATCACACCTGGCCCCCCTTAAGATTTGATTCTCCTTCTAATTTCTCTGTTTCTGTTCGTGACACCATCATCTTCTCAGTTATCAGCTCTAACCCTTAGAATTTTCTTTTTAATCCTGCCTTCTCTCTGCCCTATATGTTTTCAAAATTCTGTGTGTTCTACTTCCATGGTGCCATGCAGGTTTGCTCCATTCTTTCACTTCCTGTTATCTACTCTAATTACCTCTAACCCAGGGTTTTCCCAAGTAGAGTGCAATAGATATTTTGGACAAGATCATTCTTTATTGTGAGAAGCTGTTCCATGCATTGTAGGATGTTTAACAGCATCTTTGACCTCTACCCACTGATAATTGCACCCCCCTCAGTTGTGAAAATCAAATATATCCCCAGACATTGCCAAATATCCCCTGAGGAAAAAAATCTTAATCCCCAGTTGAGAGCTACTGCTCTAACCAAATAATTGCCATAGCCTTCTATTAGAAAGATCTTCCTATTTGTTGGGGTCCTACCACCAAATCATTCCAGACCTTTCTACTGGTTTAGTCTTCTTAATGTTTAGCTCTGATCCTATTATCTCCCTTTAGTGGTTCCCTCCCGTCTACATAGTAATCCACAAATTCCTTTTAAGCATTCCTACTATACGGCCTTAACCTATACCTCAGTCATATTTCCCACTGCTACTCTCTACATTACTTGTTCCAACTTTGTGACCTCTGAAACTTTGCCTATGATATTTATTTATTCCTTATGTATTCATTCAGCAAATATTTATTGAACACTTATTAAATATTAGGTACTATTTTTGGCATTGAAGCTATTAAGTGAGACATGGCTCCTGCCTTCAAGGAGCTTAACATTGAGTGGTAGAAGATTATCAGTGGTCTTGCCAACAGTTGCTATGGCCTGTCTAGCATCCCCATCTACTTTTCTACTTTGGAAAATAATTTCCATAAGATTCATCTAGGACTGACCTTCCCAAACTTCCTCTTCCTACCATTAAAGGGCTGAACGCATAATCCAGGCCTGATCAGTCAAGTACACCATCTTTCTCTGGCTACACTGATTGGTTTGGGGGTGGGAATGGGATCCAAGCCAGGCCAATCAGAATGCAAACCTTGAACTTTTCTGCTGTGCACTAGGGTTACCAAGCTGTTAGAACATGTCTTAGTTGGGTGCAGTGGCTCACACCTGTAATCCCAATACTTTAGGAGGCCATGGCAGAAGGATCACTTGAGGTCAGGAGTTCAAGATCAGCCTGGGCACTATAGTAAGACCTCAACCCTACAGAAAAGAAAAAAAAGGCGAGAGAGAACATGTCTTGGACATTTGGTGGCAATAGTCTCTGCCACATGGGGAGAGAGCCTGTCCTAGGGACAGACAGATATAGTGTATTCTACTGTAATTTTTTGAGCCCTTGGAGCCAGTTATTCCTGAGGTAAATCCCAAAATTACCCCCCGGAATTATTAGTTATTTAAGCCCCAAATTCCTTTCTAAGCAACCCTGCGCTCTCCAAGGGTTTTCTGTCTCAGTGAATGTCACTGCTCTCCATACAACTGGCAAACTAGACCCCGAGGAGTTATCCTGAACACTTGCTTCTTTCTCACCCCCATCTCCAGTCCATCAACAAGTCTCTTTTTTTTGAGATGGAGTCTCACTCTGTCACCCAGGCTGGAGTGCAATGGCAAAATCTTGGCTCACTGCAACCTCTGCCTCCTGGGCTCAAGTGATTCTCCTGCCTCAGCCTCTTGAGTAGCTGAGATTACAGGCACGTGCCACCGTGCCCAGCTAATTTTTGTGTTTTTAGTAGAGATGGGGTTTCACCATTTTGCCCAGGCTGGTCTTGAACTCCTGACCTCAGGTGATACCCCGCCTCGGCCTCCCAAAGTGCTGGGATTATAGGTGTGAGCCAACGTGCCTGGCCCCATCGCCAAGTCTTATCAAAATCCCTCAACCATCCACTTCTTTCATCACCTGCTAGTGAGCTGCTAATCCAAAATCTTCTCATGTATTTTTTGGGAGGCTCCAACACACTGATGTATCTTCATCATCTCTGGACCCTATCCAATCTCCTTTTCCACCAAAGCTAGAGTAATATTTTCAAAATGCAAATCTGATCAAATTATTACCTCCTCCCTTATTACTTTCCCATTCTTCCTATTGTCCATCCTCATTTGGTGCCTCCCTCCCTTTCACTCTCTATGCTCCAGCCACACAGGCTTCTTACAGCCATTTTTTCTCTCTCCAAGTTCCCTCCTAAACAACAGTGTCTACACTAAGTCCTCTGCCAGGAATATTCTCCCCCTTTCATTTCACTAATTAACATATATATATCTTTTAGAAATCAGCTCAAGCATTGCTTCCTCAGAGAAGCTTCCATCCTTTCACTAAATAAAATCCAAAATTCTTACTATGTTTTATGAATTAATTGGGATGAATTAATCAGGACTTACTTTGCAGATAATTGAGGTGACTTTACTAGTAAATGGTAATACATGAAATGGAACATAATCTAAGGAATTAAGTGCTTGCAAAAATATTGGAAGGGATTGTATGCAGATTCTAGGCTGTGCCTCCAGGAAGGAGTCTGCTACAGTCTAAATGTTGGTGTCCCCTCAATATTCATATGTTGGAACCTAATACTCAATGTGATAGTAATAGGATATGGGGCTTTTGGGAAGTGATTAAGTCATGAGGGTTTCCCCTCATAAACTAGATTTAGTGCCCTTATAAAAGAGGCTTGAGAAAGCTTTCTTGCCCATTCCATCATATGAGGGCACAGTGTTCGTCTCTTCTGCCATGTGAGGACACCACAACAAAGTGCCATCTTTGAAGCACATAAAAAAAGGAAGTCACATGAGCAATGGTATAGATATTACAAATCTCTACCTTCACCACCTTCCTGGTACTTTCATCTCTACCTTCTGTAATCCCACTCTTTCCCTCTTCACAGTTCTCAGTGAGAAAAATACAAGGGTAAGATCAAGACTGGGAATTCACAAGGAGTGCCCCAAATAGGTCCAAGAGGGGAGAGTTGGGAAAACTGAGTTGAGGGCAAGGAAAAGTGAAGACCAGAAGTAGGTTGCAAAGTTATAGGGGTGAGCACTGATCCAAAGTCAGGCAAACAGCAGTTCCAGAAACAGAGCTAAAGGGCAGATAACACATTAATGATGTTCTATATAAAGAATCCTACAGGCCAGGCACCGTGGCTCACACCTGTAATCCCAACACTTTGGGAGGCGAAGGCGGGCGGATCACCTGAGGTCAGGATTTTGAGACCAGCCTGGCCAACATGGTGAAACCCCGTCTCTACTAAAAATACAAAAAAAAAAAAAAAAAAAAAAAATAGCCAGGCCTGGTAGCGGGCACCTGTAATCCCAGCTACTCAGGAGGCTGAGGCAGGAGAATCGCTTGAACCCAGGAGGTGGCGGTTGCAGTGAGCCGAGATAGAGACACTGCACTCTAGCCTGGGCGACAGAATGAGACTCTGTCTCCAAAAAAAAAAAAAAAAAAAAAAAGAGAATCCTACAAATCATTAAGAAATAGACAAATCATAAGCGAGAGAAAGCAAATGATACAAATAGGCATTTCACAGAATAAGAACAAGTGACCAAAAAATACAAAAAATTCTAAATCATGAATAATCAAAGAAATGAAAATTTAAAAAATTAGGAGATACTATTGGTTTTTCCAATTGGCAACAATGAAAATAAATAAGATCGAGCAATGGCGATAAGGGAAACTACTCTGTTCGTACACAATTTATGGGTGTGTAATTTGACAGATGGTTTCAAATGCTCGGCCTTGGAAACTAAAATAAGGAAATGCTCCTCCAAGGACATACAGTAGCATGGTTTAAAATAGCTGAAGATTGGAAATAACCTTAATATCTGTTAATATTGAATGGTTAAGTAAATCAAAGTACATTTGTCTTATTGGATACCACATAGCCATAAAGAATGAAATTTATCTATATTGAAGCTGTCCTCACAGGGTTAACAAGAATTCTGGACAGAAATATAGTTATAATTAAGCATTAATGAGGCTGCAAGTTGGCCCACATCCTTGTAAAATCATGTAGCACTAGATACTGATGATTTGGATCCCCATTGCTCCAATAGATAAGATGTCTGATGTTGGAATCATAAGGTTTTTGTTTGAAAACTGCTTAGGGCCGGGTACAGTGGCTCATGCCTGTAATCCTAGCACTTTGGGAGGCCAAGGCGGGTGGATCAGTTGAGACCAGGAGTTCAAGACCAGCCTGGGCAACATGGCAAAACCCCATCTCTACTAAAAATACACACAGTAGCCAGGCGTGGTGGCATATGCCTGTAGTCCCATCTACTCAGGAGGCTGAGGCATGAGAATCACTTGAACCTGCAAGACAGAGATTGCAGTGAGCTGAGATTGCATCACTGCACTCCAGCCTAAATGACAAAGACTCTCAAAAAAAAAAAAAAAAAAAAAGAGAGAAAGAAAGAAGGAAAAAAAAAACTACTTAGAATGTGTTTCAGATTCTGAAATCCACTGGAACAGCTGATACCAACCAGTTTGAAGACCCCCATAGAGATACTAAATCAGCATGAGAATACAGTTTCTTCATTTCCCTGTTCCATGACTTTACCCTGCATTCTTCAACCAATGAATGATCTCCACAGTTTGGCCAATTCCAAAACCCTTAAGATCCCTAGCTCCAAACTCCCTGGGGAGATGGATTTGAGGTTTCCTCCTATCTCCTTGTTTGGTGGCCCTGTGAGTAAACCATTTCCTCTGCTGCAACCTGGTGTCTCAGCGTATTGACTTGCCACGCATTGGGCAATGAACCTATTACAGTTACAATATCATCTCACATGGAACTATATCAATGATATATTGCTAGGTCTTTAAAGCAAATTGCTATGTGTAGTATGATCCAGGTGGAGTGGGGAACTGGACTTATATGTCTAGAAGGATGCACATCAAACTGTTAATAGTTACCCCTAGAACCTGGGGTTTAAAAAAGACCTGTTTTAAGAATAAAGTACAAAGGAAGGGGAAAAACTATAAAAACTTGTTTCTATTTTTAATTAGATCTCTGTGAGAGATTTGTTACTTAGATGAAACAATTACTCCTTTTTATAACACTAGCGCTCAGTGTTAAAAATTAAAATTTAAAAATAAAATGAATTGTAAACACTTTCTTAAGAATAAAAATGTCATTTTGAGAATAATCTAGTTATACAGCAATAATTAATATGAATTCCTTTGTCAGAATTTAAATAACAGCTAACATGTTTTTGAGTGCTTACTGTATGCCAGGCACTGTACCAAGCATATGCTGTTTCACCCAATTTTTACAACCCTACAGAGTGAGCACTATTCATAATTCAGCATTTTAGAGATGAGAAAACTGCGGCTAAGAAGAGCTGATGAGAAAATTTAGACTGGGGACAGTTCAGCGTAACATCTAATTGATTGGCACACAGTTACATTGTTGGTGAATCACAGCGAGAATTTGAAGGCAAGGGTTTTCATTCCAGAGTCCACATTCTTGACCACCATGCTGCAATTATTCTCTATTACTTAGAGAAAACAGAGAGGATTAATGTCATGATTGAAACTACCTGGCATCAATATCACAGCTGCCAGAAAAGCTCAGCTCATCCTGTGTTGAGAGAAATATAATTAAAAACAAAGTCTTCTCCCAACCCAGAAAACCTCTCCGTAAAGGTAGAAGAGAAAGACAATGATTTTATTATCGAAAAAGCATTAAACCAGAATGTGATGCACAATACAGGAAACCTGCTAAAGGGTTTGCAAAGTTAGAAAGGAATTTGACTCTTTTTATAGCTAAGTGGATACAAACTCTCTTAGTCTGTTCTCTGCTGCAGTAATAGAATATCAGAGACTGGATAATTGGAAAGTAAAGACATTTCTTTCTCACAGTTCTGGAGGCCAGAAAACCCAAGAACATGGTACTGGGATCTGGCAAGGGCCTTTGTGCTGCGTTATCTCACCAGGGAAGGTAGAAGGGCAAGCAAGCACGAGAGACAGAGAGGGAATGGGAGCCAAACTTTATCCTTTCATTAGGAACACACTCCTGCAATAACGCATCGATCCACTAACGAAGGAAGGCAGAGCCCACATGATCCAACCACCTCTTAAAGGTCTCTCATCTTAATACTGTCACAATGGCTATTAAGTTTCAACATGAGTTTTGGAGGAAACATTCGAACCATAGCCCAATCCATGCAAACTGTTAGATAGGTTTTGCAATTTGGAATCAGGTGACAATGTAGGCAGGTCCATCATTTCCCACAAAACTAAAAGATGGGAGTGGCATCAGGTGGTGCGTTATCTTCTTAAATGATAACATTTCAAAGCGATGACTCCCAACTCCTTGAGGAAACATTCCTGAGTTGTGAGACTGGCCAGTGGCTTATTTAGCCATTAAAATAATTTACATACTTTTGACAAGGACAGAGAAATAAACTCCAAAAGAAAAGGAAGAAGTGAGAGAAAATACTCTTCCCTTATTTTTCTACCGAAGGAAATTTTGCATTTGCCCTTACATTTCATCTAGCATGAAAGATCAGTCAATATTCTCAGACTTGCATCATACACTATTTTTTCCCTGTATTTATTTATGTCTAATTTTATGTTGCTTTGTAAATTTTTGCAAGTCATTTTCTTGGACTGATATAAACTCTATTTATATAAACTTGTAATTCCTTTGCCAAGAAGAAGGACGTAGAAAATCTTATGAAATGATTACAGCTTTCAGCTCCAAGAACGTAGGAGCAAAATGTGAAGTTGTTGGAGTTCAATCCATTGACAACCAGAGCAGAGTCAGGCAAGAGAAATGGTCTGGGGCCCAAAGACAACACATGAGTCTGCCTTTTGGAAGTTATGAGCAATTCTGTCCCAAAGAATTTGTGAGCAGAGAATATATTTAAGTCTACCTTAGCAGTAGTTCCCAGGCAAGTTAGATAGATAAACCTTTAAATACAGTTTAGAAAATTACCTACTCAACTATTTTTTTTTATACTCAACTCATGTGGCTCAGGACACTACAGCCCAACAAATGTAGAAGACCAGAATATGCCACCCCAAAATATGTCTCTTTAGCATATTGATTATTTTGAGAAACTATAGACATAGTTATCCTTTTGTAAGAGAAATTTACATTTGTAAAGGAAATCTCCATTTGTAAGACTGTCTCCTCTGCACCAGGAAGAAAAGGGTGACTAAATCATGAGAGACTCTTGAACAATGGAGAAGGCATGGATTTAAATCTGCATAATAAATACTACCTTTGTTTAATGTACTTTTCCTGGCCATCTCATTTTTCCCTTCTTTCTTTGTTTCAGAAAAAGGTAATATTTAAGCCTGAAGTTTAAACTTTCTTTGAGATCCACTCTGAAGATTTATTAATTTCTTGGGGTTTGTGCTGCATTCTGCCCCTGGCTCCCACCATGTATCCATGAGGCATGCATGTTAATAAACTTCTGTTTGATTTTCTCTTGGTAATCTGTCTTTTGTTATAGGGACTCCCTGTTAATAATTATGAAAGGTAGAAAGAAAATTATTTTTTCTCCCCTACACAGCTGTAGCTCACACCTGTAATCCCAGCACTTTGGGAGGCTGAGGCAGGAGGATTGCTTGAGGCCAGAAGTTCAAGACTAGCCTGGAACAGAGGGAGATACCACCTCTACAAACAATAAAAACAAAAAAAATTAGCCAAGCATGGTGGTGCTTGCCTGTATTTGCAGGGCTGAGAGAGGAGGATCATTTGAGTTCAGGAGTTCGAGGCTGCAGTGAGGTATGATCACACCACTGCACTCCAGCCTGGGTGACAGAGCAAGGTCCTGTCTGTTTGTTTTGTTTTGTTTGTTAGTTTAAGTCATTTACAAAGCTAACTGATATATAATGAAAGAAGTAAAATTAGGAGGCTGAAGGAAATAAAAATATTTTCCCCCCAAATATATTTTGAAATGGCTGCTGCCAAGCCATCCAACTAAGGTAGCCCTCTGAAACTATTTTTCACTGGGAAAATTTGCATCTCTAGAAAGTCTCCATTATTCATCCAGGCCCTCCTTTCTAGGCCTTTCCCAGATCTAGGAGAGATTAACTGAGAATCTGACACCTTTCAAAATCTGAAAAAAAAAAAAAAAAAAAAAAAAAAAAAAAAAGATTTACCATCTATTGTCTCTGAGGGCTGCTACCTAGGAGCCTTCATCTTTATAACAAGACCAACTTGCTGGGCATGGTGGCTCACGCCTGTAATCCCAGCACTTTGGGAGGCTGAGGCGGGCAGATCACGAGGTCAGGAGATCGAGACCATCCTGGCTAACACGGTGAAACCCCGTCTCTACTGAAAACACAAAAAAATTAGCCAGGTGTGGTCGCAGGCACCCATAGTCCCAGCCACTCAGGAGGCTGAGGCGGGAGAATGGTGTGAGCCCGGGAGGCGGACCTTGCAGTGAGCCAAGATTGTGCCACTGCACTCCAGCCTGGGTGACAGAGCGAAACTCTGTCTCAAAAAAAAAAAAAAAAAAAAAAACAACAAAAAAAAACAAGACCAACTTTACTAGCCAAGCCTCTTCCTTTCACCCTCCCATTACCTATCTTGCCACTAAAATCTGTTTTTGGCCACACTCTGAGTCCACATTCTTTCTGTAACTTGAAGATGGTATATGAGCTTCTGTACCTCATTAGCAGGTTGGGTCTTCACTGGGAAGGTTTCTATGTATGTATATACATGTTAAATAAATTTGTGTGCTTTTTCTCCTGTTAATCAGTCTGCCTCATGTTGTTGGCAGTGGCAAATCCATACAGGTCTGCAGCAACCTCAATTCTTGCCTCCTCAGAAGAAATAATTCGTCCAAGGGGCATAACGCAAAGTGAGAGACTGAGGCAAGTTTTAGAGCAGGAGTGAAAGTTTATTAAAAAGTTTTAGAGCAGGAACAAAAGGAGTTAAGCACACTTGGAAGAGGGCCAAGCAGGTGACTTGAGAGATTCAGCTGAGCTGTTTGATTTTTTTTTTTTTTTTTTGAGATGGAGTCTTGCTCTGTTGCCCAGGCTGGACTGCAGTGGCACCATCTCGGCTCACTGCAACCTTTAGCTCCTGGGTTCAAGTGATTCTCCTGCCTTAGCTTCCTGAGCAGCTGGGATTACAGGTGCCTGCCACCACGTGTGGTTAATTTTTGTATTTTTGGTAGAGATAGGGTTTCACCATGTTGGCCAGGCTGGTCTCAAACTCCTGACCTCAAGTGATTCACTTGCCTTGGCCTCCCAAAGTGCTGGGATTACAGGCATGAACCACTGCACCTGGCCACTTTTTGACCTCTGACTTGGGTTTTATACATTGGCAT
This sequence comes from Homo sapiens, assembly GCF_000001405.40. NCBI lineage: Eukaryota > Metazoa > Chordata > Mammalia > Primates > Hominidae > Homo > Homo sapiens. The sequence continues at coordinate 44,133,404 of NC_000002.12, read as the reverse complement.
GCTTCCGCGGTCTTACATCTCTTTGTCCCTTATTCTTCCCTTGGGGTGGGCTGTCTGCATGTGCAGTGTGTTTACTGAAATTGCGTGCATGCTCATTTGAGGCATTTTTTCCTTACCGGTCAAGTGTTCCTAGAGGAATGTCATACAGTAGTTAAACTCCACCATTTTGCCTCAGTGCGCATGCTTGAGCCCATTTGCCCAGCTCCTGAGATCTTATCGGGAAGTTGCTGATCACCAGTGTCAGGTATTTTCTATCTATTGGGAGACTGCCTTTCCCTGGGACTGGCTGCAACCAATTATTATTTCAGAGAGACAGCTTAACAACCACCTGACCATCACCTGATGGTCACCTGACATTCCTGGGTAGGGGGTCAGGGAGGCTCTCTACTGCCCTACTCCTCTCTGCCTAACTACCTACTTAATATGTCTGTTATTTTTCAATGAAACTTTAGGGGGCTATGACCTAGGACAGAGACTTGAGATAGTGAATAAGAATAACCTTATAAGTTAACCTTATAGTCTGATTTTAGATTGCAGTTTTAGGGGTCTCCTTTGAAGAGTTAAAATGCAAATATTACTAGCAAGGAACTCACTTTAAGTCCTTATCAATTAAGTGTTCCATAACTTCTTGCTATCAATTAATAATATTAGCAGAGAAGAAAGGTCTCCACGCCACAGGGAGTGGGAGGAAATTACAGTAAATTCAATTCTGGAGGAAAAATAGCCATATTAAAGGAATATAGACTGCCTGCCAAAGATAGGTTTAGTTACCTCTGTTTTGTTGAAGGCCTAACCTAAGAGAGGATGGACTAAACCAGATGATATTTCCAAAGTTAGCTCAAGGCCAAATTTTGTGAGAATGAAGCTCATTTTCTGCCCCTCTCAGAACCCCATGTTGATTTTATGCCTCTCTTCAAAGCCTCTAGAGCCCTCAAACTGCTCCTTCTAGGCCTGCTATCCTGGCTGACTCAAGGTGATGCTCCACTTTAGGGCTATGCAAGACCTGCATTCTCCTACTTCTCATATTCATACTTTTTTTCCCCCTCACATCACAACTTACCTGTCTATTTACTCAGGGATCTGATAAATCAGGAGCTCAAGGAAGCGTCATTTTTTTATCTTTGGCATGTAACATAGGATGGCTGTACAAAGGTGATTTTTTTTTTTGAGATGGAGTCTTGCTCTGTTGCCCAGACTGTAGTGCAAGGGCACAATCTTGGCTCACTGCAAGCTCTGCCTCCTCTGTTCAAGCGATTCTCCTGCCTCAGTCTCCCAAGTAGTTGGGATTACAGGCGCATGCCACCATGCCTGCCTAATTTTTGTATTTTTAGTAGAGATGGGGTTTCACCATGTTGGCCAAGCTGATCTTGAACTCCTGACCTCAAGTGATCCTCCTACCTCAGCCTCCCAAAGTGCTGGGGTTACAGGTGTGAGCCACAGTACCCCGCCCAAAGGTGATTTTTAAGTGAATGCTGGTCTCGAACTCCTGGCTTCAAGCAATCCTCTTGCCTTGGCTTCCTGAAGTGCTGGGATTACCGGCATGAGCAACCATGCCTGGCCCAGTGTTTCTCTATTGATAGCCAATAATTTGGAGGGAGATATTTTGGAGGGAGGATGGGTCTTCTATTCCTCCTGTCTCCTTTTAGGAGAACTTCCATTTGTGCATAAGATTATCTGATTGGGACTAGAGATAACTTTTCCTGGTCACTGCCTGAATGTGGATATAGAAGTAGAAAAAACTTTTCCTCTGAACTCTTGGGTTCCTTACTTGGAATATGCAAATTAAACTGACAAAAGCAGATTAACAGTAGAAAAGGCCTACAAATTTTATTTTATGTGCAAGGGGATTCACAGCAAAGAAGTGAAAACCCAAACAGGTGATTAGACCTGGGGGCTTATATACCATTTTAACAAAGGGCAATAAACTGTGGACAAGTGACTAGACAAAGAAAAAGGGCATTTGGGTTATAGAGAGGTAAACTGTGGGAAAGTGACTAGGAAATGTGTGGTAGATAAGGGTTGTTTAGTAAGGTTTGTTATGCAGATTCAAGTTGTCCCTGGTGATAAGAGTTGTCTCTGGAGTCATTCTCCTCTCCCTTATATGGGAGAGTGGGACACTTTTACAAATGAAAATTTAATGCCCTGCTTTTAGGCAGATAGGGGAAAGGCAAAGAGCTTCTCCTGTTTCTGCTATTTCTCAATTGTGTTGAGCTCAAGTAGTCCTTATGCCAAAGTGGCATATTGAGGTGGCATATTCTGATTCCCTTCAGTGGTATTTAAAACAAAAGAGAGGTATTAAAGCCCCCTTCCCCTACCAAAGTTTCCCACACAGCAGCAGAATCAGGTAGGAAGTTTCATGAAATAATAAAGCAGGCATTGCTCTAGAAATCAGAGCACAGTCAAGTTCTCTCTGTAACCTGATTCCACCTTTCACTTTTAATTTAGCCATAATATTACTGTAAATTTATTAAAAGAAACTTAAATTATTATTTTGACTATGTGCTTGCTTATATTTAACCAGAATGTTACCCATAACACTCTTAGTAAAAGGAATTTAAATAGATAGGTTGAATATACGCCTATGTATACTTAACCAGAATTTGACCCGTAATACTCAGTGTCGTGTCTCACAAAATGTCCTAGATATACTGCGATCTTATTTCTAATAGCTAAATAAGCTAATCCCCATAAAGCCACATGAGTACTCCACTGTAATGTAGTACAAGGAAGAATTAGGATGTTCTCAGTAGGCAACTGCAATAAGCTACATGCTGAGTCACTGAGCTGATCTATTTTTAATCCAATGAGCAAAACTTCTATTTGGTCTGACCTTATCTGAATGATACCTTGTAAAAACTATACCATTCCAAAAAATTAAGAAGATGTTCATTTTCATGACTCTCTGACAAAATAATTATGCTGCTTATTCAGTTAGACATAAATCTTTTATTTTAACTAGATATTGAATAAGTATTATCTTAATAAAGGCAGACAGGCAGCCAAGTTGTAAAAACAAAACAAAATGAACAAAAGCTTAGTAAAAAGAAATTTCTATTTTTCTTTGAGAATTTATCTATATAGTAATAATAATGGTAATATATTGCTCATGGCACAAATTGCATGCTTGTTTTACATATAGCTCTCTATCTGTACAGAAAAACAAAACTAAGGTCATCACATGATACTGCTTTTGATAGTGTCAAATTAGGTGAACCAATACTTTTGTTGCTGATGGAAAATGTTCCATCAAAATTGTCAGACTCCTGATGGTATAGCCAGGAAAAACAACAACAACAACAAAAACAACAACAACAACCCACTAGTATTTGTAAGCCCACTATCAAATAGGAAAAACAAAATCTTGTAATTGGTAATTGGGTAGCATTTGTTAGTGATTTCCTTTTTAATTTCCAAAAGAAAAGACATAATTTGATGCTAATTGTTTAAAGAGGTTGAGAGAGGTGCTGGTGTCTGGTGTTAGTTAATTGTCTCTTGATAAGAAAATCATACACATGATACTTTTAGATCAGGGACAAAGTCTCATCGTAAAATTGTGTAGGATAAGAGGACTTCAGTTTATCAAGTCTAAGAATTTTTGACCGTGGAGTTGGAATCATTAATCGATATTTTTTAGATGAATTTCCTTTGAAGACTTCAG